>NC_000013.11:111843441-112148370 GCF_000001405.40 Homo sapiens | reverse complement strand
AGGGCTTCCACAAATATCATCATACAGGGGTCAGGGCTTCCATAAATATCATCACACAGGGGTCAGGGCTTCCACAGATACCATCACACTGGGAGTCAGGGTTTCCACAGATACCATCACACAGGGGTCAGAGCTTCCACAGATACCATCACACTGGGAGTCAGGGCTTCCACAGGTACCATCACACAGGGGTCAGGGTTTCCATAGATACCATCACACTGGGAGTCAGGGCTTCCACAGGTACCATCACGCAGGGGTCAGGGTTTCCATAGATACCATCACACAGGGGTCAGGGCTTCCACAGATACCATCACACTGGGATTCAGGGTTTCCACAGATACCATCACACAGGGGTCAGAGCTTCCACAGATACCATCACACTGGGAGTCAGGGCTTCCACAGGTACCATCACACAGGGGTCAGGGTTTCCATAGATACCATCACACTGGGAGTCAGGGCTTCCACAGGGACCATCACACAGGGGTCAGGGTTTCCATAGATACCATCACACTGGGAGTCAGGGCTTCCACAGGGACCATCACATGGGGGTCAGGGCTTCCACAAATATCATCATACAGGGGTCAGGGCTTCCATAAATATCATCACACAGGGGTCAGAGCTTCCACAGGTACCATCACATGGGGGTCAGGGTTTCCACAGATACCATCAAACAGGGGTCAGGGCTTCCACACATACCATCACACAGGGGTCAGGGTTTCCATAGATACCATCACACTGGGAGTCAGGGTTTCCACAGGTACCATCACACAGGGGTCCGGGTTTCCACAGGTACCATCACACAGGGGTCAGGGTTTCCACAGATCCCATCACACAGGGGTCAGGGTTTACACAGATACCATCACACTGGGAGTCAGGGCTTCCACAGGGACCATCACATGGGGGTCAGGGTTTCCATAGATACCATCACACTGGGAGTCAGGGTTTCCACAGGTACCATCACACAGGGGTCCGGGTTTCCACAGGTACCATCACACAGGGGTCAGGGTTTCCACAGATCCCATCACACAGGGGTCAGGGTTTACACAGATACCATCACACTGGGAGTCAGGGCTTCCACAGATACCATCACATGGGGGTCAGGGCTTCCACAAATATCATCATACAGGGGTCAGGGCTTCCATAAATACCATCACACAGGGGTCAGGGTTTCCACAGATACTATCACACTGGGAGTCAGGGCTTCCACAGGGACCATCACATGGGGGTCAGGGCTTCCACAGATACCATCACACTGGGAGTCAGGGTTTCCACAGGTACCATCACACAGGGGTCCGGGTTTCCACGGATACCATCACACAGGGGTCAGGGTTTCCACAGATACCATCACACAGGGGTCAGGGTTTCCACAGATACCATCACACAGGGGTCCGGGCTTCCACAGATACCATCACACGGGGGTCAGGGTTTCCATAGATAGCATCACACTGGGAGTCAGGGTTTCCACAGGAACCATCACACTTGGAGTCAGGGCTTCCAGAGGGACCATCACACCGGGGTCAGGACTTCCACAGGTGAACTTTGGGAACCATATTTCAGTCCATAGCACAGTGGTAGACCATTCTCAAATAGGATTGTTTTGTACCCATCTGCTCACAATTGCTTATAGCTCACCCTGTTGGCGTGCCGTGGATCTTTGATGCTGAACTAGGGACATCAGGATGATTGGGTCTTTATGCTCAGACAGGATCGTCTGGGGCTGCCCCAGGACATCCCAGCGTGGGTGCAAACCAAGAACTCCTGGACCCTTAGTGCAGGTGCAGGGAAAGGGACCCTACGTGTTGTGGGCACAGCAGGAATTTGGAAGCCTTGAAATTTGTCTAAGTCCAGGTGGCATGACTCACTGAGTGGCAGCGTTCTAAACTCATCCAATAGCATAAGGTGTCCTGGCCACGTGTACAAAAGGCATTGAGCCCCCATTCTGGGATCCTCAGAGTTAGAGGGAGGGCATCTCACTGCACCTCAGCTGCCAGGCCCCAGACGTGGTGTGCATCACCGGAAGACATAGAGGAGCCACGCAGAGCTACTCTGCCCACGGGCATGCTTGTCTCACGTTTATCCTCTGCAGGGCTTACTTGTAGCCTTGGGGTAAAGTAAAAGTGATCTCGAATCAAGTCCAAGCTCATGCGCAGCATCCTTGAGCCCAGCCAAAGCCCTCTGTGTTCTCAGAGACAAGTGGACGGTGGTGAGCACAGACAACAGCTCCAGCACTCAGCTCACCTCCCATTCAAATCAAGGTGGCGCTCCTGTGAGAAGCATCCCGGGGGTCTGGCTGTCCACAGCCCTGGCTTTGGTTTCAACGTCAGACCTTTCAGGCAGCACCAACTGTGACGGCGCTGCAAGGAAAGCTGTGAAAGCCACGCTTCCCAGGAAATCTTTTTCCCTGGAAAAGGCACTCGTTTCATTGGAAATGAGTCACATTTCTAATAGACGGGTTTTTCCATAACGTGCAATTCATAATTCATCTAGCTTTTGTCAAACTTCACTCTATTGTCTTTGAACAGAATATAAAATACCCACAAGTATTTGGTGCCATCGTCTTCCAGGTTATGAAAGCAACCGAAAGAACACTTTTAAGAGGCCTGGCTTTGAACGCCTGCCTTTGTGTTGGCTGAAAGGACATAGAACAATTCTAAAAGCCTAGACGCTGAGGAAGAGAGCCGGGGCGGCCTGCTCAGCAGCTCCTGCTCCATCACCACGCTAACAATGATTGAAAAGTAAATTTCTTTTTAATAAGTGTGGTATGCTCGGGGGACGGGGCGAAAGGGTTAATGCGATGCTTGACCCATTAAAACTGTGGGCTCCAGGGAGAACCTTGTCAGCTGATCAGATGATTATTTCTGCAGGAGAAGGAGTTGAAAACTGAGCCTCAGTGGCCAGGTAATCAAGGAAGTCAGCACCAAGGAGGATGTGGCCGAGTAGCGCCAGAGCGGTTACCTGAGATTCTATTACTTGTCATCTTTCAAGCATTATAATGAGATTAGAGTAACCCTAAACTGGCTGAAAACAGAAATCTGGCTGTCTGTCAAGTTTATTGTGTCAGGTTTTACAACAGTGCAGATCTGGTTCCTCTGAACCTGCTGTCATTATGCTGGGAGGGAGGTCCCCGAGAAATCCCTGTAACCTCCAGGCCTGCTCAGACCCCGGCACTTGCACCGTTGTTATTGCTTGAAAAACTTGCTAATGTTTTTGTTTTTTTCTTTTTTTCCACCATGTGATTCAAAAACTAGTAATTCAATGGTGCACAAGTCTTTCCTTCCCCACATCTTTGGCAGGTTTCCTGGGTCCTAAATGGGCACACAGTGGACCCACAATCCCCTGGCATGAATCACACCAGGCTCACATACTCATGTGCGTCCATCTTCCGGAACTACCACGTTGACTCTGCCTTTGCGGGAAGAGACAGAAGCCTCCTTTGCTCTTGAGCGAAACCACTGGTTGTGTCGGAAAGTCATCTGGTCTTTTGCTGGGCTACCTGTTTTGATGCTCAGGACACACTTGTTGAAATGCTGCAGCCACACCTTGAGATGTGAGCTGACATTTAGTGAGCACTTGCCGTATGTCAGATGTGGTTCCTGCTGTTTAATATGTAGCATCTCAATCCTTTTGCAGGCGTGAGCGTTGGCACCTGGTCCAGATCCAGGCAGGGGGTCAAGCAATTTGCCCATTCCTGTAACCAGCAGAAGCAGCAGAACTTGGTCCTGGAGCCCATGTTCCTAGCTCTGGAGGTGTTTGGCCTCCTCAGGAGCAGGGGTGCTGGGCCTTGAAGACTGATTCTTGAGAGACTGATTTGTAAATGCCATGTGTTTTCTTAAGCAGCATAGGATTCCGGAAGAGCAGACAGGAATGATTCACAAATGCCTCATCTTGCAACCACCTTTGCTTTGTAAGAACTGACTCCAGGCAATGTTCTGATCTCTGTTTCTGCAGGTTACTTCTATGAAGGTCGTATTTTATCATTTCAGAGGCTACTGATTAATTAAAACCCAGATGCGTGCCAGCTGGCTGAAGCAGACATGAAGGAGAGCAAAGCCCACTGAATATACCAAAATTTAGCCTAAATCTCCCAGGACGGTAGAGATAATGTGCAGGTCCGAGACTCACTGTCTGCTGAGTCCTGTGGAGCCCACATCCGGGTGATTATTGGTTACCCAATAATGTGAAGCTGATGGCTGAGGCAGCCCAGAACCCAAGGCAGCCTGACGAGGAGGGCTGGGACAGCCTGGGGTTGCGGCAGCCACTTTCCTAGCCTTTTCCCTCGGCTGTAGGCCCGCATGGGGGGCAGGGGCGGCTGGGGACTTGCACTATGTGAGTGGAGGCTGTGGATTTGCACTGTGGCCAGTGTTCTGATGCTCTGTGTCTCGTTTTCCCATCAGCAAAGTGGAACCACAGTCCTCACCTCCTCACATCCCATCCCCAGGGCCACAGCCACCTCCCTGCAGTGTCCTGAGCTTTGAATGAGACAGTTTTGGTGAGAGCGCCTTAGGGAGGCCCCATGTACTCACAGACCCTGGTGATGCTTGGGTGTGGGGGACACTCAGGACTCCTGCCCGCCATCCCTGCCGGCTAGGGCTGACTGTGGGACCTGCTTCCCCGCCTGCCACCGGGATGTTGAAGGACTCTCTGAGCACAGGGAAACCCACCACTCTCTGTGTCCCAGCCGGCTCGTTGAATGGACCATAGGCAGGGATGTGGCAATGAACCTAAGTGGGGCCTGGCCTGCTCCGGCTCAGGGGTGCAGTGCAGGCCTTTTGCCCTCGAGGGGCATAACTTGCCCTCATTCCTCACTAAGTGAGGCCACGAGCCAGGGCCACTTAGGGCAGGTTATGCCGGCGTCTCTGTGGCTCCGACCCAATCGTCCTCATCTCCATGTTTGTATTTTCTTCATCCACTTCCAGTTCCCCATCAGCTGACCCCGCAAGGTGTGTGCCTCCCTCAGGGGCTACCGGAGAGAGCCAGATGCCCTGGACCTGGAGGGGGGTTTCCTCCTCTGCCAGCAGCTCTCCCTCCCTCTCTCCCAGCAGTCTGGGTCACCTCTAGGCCCCCTGGAAACACCTGCTTCTGCGGGGTCAGCCAGTACCCCAGCTAGTGCTCCCCTCCTCCCCTGTGGGTGCAGATGAGTGAGGAGGGGTCCCCATGTACCAGCCCTGAGGCCAGCAGGCCCACTTCCCCACGAGCTGGTGCCCGTAATGACCCTGTTGGGATGAATGATGGCCACCATGATGGCAGGAGCCCCTGCTCTGTGTCCTGCCCCAACCCTGCACCTGAACAACCTCCTCTCTAGGAGGAGTAAAGTGGTTCCTCCTGATCCCCCCATGAGGGGCGCAGGACACACCCTAAATGTGTCATCATGACACCGTCGCCACAGCTGCCCAGTGGTAATGCCACAGCTCGCCGAGCATCCCTGTCTCCTTACCTGGCTTGATTTGAATGGCAAGTCTGGGGTTTGTTGGCTGGGTTTTTACTGTTACATATGGATATGTTCAGAGACTCAGAATGGCTACTGCTCCTGCCCAGGGTGATGCTCTTGATTATACTGAGTTAAAATGCAAGTCTCTTTGTCACCCCAAAAAGGCCAGAGAAAAGCCCCACGAGGGCCTCTGTCAGCACTGGGCACAGCTCTGTCCTCCCCAGGGCTAAGGAGAAG
Source organism: Homo sapiens (assembly GCF_000001405.40). Lineage (NCBI taxonomy): Eukaryota > Metazoa > Chordata > Mammalia > Primates > Hominidae > Homo > Homo sapiens. The sequence continues at coordinate 112,142,705 of NC_000013.11, read as the reverse complement.
CCCCGGGACTCCCCTTTCCGGAATCTCAACCCATTCCTTCAACCGTGCATTTCGACGGCCTGCGCAGGGCCATGATGGTGGAGGATGAAACAGTGACCCCCAAGGGGAAGCGTTTATGACCCAGCAGCAGAAATCAGGCACCAGCCAATTCCCACGGTGAAAAGTGGAGTCTATCACCGTCGACCTGGGCCATGAGGACTGGACGGAAGGCATGGTCCACTTCTGATTTTCAGGGAAGGGCTTGGAAAGGACATGGGTGGGTGTAGACCGGGAAACCTGGGAAGTATGTTCTGCTCAGAGGTAGGAGCGTGAACAGCTGGGCTGTCTGGCAGGGGCTTGGGGGTCCCCTGCATGGAGAATGAAGTAGACAAAGAACATCTGTGAGAGGGAGGCTGGGAGCCTGGGTGGGGACTGTGGCTTGGAGGCTGCGAGACTGGGTGGGAACATGGCTTGGAGGCTGCGAGACTGGGTGGGAACATGGCTTGGAGGCTGTGAGTCTGAGTGGAGACTGTGGCTTGGAGGCTAGGAAGCTGGGTGGGGACCATGGCTTGGAGGCTGCGAGGCTGGATGGGGACTATGGCTTGGAGGCTGGGTGGCTGTGAGGCTGGGTGGGGACTGTGGCTTGGAGGCTGGGTGGCTGTGAGGCTGGGTGGGGACTGTGGCTTGGAGGCTGGGTGGCTGGGTGGGGACCATGGCTAGGAGGCCCAGGGGAGCCGTGGCTGGGAGGTTGGGTGGGGACTGTGGCTGTGAGGCTGCGTGTGGACTGTGGCTGGGAGGCTGGGAGGTTGGGTGTGGACTGTGGCTGGGAGGCTGGGAGGTTGGGTGTGGACTGTGGCTGGGAGGCTGGGTGAGGACCGTGGCTTAGAGAGCATTGAATGCATGAAGAAGATGCTTTGCCTCAAACAGCACCAAGGTTATCAGAGGACTTTCTGTGCCTGAGCCATGAGATCAGAGTGTGCTGGGGCACAGGGCTGGGAGCCACAGGACAGCGGGCGTGGCGTGGGTGGCTCCACAGTTTGCTTTCTCTTCTTTCCACCCACTGGTCCTCGTCCCAGAAGTGGCAGATGAAAGCCTGAAATATTCCCTTCCTGGACAGGGCTTGGCCACCCTGTTGTACTTTCCTTTCTGGGGACTCTGTTCACCTGGCATGAAAATCTTTGTCCCCTAGACCAATTGGTTGAGGTATAACAGAATCCCACACACTTAGAGAAGAAAGGCAAGTGGAGCCCTGAAGTCAGGTACCATTAACCCTTTGAAAAGGCACTGGGAGGCCTCATGTCACCGAAGCTGACTACGCCTTCAGAGTAGACAAGCCTGTGATAGCATCAGATTCCACAGTTTCGTCTTCTAACAACCCAATCCCGTTCACCATAGCGTCTGTTTCACGGATTATGAAGAAATCACTCAGATGCTAGAATAAACATTAAGGGACAATTTATGGATGCTGCTTTGTGGTAGCTTTTAATATTAACATGATAGATATTGAGGAAAGGCCAAAGATAGATAGCAAGGTAACTATATACCTGTGTGTGTGTGTGTGTGTGTGTGTGTGTGTGTGTGTGTGTGCATGGATGGATGTGCATATATGTATGTATGTATGTAAATCTCAGGGCCAAGACTGTGGTCTCATTTCTCACTAAGAGGAAGCAAAGCTCTCTGGGGAAACAGCTGATCCCAGCCTGGAGTAATACAAGGTGAGCCTGGGATGTTCTGTCCCCGCACATGGTGACAGAGCCAGTGGAAGGAAGCTTCCAATGGCCAAAGATGGGACGCTTGATCATCAAAGTGTAACAACTGCAATGGATTGAGACCCAACACATATGCTCAAATCCATAAGTTCTTCATGAAACTAAAAAAAAAAAAATTAATTGGTACCATTGGAGAATGCTAATGAATAATTCATTATTTTGAAAACTCATAAAGGAAAGGTATTAAATATTTATGTCATCTTTCCCATATAAACTACACAACTGGGTAACCAGATATAATATGAGGCAAATGCTCTGTTAATGAAAGTGTTCCAGCTAATAAGTGGAGAAGTGATAGAATTAGAACATGCCCATGGTGCTGTCCTGAGTGTATCAATGTGTCTGGACACGGAGCTGTGATGGCCACTGGCAGTGCAAAGTGAGAGGCATAAGCAGACCCCACGTGCCTCCCGGCAGACACAGCCACCCAGGAAGGAGCTCACCTCTCCCCACCGTGAAACCCAATCTCTTCAAATCCCCAGATCTTATTTCAGTTTATGGGAAATTTGGAGGAGCGTGTTAGATTAAACCACTGGAATGCAACCGGGAAAATCCCGCACATGGAAGCCCATTATATCTATGACTGTTTCCTTCAACACTGAAATTGTAAGAAAAAAGGAAAGAAAGAAGAAACAGCAGTGAGACCTATGGATTGAAAAGGCTCACAAAACCTTTCAACCAGTCACCATTGTAGGACTCTCATTTTCATCTTGGCTCAAACAAATTAAAAAGCAAACAATACATTTAGGTATGACATAGATATATGATATTAAATGAGATGCTTGGGAAATTTAAAAACTGACTAGATATTTTATGATGTTAAGGAATTATTGTTAATTTTTTAAGGTGTGACAGTGTATATAATCGTGGCTTTTAAAAAAATTCCATATTTTTTAAAGATCTGTGCCTAAATATTTACACATGAAAATATGCAACATTTGGGATTTGTTGGGGGAGGGGAGTGGGAGGTTTGGATTGAACAGGACCTCTGTGAATTGCACAGGGTATGCAGGGATTCATTGTACTATTCTCCCCATTTTTATATGTTTTACATAATTTTAAAAAATAAAAGGTATATATGTATGTATAGTCTCAGATTCTTAGAGCATAAAATCATCACTTTTGCTGAGACACTAGAGATCTTCTGCTCCTCTTTGCAGTGTTTACCCATGCACACGCTCATTAACGCACGCATAAGTGCATATTCCTGCTAATGCCCTTAAATATATATTTTCACAGATAACTAGATGTATATTTTAATTGCTTTCCCCAGTGAACAAGATAATGTGTGCTGGAGCCATGGATTAAAAACATGAACTGTAAAATTATGCTGCAAAGTTTAGAAAACTTTCAGAGGTTACATTTTGACATACTAGGATCTTGCCTTTAACAATGACAGAATGCTACACAAAAATACTGCATTTCATCTGGTGTGGGTCTTTATCTCATCTTGACAGATTATTGCTGGTTAAATTGTAGTGCTGACTTAAAGGCAGGACTCTTCAAGGGAGTCAGAAATTAAGGCTTCACCAAATGGTAATAAAGCTATTAAAAATGCAAACAGCAAACAGCTACACTGTACAGGTTAGACAGCTAATCCAAACTAACAGTTTAAAAAGCAGAGCAATTACACTTTTATTTAAATGCAAGGAATATGAGCAAGAATAGAATAAGGAGCCTTGTTTAAATGCATTCTTTTGAATATTTATTAGAAATAATACATGTAGTTAAGCCACTTATCTGATTTCAGTGAATAAGTAAAATGCAAAAGATCAATTTTCATAATTATACCGAAGAAGTCTGTCTTTCATAAAAATCTCATTAATAACACCATTATTACTGAAAAAATATCTCAGTATTATTATTGTTATTCTAATTATCAGCAAAATGCTACTGATAATGTTGTCATAAAATTTCCTTTTAGTATCCTATTAAGAGAGATAGACTAAGTAGTGGTTTAAGTTAAATCTAGACCCTAAGTGGCATTATGAAAATCTTCTTTGTGTATTGGGTAAAATACATTATGTGTATAATTACATAAATTACGGTGAGTTTGGCAAACAGGACTCTATGTGCATTTACGTCTGTAGGTTGTATGTAGTCACTGGGCACATATGCAGCCATGCACACCCGTGGTGCAGCTGCCCACGCTATTCAGGCTGTGGGAGGACAGCAGTGGTCATCCTTGGATGTCAGATCACTCATTATCTTAAAATGAAATGTTCTTGTTATTAACCACCATGAGTTGCTTTTAAAATGTATTCATTTTTACATTCGTTCCTCAGTCATTTACCTGTACTTACTCGCATCCACCTTTAGAAGAAACTGTTTCCTCTGGAAGTCTGACAATTTGCCAAACTCTTGCCTGGGTGGAGGGAAAATTCCTTCAGTTCTCTGGGCCTGGGTTTCCATCTCTGAAAAACCGTGCCCAGAGAAGGAGCCTCCGCAACCATTTCATTCCTGATTGTTTCGCTGAAATAAAACAATGTGTAGCCTGGATCTTTGGCAAATACTGCTGCAACAAAGCAAAACAGAACGGGAAGCATTTTGAGACTTCTCTTTGTGTCATGGGCTCTATTAAGAAAAAAAGAATTTGAAGCAAAATTAACTATGCAATTATTATTGGTACTTTGTTCTTGATTCCAATAAAAAAACAATTCCACAAACTCCAGTGTCTTTGTTTAGGCAGCATATCTGCCCCCAGCCCACTCAGCCTGACTCTGGGCACAGGCCTGAGCCGCCCCTGCACGCGGCTGCCTCAGAACCGACGCTGCATTTTCTCCTTCAAACCTGCAGAGAAGGGAGCAATGGTTCCTTTCACCCCTCACTTGGAAATGATAGCGATGACTGAAAAAACAGACAAACAAAAAGCCCATTTAGATTGACTCCTGTTTGTGAGTATCTTTAAAGATCACTGTGCTCATAGGAATAAAGACGTATAAATATCCAAAGCATTTCTTAAATTGTATTTATTTATTTATTGAGACAGAGTCTTGTTCAGTTGCCCAGGCTGGGGTGCAGTGGTGCAATCTCAGCTCATTTCTACCTCTGCCTCTTGAGTTCAAGTGATTCTCTGCCTCAGCTTCCCAAGTACCTGGGATTATAGGCGTGTGCCACCACACCCGGCTAATTTTTTGTATTTTTAGTAGAGATGGGGTATCACCATGTTGGCCAGGCTGGTCTCAAACTCCTGACCTCAGGTGATCCACCCGCCTCGGCCTCCCAAAGTGCTGGCATTACTGGCCTGAACCACTGCACCGGGCTTAAAGCATTTTATTTAGTGAGTTAATGCTAAAATATCTCTGAATTGGAAGATATAATAATTTTTGACAGTGCATATGAATAGAAATCGCCACAAAAAAAGTAAAAGGCTTACTTTTACTTTCAGCTCAAGGCTGAAAACATAAAGACATTTGGGAGTATAAAGTGATGTGGTCACCTCAGGATCCTACCTTTTTCTTCATTATTCCATACAAGGGGGCTCCAGAAAGAGCCACCCATCCAGGAGGCATGCGCTCTGGGCTCCAGACCTTGAACTATGGCTGTGGCTGCAGGGGCCCCTCCTGTTTTGGGGAGAAGGTCTAGCTGAGCCACCAGAGAGATCCCGGGGCCACCTTCAAGGCAGGGAGCACCTCAGGGTATGGAGCAAAGGTCTCCCACATTTCACAGGAGGTCAGAATTTCAGAGATGGGAGTCCACGCCCCGGAGTGTAACCTTCCACCCAGGCAGCACCTCCCTGCACAACACACAACACAGCTGCGAGGAACCCTCTGCCCTCCAGCGTCTGCTAGGGGAGACCTGCTGACCCACCACTGCTAGACAACTGGGCTAGAAAGTTCTCTTTGAAACCAGGCCAGAACTGCATCCAAATCTGTACCTAGTGATCCTAGCTCAGCATGCTGGAGCTGTACAAACTCACCTTGTTTCTATGTCAGAGACCTAAAGCCTCTGAGGATGGTTACTACAATTCTCTAAGCTGTCTCTCTCCTCGCCCAGTTGCAGCTCCCATCCTTCACATGATGTGCACTGTCCTCACCCATGGTCACCACGCAGCTCCTGCAGAGACACTCTGCCTGTCACAGTTCCTTTCCGTTCTGTTCCATGAAACTGGGCATCCCCCATGTGCAGGCACCACCTGACGACTGAGGGAAGGGAGGAGGGAGGGAGGGAGGGAAGGAGGGAGGGAGGGAGGCGGGAAGAAGGGAGAGAGGGAGGGAGAGAGAAAGGGAGGGAGGGAAGAAGGAAGGGAGGGAGGGAAGAAAGGAGGGAAGGAAGGAGGAAAGAAGGAAGGGAGAGAGGGAGGGAGAGAAGGAAGAAGGAAAGGGGTTGGGGGAGGACAGAGAGGAAGAAAGGAAAAAGGGAGGGAGGGAGATGAAAGAAAAAGAAAGAAAGAGACAGCAAGTGGGCACAGTAGACCCAGCCCCTGCCAACCTGAGAGCCGCAGGAAGGGCTTCACAGTGAGGAGCATTCTGGGTAGAGAAGGATGTCACCCGGAGGAGGGCCCCGGGGTCAACATGACCCACCTTAGGAGAACTCCCTTGAGCCAAGACCTGGAGGAAGGGTAGGTGGTCACACCTGGGAGGAGGAGCCCTAATGATCCAGGAGCAGGGGGAAAGGTGGGGAGGCTGCCGTTCCAGAACATTCCCTCCTGGTATGTTGGTGAAGTTGCCAACTGAGGCAGGGCCAGAGAGAAGGTTGGGCTCGAGTCTGGGGACCAGGTGCCCTGGAGGTTTTGAGGTGGGGAGCCACGGACTGTGGCCAAGGGCGTGGAGAGTGGATGCGTGGGTGAACCCAGAGGCAGAGGCCTAGGCAGGAGGCTGTGCCCTGGGGATGCAGAGAGACTGTCAAGCAGAAGAGGCTTAGAACGTTCCCTAAGTGATTTCTGTACAATGCTGGCTGCGTTACAGGTAGAATGGGTTTGGGTAGGCTTATCTGGGAACCTAATGTCACTTTTTAACATTGTTTCTGTGGGGAATATTCTAAGATCCTATAACTGAACTTGGGTGTGACCTATCTGGAGATGGAGCATGGCGTATACCACAGCTTGGCAGTGCCCAGGGGGAGGCCCAGCTTCCTGGTGGCTCTTAGTGAGAGCTGGGTCTCGGATGCTTCTGGAGGGAGGATCAACTCTTCCAGGGGCTGTGGGTGTCTGGGACCGTCCCCGGCAGGGGCCCTAGGACAGAGTTTTAGGCCATTTGTGAAGGGACCTGAGCTGGCTTCCCTGGTTCTCTCTCAGGTGATAAAAAAAAAGAATAGAAAACCTAACACCTAGAGATGTTTCCAAAAAAGTATTTAAAAATAAGCCATTAAATTGAACCCTCTAGGAAAGCAGGTCTTGGCTAATTATTACTGTGGTTTAATCTTAACAGAGAATTTGTGGGCACTGTCTCTGTGATGAGGTCACCAGCCTGTGGTCAAGGACTAGCATTTTATTTCTAATTCCCAGTCTGTCGTGGAATGATGCTTTTGTAAAATACAGTAAAAAGGAATTACTTTTAAAAAAGCGAAATAAAAGTAATCCATAAAAGTGCCAGGCATGGTGACTCATGCCTGTAATCCCAGCACTTTGGGAGGTCGAGCTGGGTGGATCACCTGAGGTCAGGAGTTCGCGACCAGCCTGGCCAACATGGTGAAACCCCGTCTCTACTAAAAATACAGACATTAGCTGGGCATGGTGGCGGGCACCTGTAGTCCCAGCTACTTGGGAGGCTGAGGCAGGAGACTCGCTTGAACCCAGGAGGTGGAGACTGAAATGAACCGAGATTGCGCCACTGCACTCCAGCCTGGGCAACAGAGCAAACCTCCATCTCCAAAAAAAAAATAATCCATCAAAGAAAAGTCAGACTTTTGAAGTGTGAGATTCAATATACATAGCACTACTGTGTCAAATTGCTGCAGGAGTTTTAAATTCTCACCGCTCACTTCTGCCCCTACTTCCTCACCTGTGGCGTTCAGTGTGAGGGGTGAGCCGGCCGTGGGCCACACTGGAGTGTGGTGATGGGGTATGTCACTGTTTTCCAGGAGAGCTGGCCCGATAGCGCAGCTGTGCTCAGGGCTTAAGGGGCGGTGAGTGTTCAGCCTCCACCCTCCTTGCTGACGTGGCATTCCCGGAAATCCGAAACAGTGTGGTTACTGAGGTCATTTAGATCTTGAATCCAATTCTCTGGTGTTCCTTTTCTTTAGGGGAACATTGTTATTTCTGTGAAAACAGGGACTGGGGCTTTCAGGATAAAGGGGGATGATGATCGTTTCTGAAACTGAAGAAGCGGGAGAGAAACACTAGTGATGGCAGCTGAAGCCTCATGAACCTGGGCTGGTGGCCGTGGAACGCCAGGTCAGCTCCAGCCTAGGAGTGAGTCCTTGAGAGTAAGTCAGGGTCATAATGGTGTCCATACACAGCAGCAGACTTCCCTGTGTTTCCTAAAGGCCTGATGAAAGAGGCACCATGACGCTCCACCACCCTCCAGTCGGGCCCCATTTCCCTCCTGGGCTCCTCCACAGGCCCCTGCCATGCCTCCCCTGCATCCAGACAGAAGCCCTGTAACAGGTCAGCCGATGAAATGACTAAAGCAGAAGCAGTTTCCAGAACGCAGAGGTCATCCGGGCTTCCTCATGGGACAGAGGTCCGACCGCTCACAGCTCTGCGCATCCATGTCTCTCTCTCGGTGGACAAGGGACAGGGTGTGTTAGTTCGCTGCCACCTCTGGCGGAGAAAGTTCCACGGCAGAATCAGATGGACACGTGGCTGGTTCCCGGCACACACTCGCACCGCTCTCTTCGATGTGATTTTATCTGTGAAGGCGTGTGTATAATCAGTGGGGATTCATTTTCAGAGAAAGGACCCGCTAAAAAAAAGTGACCCTAATGAATGTCATTAGGAAGGAAATGCTGCTTTCTCTCTGGCCACTGTTTACACCGGGGCTGTAAACAGTCCAGCGTGTCCACGGTAACCAGCAGCTCCACATTTAACTTTTCAGTCTATAAAGGAGGCAATTACTTTCTTCTTTACATTTGTATGGTTTATAATAGCAATAAGACTGCCCCCGCCCTGGGTCAGACAACTCCTGGTGATTAATGAACAACTGGCCATTTTCATTTAAGTTTTTCTTTCTTAAGGGCTTTTGATTTCACTCCAGGGTCTTAAACTTCCTTGGTCACTTGCTGACTGCCAAAAAATGTCCTCCTTGTGGGTCATGACTGCCCCACACTCTTGGTTCTAAGACAAAGGCAAGCCTGCTGCAGTATCTTCCGTGTGGCCGCGTTAGTCCGTGAGTGGCACTGTTTTACCCTCTTTGTGTATGTACTCATGCAAGTGGCTTCTGTGTATTTGAGGAGGTAGCTGGGAGGATATTTTGTGATACAGAAGCAATATAATGCATGATGGACAAAGGAACGTATTCTGTGTAACGTCACAGCACTAAGGCATTAGAGTTCAGTGCAATTCTCTGCTTTACAAAATGAAAATGGGAATGCCATCCGGAGGCTTCCTCTACTCATCCAGCTCTACCTGGAGAAATTCAAGCTTTATTTATCACATGAGAAACACTTATCAGTCACCTCCAGGTGTATGTGCCACATGATGTAGGGTCACAGACATGTATTTGCCCCGTAATCAAAAGATACTGCACATTTATTCTGTATTAACTTCTTGGCTTGACTTGGGCTGTGCACAAGCTGGGATCATAATCTGTGGAAGGGGATGGGTATAGACAGTGAATCCTACCACCCAGCATGCAAATTGGAATCTTCAAGGAGACACTGTGAGCTTGAGGTTGTCGAGATGTTGCTTCATTGTGGTCATCTCCACTGCAGCTGCGGTGGCAGGAAGACGGCCCTGCTTCCTGACGTCCACCCACGAAGGACACTTCCTCAGGTGCTCTTTGAACCATTTAAATGGTCAGGGCGATTCACCTGCTCATGGAACCAGCCTGCATGTGGGTTAGAATAGACACCACTGGGCGTATCTATTGAGGATGCAGAGCAGACACACAGGGGATGGCAATTCTCTTTGCGGTGTGAACACAGGGTTTGGTGTAGCTGATGGTTTAGTGGTGGAAGATGAATGTCTGACCCTCTGCTGTGGCTCTCGAGGGAAAAGACTTCCTGGATGGCGCCAGCTCTGTGCAGTGGGGCGATGGGTGCTGAACGTGCTTGGTGGGTCACCTGAGCTTTGGGTGCCTGCGTGGAGTGTTGGCCCAGCACTGGAGGGGCTTGGGCGTCATGCTCCCTTCTGGAGCTGCTGCTTGGAGATTTTTAACTCAGTCGGTATAAGCCTTTCTTTAGTGGTAATATTCCTGAGAATCCAAGAGAGTTAAGTTTGGTGAGAACCTAACTGTTATGTGTGTTGCTTTTAGCTTCTAACTTATTCCAGGTATATATCATGAACTATATGTGTAAAGGCAACTTTTAAGTGGCAGTCTTTAACATAGATATCCAAATACAACACCAACCTGCTTTTCAAACTGTCTGGGCAGATGTTATTTGGAGTCATTCAGCCCGGAAGACAGTGCAGTCCTACTGTTCAGAACCTCCGTGTATATCTGCGGCCGGGCAGGGATGTGCCCGGCTCAGACTCCGCCTTCCTCGGCAGCCGCCGTTGCTCCATGGTGGGCAGGCGGCTTCCTGCCCCTCCACTTCATGCTTCCACAAGTAGCATGGCGGAACATTTTTTTAAAAACAAGGAAGGAGGAGGGAAAAGCTGTTCCACTCTGCAGATTCATTCCCGAGGGAGTGCTGTTGCTCTTGGAGTCATCCACGCTGGGCACATGCCTCCGTTCGCCGGGTGCTCTGTGGGCTGCTCCTGCCCATCCTCGGCTTCCTCCGCACCAGGCTCTATCCCTGCCCGCTCCTCACTGCTTGGGTTCGCTGTCATGTCAAGCCCTGCACTTTGCTTGAGGTTAAGTGTTGGGGAATCTCCCTCCTCACCTCCCTGCGTGAGAGCTGCCGGACACCTGTGGGTCTTCCTGTCTCCCTGAGCACAGGACAACCCCCCACGGCCAAACAATCAGCACAGACCCCAACCACAGTCGGACCCCCCTATGTGGTCTCACAGACAGAGAGGGTCTGTCTGCTTCTTAAGACAATGTGTTTTACTTTTCAACCGTGAACCATTCCCAGCTCCCGGGGAGTGCCAGGCGCGGTGCCAGGTGCTAGATTCCCATGCTGAGTGCCCGAGGCGGCCCCACACCCAGGGCTCAGCCTTCAAGGGCTGCAACAGAGAGGCTCAGCCTGCAAGAGCAAAGCAGGGTGCTACGGCTGAGAACACCGAGGGCTCCGGACTAGGTGGCCAGAGAAAGCTTCGGGGAGAGGTGGCCTGGAAGCTGAGTTCTAGTCCTGGGAAGAGTCGGGAAAAGCCTCCCAGGCTGAAGCAAGGGCAAGTCAGAAGCTCTGCTCGGGGCCTGCAGGCCGTGCACAGCCCCAGGACCTGCCCAGAATCGCTGTGGGCTGGAGCCTGTCCCAGGCAGGCCCTGGAGGCTACGGCGGGATTTGATTTCCTTCTGTGAAGGGAGCTGCAGAGGAGTTTCCAGCGAGGGAGTCTTGTGATCAGAATGATGGTTTCAAATGTGATCTCTGAGACTGGGGGAGAACAGACAGTACACAGACAAGAGCGGAGGCGAGGAGGCCACGGTCCATGATGGACCCCGTGGCTGGGGGACCCCGTGGGATCCTCTGGGGAGGCGATACCGTGGGACGGCAGCCTCAGAGCCAGAGCAGCAGCAGTGGGAGAGAAAATCAGATGAACGTGGGGATGTTTGGAGCAGGGGTGAGAGAAAAGGAGAGCTCGAACCAACTCCCAGGCCTCTGGCCTTGGTGATGGGTGAAGATGACACCGCTGGCCCAGCGGGGAAACGCAGCATGGAGGCGGCCAGTGCCCAGAGAACCCGGGCCCTGTGCTTGACAATAAAGCTCCACTGAGTGCTATTTAACCTGGGTTGTTGGAAAGATTCCCTGTGATTGTGAGCGCTCCCGGTTCATTATTATGAACTTCGAGCATTCAGCTGCTACGGAGACACAAGCGTGACAGTTAACGTCGTTGGCGGTGCACCGCAGAAACTGGTTTTTACGCCAATATTGACCTAACTGGCCAATGCAGACTTTGAAAATGCACGTTGAAGAAACAGTGGTCAGATCTGGGGTCACTGGAACTCAGCAGAGAAGATTCACGCCCCCTCTTCTGAACCCTCTTTCTGCAAAGCTTCAGTGCTCACTCATCAATACTTCTTTGTGAATTTCTAGAAGTCCAAGTTCCAGGAGCCTAATTAATTTAGTTCCTCTGATAGGAGGATGAGCCAAGGGAAAGGAATGGCTGTTAAAGGAGCTTTTATCTCAGCCCAAATTGCAATCAGCTTTCTAATTAACCGAACAATTTAACTGAAACTAACTATTTTAGTTAGCACCGTCCAGGAATTTCTGATGAGTCTTTGTACCACAGGAACCGGAACGCGTTGGTACTTTTTACTTGGTTTCTAAATGTTACTTACCTTGTTTCCATCTCTTTTTTATGGATACATAATGATGGTTCACATTTACGGAGTACCTGTGATATTCTGATACATGCAGGCGATGTGCAATGACCACATCAGGGCGTTCAGGGTATCCATCCTCATTCATCATTTCTTTGTGTTGGGAACATTTCAAGTCTCTTTTCTAGCCATGCTGAAATACACGATAATTATTTTGTTTGGTGTTCATCACTGTGCTCCTGCCACGCCAACATCCTCCTGCTGTGTAGTTTTCTGTTGGCTAATAGCCATCATTAACGCCTTATTCCCAAAAGCCCTTACCTGTAGCTTAACACCTCATTCACTCCCTTCCCAGATAAAATAAGTGCACTGTGACTTGTATATGTATTCAGGGCATTCTTTGTTTAGTTTTTTTTTAATCGGCAAATAATAATTGCCTGTATTTCTGGAGTGCAATGTGATGCTTCAATGCGTGGATCTATCGTGAAATGGGCAAATCAGGCTAATTAGCATATCCACTACCTCACATACTCATCGTCCTTTGTGAGAACATTTAAAATCCACTTGTTTAGCAATTTTGAAGTGAACAATGCATCGTTATTAACTATAGTGACCTCACTGTGCAGTAGACCAGCAGAGCTCCTTCCTCTTGTCTAGCTGAAACTTTGCATCTTCTGACCAACGTTTCTCCTTCCCTCGCCCACTCAGCCCCTGGGACCGCCGTTACATTCTCTGCATCTGAAAGTATGAAATTTCAGACTCCACGTAGGAGTGAGATCATGCAGTGTTTGCCTTTCTCTGCCTGGCTTGTTACTTGGTATAATGTCCTCCGTGTTTATCCACGTTGTCACAGATGATAGGCTTTACTTCTTTTCTGTGACTGAACACAATTCCATTGTGTAGATGTACCATGCTTTCTTTTTTTTTTTTTTTTTGAGATGGGGTCTCACTCTGTCTCCCAGGCTGGAGTGCAATGACGGGATCTTGGCTTACTGCAACCTCCACCTCCCGTGTTCAAGCAATTCTTCTGCCTCAGCCTCTTGAGTAGCTGGGACTACAGGTGCGTGCCACCACGCCCAGCTAATTTTTTGTATTTTTAGTAGAGATGGGGTTTTGCCATGTTAGCCAGGATGGTCTCGATCTCCTGACCTCGTGATCTGCCTGCCTCGGCCTCCCACTGTGCTGGGATTCCAGGTGTGAGCCGCCGTGCCCAGCCTGCCTGCTTTCTTTATCCATTCATCTACTGATGAACATTTAGGTTGATCTGTATGTTGGCTATTGTGATCAGTGCTGTAGTTAACATGGTATTGAATTCAGTATGTGATTTCAATACCTTTGGATGTAGACCCAGAAGTGGGGTTACTGGATCCTGTGGGACTTCAGTTTTTGATATTTTGAGGGGCCTCCGTACTGTTTTCCATAATGGGTACGCCAATTCACACTCCCTTTTCTCCATATCTCCGATTCTGCCATGTTGCTAACATCACTCTCTATATCCTATTTGGTTTTTTAAAGTGTGCTTTTAGGACTTGTAAAATATGTTATTTAAAAGAAAAAGCCAAAGAGTAACTACACTAAAATAATCTGTATTAGGCAGCTTTGTGACAAAGCAATGGGAGAAAGGAAAGCTTTGGAGAAAAGGAAAAGAGGCGGGGAAAAGGAAGAAAGGAGGGAAGAAGGAAAGAGCAAAGAAGAAAAGACGGAAAGGCAGGAACGCAGAAGGAAAGCATGAAGGGGAAGCTGGGGGCCCAGCTCTGAGGGCGGCTTGACTATGTGTGGAGGCAAACAAGAGCTTCCGGGCAGAGCCCCTCTTCATCTCGATCTCAGCTGAAGACTTCAAGGTCTGGCTTAGCACAGCGATTAATTAGAGGACCACATCCCCATGGGCAGTAAGAGGATTTACCGTTGAGGCTCCTGGAGAAAAACAGGGAAGGAATACATGGATGGAGAGGCTCCTTGCTGTGTGAAGAGTCCCAGCTCCATGTCCTGTTGCCCGGGGCAAGGCTGGAGTGTCGGAGGCCCCTCCTTCCAGGACTGCACTCGGAGAAGGAGCCCGCTGGCCAGCAATCCGGGGGTGCCCTCATCCCTCAGTCCTCTGTCAACACAACACACACCAGAGACACTCTCAGCGTCACAGCTTCCCGAAGTGCATCTCAGGGAACACACCCAACACTGGAGGACACTTCCCAGGAGAACGGCGAGGTAGGGGCCCCCACGCAGACGTGCTCACAAGGGGCACGGCGAAGGGTGGGCATGTGGGTGATGCTCCCTGTGCTTCTGCAGGGACAAATCGCTGGGAAACCAACAAGACGAGGAGGGCAGGCCAGCCTGGGACCAGAGAACAGGTGGTGTGGCTGCTTCTGAGCGCTGTGATCTCCTACTGATGACAGAGAGAGAGCAGAAGAATCAGAAGGCCTTACTGGGAGAGGAGAAAAGAGAGAGCTGCTGTGGCCAGCTGGGGTTCTACTAGAGCCAATAAAGAGTCCAGCTCCAAGGATGACCATGGAGACCCACATCCCAGAACACCAATCTTCCTGTCAGCACCATACACCCACGCTCAGAACAAACTTTGCAGCCGTTGTGAACTGACGTGGTGCAGTTCCAGGCATGCAGCTAAGTGAAAAAACAGCACAAAACAGTAAGCAGAGTACATCACCCTCCAAAAACAAGAAGTGGGAATGAGAAAGAATACACACACACACGTGCACACACACGCACACACACACATGCACACATGCACTTGCACACATACACGCATATGCACACACAAGCACATGAGCACACAAGTACACACATGTGCACACACACACACATGCACATTTTGTAAAAAGAAACCCAGGATTATCCAAGCCAACAACAAAAATGTTGACCATAGGGCTTGAGTGGAAACTGGATGAAAGGGACATGAATGAGCATGAGACTTCTCTGAGAATCTGTGTGTGTGTGTTTTTAATTTATAAACCATATAAAACAAAAAAACACTTCAAAGAAATTCTGAACTTTGCTTCATGGGTTTGTATTGATATAATAATTCTGAATCTATTTTGCACATATTAGAGAGTAGAACGAATAAGTAAATATTTTGACCTTCTTAGGAACCAGGGGCATTGCCATAGGGAAAGGAGAGACCAGTATGTGATAGTGGAAGGTGAGGAAGAAGACATCAGGCCTTGTGTTGTAGGGTTTTAATTGGAGGTATCCGTATAAGCCCATAATTTCTAATCTTTAACCTGGCCTGCTGGAAGAGTCTAGAAGCACTGCACGCCTCTAGCAATGAGCATACTACCACCCAGATCTGTGCTTCTCAATTATTTGATCAAAGGAAGCAAGACTTCTGGGAGAAAAGGTTGATTTGGGGTGTCGAGCAGGTGAGCTTGGAATAACTTTTTGGGTCAGAAAGCAAGACAAAGCTCAAAATCAAAGGGGGGGGCATCTGGTGCTGGCTTAGAGGGCATAAGCCCACTGCTGCTTCCAGCTCCCCCTGATTAAACGGAGAACTTGGGTGAAATACAAGCAGTGACCACCTGATGCCACTGAAAGTAAACAGGGGAAGGCAGATCGGGAAAGAGGTCCAAACATGAGGAAAACCAGTATGCCCATGGTAAGTCCTCTGGATTTCTTTCCTCTTTGTATCTGTGAAGTTGGAAGCAAAGGTGAATGTCTTAGTCCACTTTGGACACTACAACAAAATACCGTAAACCAGTGTTGTATAAACAACAGGAACTTATTTCTCACAGTTTGGAGGCTGGAAGTCCAGGATTGAGGTGCCAACAGATTCCACGTCCTGCGAGGGTTTCCTTGTTCACAGAAGCCACCTTCTGGCTGTGTCCTCACAGGGTGGGACGGCTGGGGGAGCAACTGCGGCTCTTTTATAAGAACGCTAATCCCACCCTGAGGCTTCACTTTCATGACCTGGTCACTCTCAAAGGCTCCACTCCTCATGCCATCACGTTTGGAGTTAGGATTTCAACATACGAGTTTTGGGGCCGCAAAAATAGGGTCCATAACAGTGAGCTGACGTGGGACCTCCTCCTCAGGCATGGGCAGCAGAACTCTAAGGGAAGCCCAGCTCTTTTGCCAGAGGCTGGAAAGGCACCCCTGTGAGCCAGAGTACATGGAGATCATCGCTGTTTTTCTTCCCTTCTTTCCTGAAGCTAGCCCCACTTGCATTGCCGCATGAATGGTGCCGTCACCTGAGACCCTGAGAGAAGGCCCAATCTCTCTGGTCAGAGGACCTGGGAAAGGGCCCTTATGTGTGAAGAATGAAGCCGGTGGGGGGTGTCCCAGTTATTGTTTTCTCTCTTTCTTTTTGTTGAGACGGAGTTTGGCTCTTGTCGCCCAGGCTGGAGTGCAGTGGTGCGATCTCAGCTCAATGCAACCTCCTCCTCCCCAGTTGAAGTGATTCTCCTGCCTCAGCCTCCCAAGTAGCTGGGATCACAGGCATTCACCACCACACCTGGCCAATTTTTTTTTTGGTAGAGACAGAGTTTCACTATGTTGGCCGGCCTAGTCTCAAACTGCCGACCTCAGGTGATCCACCCGCTTTGGCCTCCCGAAGTGCTGGAATTACAGGCACAAGTCACCACGCTCGGCTTGTTTTCTCTGTTTTTCCTGCTGCTCTTGGCCGTGAAGCTGCACAGGAGTGTTGAGGGCAGAACTTCTGAGATAATCCCAATCATCTGGCCACAGACACCGGGAACATGACCTTAAATGCTGCAGACTGTGGGGAAATCCCGGAAAGAAGAATGTTGGGGAAGGGGATTCCCCAGTTCTGTGTATAAAGCCGTAGATGCATGCGATCGACCGCAGAAGTGCAGTGAAGGCAGTGGAGACCCTATTCCCAGACTAAGCTCCAGGGTACATGTGAGGGCTGGCCCCAGACAGCAAGGCAAAGGCCGTGAGAGCAGTCGGGCCTGGAACCAGCACCCATAGAAGTTTCCGTGGCCCTGGAAACCTGCACCCTGAGCCTAGCTGGGCAACCGCCTATTAACACAAGCCAGTCACAGGCATCAACATCCTCCAGAAGGTTTTCACAAGACCCAGACTTGTCTGGAATCACTCAGCACGACAAACAATCCCTGGCCAAGTTTCAGCACGAAACAGAATCAGAAGATGCCAACCCTTATATAGTCCAGTCATCAGTGGACAAAGAGGACAGATAATTACCCATGACGGAGAAGACCAGGCACCACGATGGCCCTGTTGGCCTGATTGGTGTGAAGACTCCACACAGTGAGGGCACCAGAAACGCACCCTAGGGTGGACCATGTTGCACACCACTGAGCAAGCCTTTGAACATGCACAAGAACCAAAATTGTATAAACTGTATCGATTAAACATAATGGAATTAAGAAGGAAGTCAATAACAAAAAGATACCCAGAACATCTGCAAACATTTGGAAATTAGATAACATATTTTTAAATAACCCATAAGTCAAGAGAAAGAAACAAGGGAACTTAGAAAATATTTTTACTTGAATAAATATGAAAACACAGCATATCAAAACTAGAAGGATGCAGCTAGAGCAGTGCTTACACCCAAAATTATAGATTCACATTGTTACATTTGAAAAGAAGTAATGTCTGAAATCAAGAATTTAGCCTTTCACCTTAAGAAGCAAAATAAAAGCAAACTAAATCAGAGCAAACAGAAGGAAGACAATAAAACAGCAGGCAACATTGGAACTGGAGACAGAGCCACGGAGAAAACTAATGGAGCCAAGAGTTGGCTCTTTGAAAATATCAGTAAACTCAATGAGCCTCTATCCAGAATAAGGAAGGAAAAAGACAAGATACAGTTTACCAGCTTATGGAGTGAGAGAGAGGATATCACTACAGGTCTAGAAACATGGAAAAGGTAACAAAGGAATACTATGAACCACACTCTAACCATATTCGATAACAGATTAAATGACCAATTTTTTGAAAGACACAACCAAAACTCACTCAAAAAGAGAGAGGTAACTGGAATTACTTCATACTATTGAGGAAATTGAAGCCACACTTAAGAACTTAAAAAAAGAGAAGAAACTCCAAGGCCAGATGGCTTCACTGGAAAATGCTATCAAACATCAGAGCAAGAGATGACAGCTGTGCACACACTCTTCCAGAAAACAGGAGAGGAGGGAACGCGTTCCAGTCATTTATGAGATCAACGTTATCCTGATACAAAACACCAACAGACATTACAGGACAACTGCAGAGCCATATCCCTCATGGGCAGAGATACAGAAACCCACGACCTGATATCAAAACACAGACAGACATTACAGGACGACTACAGAGCCATATACCTCATGGGCAGAGATACAGAAACCCACAGCAAAAAAATAGCAGGAAGAATTTGCCCATGTATAATAAGGATAATATATCATGACCAAGGGGGGTTTATTCCAGGAATGCAAAGTGGGCTCAACATTTGAAAATTAATATGTCATCATATTAAGAAAAGAAGAAAACTCATGTGATCACCTAATTAGACACAGACAAAGAATTTAACAAAAATGTAACATTCATTCTTGATAGAAATTCTCAGCAAACTGAGAATAAAAGGGTATGCCCTTAACTTGTTAAAAGTAATCTACAAAAAACCTATAGCTAACATCATACTTAAGTGGTAAAGACTGACTGCTTATCCCATAAAATTAGGAAAAAGGTAAATTTGTTCAATGTCACTGCTTCTATTTTTTATTCAACGTAATACTGGAAATCTTTGCCAATGAAACTAAGCAGGGAACAAAACAAAGCATACAGGTTGTAAAGGAAGAAATAAAACTGTCTCCATTTACAGATGACATGATCATCTACATGACAAATCCTATGGAATCTACATAGAAAGTCCTAGAACGAACAGTGAAGTCTAGCAGACTCACAGGATACAGTCAATATGCTAAAAAGAAATCAGTCGTGTATCTATATATTAGACATAAACAACTGGAAATCAATTTTTTTAAGAACCATTTCCAATGCAGAATAAAAATAAAACATTTAGGTATTCATATGAAAAAATATTGCAGGATATGTATGCTGAAAACTATAAAATGCTGATGAAAGAAATCAAAGAAAATCCATATAAATGAAAAGATATTTGTGTGCATGAATTGGAAGACTTACTATGGTTGCCATGTACATTCTTCCCAGCTGGATCTATAGGTCCGAGGCCACCCTAACCAAACCTCCCCAGGACTCTTTCAGAATAGCCAAACCCTGATTCTAAAATCTACCCAAAAAGGCAAGTTATTAGAAACACCAGAACAATTTTGAAAAAGAAGAAAATTGAAACTACTTCATTTCAATCCTTATTCTAAAGATACCATAATCAAGACAATGTTATACCAGCAAAAAGATAGACATAGATCAATAGAAGAGAATAGAGTCCAGAGATAGACTTGCACAATTGATTTTCAACAAAAGTACAAAGACAATTCAATGGAGAAGAGAGTCTTTTTAACAAATGTCACTGAAACCATTAGACATCTACATGTGAAAATAAAAAGGTCTCCATTAACTAAAAATTGATCACAGACCTAAATGTAAAGCATGAAACTCTAAAAAATGTAGAAGAAAATATAGAAGGAAACCCCTTGTGACCTTGGTTTAGCAAAACATTCTTAGATACAACATTGAAAGTAAAAGCCATAAAGGAAAAATTAATAAACTGAACTTCATCAAAATTAAAACCTTTTGCTCTGTCCAGGTCAGTGCTAAAAGAGTAAAAATACAAGATGCAGATTAGAATAAAATATTTTAAAATCATATACCTAGCAAAGGAGTTGCATACAGGCCATATATAGAACCCTCAAAACTCAACAATAAGAAACCAAGCAACCCGGGAATGAAATTGGCAAAGCATTTGAACACGTACTTTAACAAAGAAAATACATGAGTGGCAAATAAACACATTTTTTTTATTGTTTTTTTGAGACGGAGTCTTGCTCTGTTGCCCAGGCTGGAGTGCAGTGGCCCGATCTCGGCTCACTGCCAGCTCCGCCTTCCGGGTTCCCGCCATTCTCCTGCCTCAGCCTCCCGGGTAGCTGGGACTACAGGTGCCTGCCACCACGCCTGGCTAATTTTTTTGTATTTTTAGTAGAGACGGGGTTTCACCGTGTTAGCCAGGATGGTCTCGATCTCCTGACCTCATGATCTGCCCGCCTCAGCTTCCCAAAGTGCTGGGATTACAGGCATGGGCCACCGCGCCCGGCCATAAACACATTTTTAAAAAGCTCAGTATCATTATTCACTGGGGAATGAATGGAAATTAAAAGCATAATGAGATGGCACTGTACTTCATATATTTAGTATGGTTTTTCTTTTTTTTTTGAGATGGAGCCTCGCTCTGTTGCCCAGATTGGAGTGCAGTGGCGTGGTCTTGGCTCACTGCAACCTCTGCCTCCTGGGTTCAAGCAATTCTCCTGCCTCAGCCTCCCGAGTAGCTGGGGAGTAGCTGGGATTACAGGCACACGCCACCATGCATGGCTTTTTTTTTTTTTTTTTTTTTTTTTTTGGTATTTTTAGTAGAGATAAGGTTTCACCATGTTGGCCAGGCTGGTTTCAAAGTCCTGACCTCAGGCGATCCATCTGCCTCGGCCTCCCAAAGTGCTGGGATTACAGGCATGAGCCACCGTGCCTGGCTAGTAAAATCAAACAGATCTTATAAGAGCTCATAAATATGTATTTGTATTTATCCAAATGAAATGAACAAATAAGCCATTTAAATAACCCAAATTGTGGTCATTATCCTCACCTCTCCACATGCACTGACTGAGCATGACCACATAACAGTTTTATGGGTGTTTCTTTTCAACAACTATTTTCATGAAATTTAAAAATGACTATAATTGGCCAGGTGCAGTGGCCCACGCCTGTAATCCCAGCACTTCAGGAGGCCGAGGTGGGCGGATCACCTGAGGTCGGGAGTTCGAGACCAGCCTGACCAAAATGGAGAAACCCTGTCTCTACTGAAAATACAAGGTTAGCCGGGCGTGGTGGCGCATGCCTGTAATCCCAGATACTCGGGAGGTTGAGGCAGGAGAATCGTTTGAACCCGGGAGGCAGAGGTTGCGGTGAGCCGAGATCGCGTCATTGCACTCCAGCCTGGGCAACAAGAGTGAAACTCTGTCTCAAAAAAAAAAAAAAAAAAAAAAAAAAAAAAGACTATAATTACTCTTTGCATTTGGGGATTTCTGGAACATGCCTAAGCAGTTGTTTCCTCACTGCTTCTCTTAGAACAGAAGGACGGCTCCGTGTCTGAGTGCAAAAGCGTCTGCAGAAGGAAGCTGATGCAGCTCAACTCCCAGAAAAGGGGCCGTGGGATGAGAGGTATCCCCTCACATTTACCTTGTGAATACCCCATGCCACCCCCACAGAAAGAATCTGCAAGGTTAGAGCTTACATAGCTGTGTACATTACATGTATAGTCTTTTGTCAAAGGTAAAATATCTCATTATCCGTGATGGGAAAAGCCGTCTGCACCCAAATTTGGAGCCTCCTAGCTCAAGGCTTTAAACTGAGATTTTATAGCTCTTTGCTTCAGACCACTCCGCTGCAGATGAGCACTGGTGGTTTACACCAGTAAAAAGGCAGAGATCCGTGTGCTCCTTATTAAGGTCAGAGTAAATGTCTTCATCCTTTTAAAAGCATTGGCAGGTCCTGAGACAGGTTGCGACCTTTCCAAGATTGACTAGAAGTACTTCTCACGCTGGTGTCATGCCGCCTGTGTCTATCTGAATGTCACACAATTGTGATGTTTAGAACAGAGCTAGGCCTGTCCTGGAGCAGGCAAGGCCACACTGCATTGTCGGGAGAACCCCTTTTTATCATGTCCCTTCATTTACTTCTACCCCACCTTAACCTGTCGCAAAAGAATGCCTTTTCTTCCTAGATAATGCAAGTAGAGGATGGCAGAAATAAATATAATAAATAAAATACGACTTGTGGCAAGTTGTGCCAGCCGATCGCTAGAACAGACTCCCCCTGTTAGAGAGCTCGTCTGGGGTCCATTGAGGGTGCCGTGGCATTTGGGGTGGCAGGACCTCAGCTCACCCCTGCTCAGACTCTTGGCTCTCCTGTGCTGTCCCAGAAACACCCCTTTCTCCTTTAGACACCACAGAAGGAAGGGGATCAGTCCACACTATCTGGAGGGTTTTGGCTTTAATCCTTTCCTGCTCTCTTTGCTTGGCTACACTTCATTCCTTCCTTCCCCGCTCCCTTCGTTCCTCCCCGCCCCTCTTTTTCGCCACTTCCTTCTACCCCCTTCCTCCCTCCCTCCATTCCTCCCACGTTTCCCTCTTCTTTTCTTTCCCTGCCTCCCACCCTGCCTCCCACCCTTCCCTCATTCCTCTCTTCCTTCTTTCTGCCCTCCCTTCCTCTCTCCCTCCCTTCCTTCCCTCCTTTTTCCCTTCCTTTCTTCCTCTTTCTTTTCCTTTCTTCCTCTCTCTCTTCATCCTTTACTGGCTCCCTTCCTCTTTTCCTCCCTCCCTTCTTCCCTTCCTGGACAACCAAGTCTAGCAGGTGCCAGGCACTGTCCTAAGAGCTGAGGATCCAAGTCCAATGGAGACAGCCTTCCTTCCTTATAGGAATGACAGGGGCAGGAGAATGGAAGGTGATCACAGGGCATTGTGCCAAGGTGGGGGAGCCTCTCAGTGACACAGGTTGAGGAGAGCAGGGGAGTTTTTGGCAGAGGGGCCTCCTGAACCCAGGAGTGGTCTTCGTGACTAGCAGCAGCCCCATCAGGCAGGTGCCATGAGCAGGGCTGTGTCTCAGCCGTGTGCGTGTCTCAGTCATGTGCGTGTCTCAGTCATGTGTGTGTCTCAGCCATGTGTGTGTCACTGCATGTCTCAGCGCTGTGTGTGTCTCAGACGTGTGCATGTCACTGCATGTCCCAGCCACGCATGTGTCACTGTGTGTCCCAGCCATGTGTGTGTTGCTGTGTGTCCCAGCCATGCATGTGTTGCTATGTGTTCCAGCCATGCATGTGTCACTGTGTGTCCCAGGCATGTGTGTGTCACTGTGTGTCCCAGCCATGCGTGTGTCACTGTGTCCCAGCCATGTGTATGTCACTGTGTGTCCCAGCCATGTGTGTGTTGCTGTGTGTCCCAGCTGTGTGTGTGTCACTGTGTGTCCCAGCCGTGCATGTGTCACTGTGTCCCAGCTGTGTGCGTGTCACTGTGTGTCTCAGCTGTGTGCGTGTCACTGGCACATGCTCCCTAAAGTCACTGATGCCATTTGAGTTTTAATATCCAAATTGCCCGTTTTGAAATGTGTCTACGTGAATCTATTTAAAGTCCTGTCTGCTGCGCAGTGGTGCATTCGATATATGAGTTGTGATTTCATTTCTCATTTATTATTCTTCATATTCAAATTCAGAATCTGTGATTTCTCTCTGAGAGTTCTCAGAGGACTGTAAGTGGAACCGAGACACGCCTCTTGCCTTCTGCAGGTTCCCTGATCCGACTGGTGGCCACATGTCTGAGCCGTCACAGGGCTGGGCTGCTGTGGCTGGCACTGTTGGTGACAACCTCCCAACCTGCCTGTGACGGAGGCCACAGCACACTCAGGGGTCGCCTGCCATGCTCCCCGTGCCTGGGGTTTGTGGTGAAAGCCCCAGGCTACTGAGCCCATTAGGGGTCCCGAGATGGTCCATCCCCTCCCCACCCACCTCCAGCAATCTCTTGAAGGGGCAGCCTCGGCGACAGCCCCTTGATTGGGGCTTGGCAGACCCAGCGGGGATCCGGGGGCTGGAAAACACGCCAGCCCCTCTGCAGCCCGAGAAGCTTGCAGGCTCCCTGAGTGGCAGGGCCTCCAAGACCTAAGTGGCCGTCCTCAGAGCCGCCTCCTTTTAGAATCATCCCAAGGTGGGACCCAGCCACGAAAAGGCCGCTCTGAGTCTAATCTCCTCCAGGACTGATTGGCAATTGCGCTGCCGTGCACAGATGCAATCAGATGGGAAATCACTGCGGCCGACTGTCACGTGCTCAGGCCTCCCTTGTGCACCCCTGATGCAGCATCCACGACCTCAGGAAGGAGCCGTGAGAGCAGGTTCCACACCCAGCCCAAGTCACCCTGAAGGCCCTGGGCCCAGCACAGCAGAGATGACAGAGTGGGAGGGGTGGGACCGAGGACTGACCGCCGGCTCAGTGTGCACGTGGAAAGAAAATGCTAACAGAGACATCAACCTGAAAATTCAAATTAAGTAGAGTGGGACATATTGGGTATTTCTTTATAAACGAAGAGTTTCCCCGTCCTCTCTCCTCTACCACACACAGAGTGGGATGTGGCTCAGCCATCGTCCTGTTCCGGTGCGGCGGGACCCAGGATAAGCACTGCACGGAATCCCAGGCCTCAGCACCTTACCCCAACGCCCCCGACACGAGGCTCACAAGCCTGCTTGTGTGGCACCCCCTCCTCCTCGAAGGCGGAGCTGGCTGCACTACTTCTGTTTATGTCTCCCCATCCCCCAGGGCTTCCACCGCGGCACTTGGCGTGGAGGTTCAAGGTTACTGCTGCAGGGACCTCGGTTGCAGGCTCAACCTCTCGCTTCCGGGTAAGGAAGGGGAGACCCTGGAGCCTGCAGATTTTCACCCCTAGGCAGCGTTCTCCCCTGGGCTGTCCCGACCCTCTGCCCTGGAGCTCCATCTGGGTTTGGTGCCAGGACCCCCTGCAGGACTGGAAGCAGGAGAGAGACAGAGGTGGCGGTGCGGTGTCCACTCCTGCTCCTCCCTGGGCCTTGGGCAGGTGGCTTCCTCAGCTGAAGGTTGCTGCTCCCCTCCAGCTGTGGCCCTGAGACACATCTCCCTTCTCCCAGGCAGGGCTGCAGTCTCCTCCATCCCTGTGGGCCTGGGGCTAGAAGACCCCAGGGTACTGCCCCACTGCCCTGGACATTCTAGCTTCCCGGCACACTGCCCCATGGTGGATACCTCCAAGTCCCCTTAGGTATCTTGTTTTAAGTGGGCCACCTGGTCCCGGTGAGCCCCTGGGCTGGTCCAGCGCCCGGGGGACATCTCTCTTTGGTGCAGGCCCAAGAACTGGAAGCTGGGGTGCGTCCATGTGAATCTGTGCAGGGCGTGAAAACCACATGCCCACACTGTTCTGCTCAGGCATTCAGGTGTGCGGGGGCCGTGTTTGCTCGGCAAGGCTTGTCTGTCTGTCCCCCAGGGCTGCGGTGACAGAGTGTCCCACACAGGGGAGCTTAAATGTCAGAAATCAGTTTCATCACAGTCCTGGAAGCTGGAAGTCAGAAATCAAGCTGTTTGCAGGGCCGTGCTGTCTCTGAAATCTCTAGAGAGGGTCCTTCCTGTCCCTTTCCAGCCACCGGAACTTGCCAGCAATTCCTGGTGTTCCCGGCCTTCCAGCTGCATCACTCCCCACTCTGCCTCCATCTTCACGCCCGTGTCCCTTTCTTCCCACTGTGTCTCTCCCCGCCTCTAAGGACAAAGTTGTAGCGGACCAGGGCTGGCTCTACTCCGGCTGAAGTAGCCTGTGGACAGCTGCAAAGTCTATGAGACGGGCACGCGTCTTGCCCAGTGTTGACGTCTGTAGTGACTCCGTTTCTAATGTGTAGTCCCTTCTCTTCCTTTCTTCCTCTCCCTCTTCATCCTTGGCTCCTTACCGGCCTCTGTTCCTCCCTCCCTTCTTTCCTTCCTGGACAACCACGTCCAGCGGGTGCGAGGCACTGTCCTAAGAGCTGATGGTCCAAGTCCAATGGAGACAGCCTTCCTTCCTTACAGGAGGGACAGGGACAGGAGAATGGAAGGTGATCCCAGGGCGCTGTGCTGGGTACATTCTGAGGTGCTGGGGCTTAACACTTCAACCTGTCTCCTGGGGGGCCACAATTCCGCCCACTGCAGGGCTCCATTCAGGGTTCCCCAAGCCCACCCTCCGTCCCTCTACAGCTCTCCCCGCATAGCAGGCCTCGGTTTCCCCTGTGTCCTCGCTGTGAGCACAGGACGTTCAGGATTGCTGACCCATGTTCCTTCATCGTCTTCCCCTCCACTGGGTTGTCCGCGTATTTGATCATCTGAGCCAGGCATGGTACCTTTCGGTATGAAAGGAGGTGCTAGTGTTTGGGCTGTGCCGACGGGCGTATGCCGGGTGCTGGGCACACAGAGACCATGCCTCATCCACGCCAGCCCACTGCCCGCATCGCCTTCCTGGGGCCCTTCCCTCCAGGAGTGAGCTGGAGAGGAAACAAGGACAATAACATTGACTGGGTTTTTTAAATGTGTGAACATGGATGGCTCACCAGCATCATGCTTTTTTTTCAGATCATCTCTACTTATTTGGGGAAAAGAGGTGCATCTTGTTTAAAAAAAAATAGGAAGGTGTCACTATTGTGTTGTTTTGTTAATAATCAGCATTGATGGATGGCAAGCATGTCTCTTTCTGTCTTGTGTTTGTCCTCCAAATGTCTGGGACGCGACCCAGCAGCATGGCTGAGCCTGAACTCGGGGCCCTGCTGCAGCCGAGATTCCTGCAGTGTCCTCATTATTAAAGTGGTCACAAGGATGCAAACAAAGTTCCTGGGAGGTTGTGTTGAAGGCGGGGTGAGGTGATCCTGTGGGAGACGCAGCATGCATCCTGGTGCGGGGCCGGGGCTAAGGATGGGCTCCGAGGATGGGCTCCGAACGCTGGCCCAGGCCGCCGTGCAGCTGGTGTGTCCGTAGCCGGGCTGCGTGCTGCCTGCAGGGCCTGAGACTGAGATGCCACACAGAGAAGCTCTGCGGAGTGTCTCCACCTCTCTCCAGGCGGGCACATGAACCAGCCCTGCTCTGCCTTCTGTTCTTCCACCAATTAAATCCAAAGAGGAGAAAACATCCTCTGGAAGAAGATACGTCGTTTCTGCTTGTACAAATGGGATGTAATAGAATTTTCTCAAGGTGTGTGAGCTAACTGCCAAGTCATCAGTATTTCAAAGCTTGTGTTCACAAGGTTTAAAGTGAAAATATTTTTCCAGACCAGAATACAGAATGTACTGAGATGTGTTTTGAAATGCTCTCATTTATTAAGTTTTAATTTCTTTCATTCTTTGAAAAATCAACCAAAAATGTCATCTATAAACACTTAAACATTAAGTATAGATGTATATTTTATTACCCATCATAATGGGAAAAGGATTTTATATTTGATCAAGATATTAATTTTGGCAATTCAATTTTTTCATCAAAAAAGCTCGGAAAATGATTCTTACCCAATGTAGCAAACCTTCTTCTGTGCATGTGGGCCCCATCTGTGCTTCAGAAAGTGCCTCAGTGAATGGCGTTGCACTTGGGCTGTCCTACACCCGCCTTTTCCGTCTCTCACCCATGGCCAGCCCTTCCACTCACTTGGCAGGATCCCACAGTGCCAGCTGCCCCAGGACTCACCTGGCAAAACTCACCCCTGACTCATGGCACTCATCAGCCCTCCACTTCCCGCTGCATGGCTTGAGGAAATCACGCCCTTGCCTCCTTGTTTCACCCGAAAATCATGACCGTCTACTTCCAGGAGGCCAGAGGCTGCTGCCCAAACACGCAGGGTTTCCCCAGGCCATTCACTCCCGGCATCCAAGGACATGGCTCCCTCCGTCTCCAAAGCTGGCCTCCTCCTCATGGCCTTCATCATGTTTCACCCTCAGCCACATGTTCATTCCTCCTTCCTTCGAAAATATCCAGGACACACCCAGCTTGTTCCAGGCACAGAGGCCGAGGATGCAGCATGCACTGCACAGGCAGGAATCCCTCCCGGGTGAAGTGTGGTTCTGGGTGCGGAGACCACACAAAGAAAGCCAAGGAGGGATTTGGCTTGGTCCTGGGGTAAGTGCTACGGAGATGAAAGAAGACGAAAAGAGGTTGGGGCCAATTTAAACAGGCGGTCAGGAGGGCCTCACTGACAAGGTGGCCTCTGAGCAAAGGGCCGATGGTAGGAGGCGAGGAGGTGAGGGGCAGAGTCCTCTGGGGAAACGGAAGCAGCGGTGCCAGAGCCCGTAGTGGGGCAGGAAGCGGTCAAGTGGCTAATGTGGGTTGAGCAGAGGGAAGTGTAAATGGAAAATTCAACCAAAGGGATAACAAGGGGCCAGATAGTGGAGACATTGTGGAAGGTCATACAGGCAGGCCCAGGTGCCATGTGTACCACGCAGGGGCCACTCACCTGTTCCAAGAATCCTGAGTGTGGCCACTCCCCACCTGCTCCAGTGCAGGCATGGATCTCTCTCTCTCCCTGAATGAGTACAGTTGCTAAGACTTTTCTCAAGGGCTGATTCTCATGGACCAAGAGGTGCTTGAAGACTAGGTTCACAGCGGCTGTCATAGTGAGCTGTCCCCACTTGGACCTTACACTGATACATACACCAAGATGCTGCAGGTCACTCAGTGCAGGAGTACTGCACTGAGCAGTATTCCACTGCTCAGAATCACTCCAGAGGTCCTCACTGCCCAGAGAATCAGGTCAGCATTCATGCACCTGCCGTCCAAGGCCCTCCATTGCACAGCCAGATGCTTCTCCTCCAACATGGTTACCCTCTGCTCACATACTCAACAGCGTCTTTGGCTTCAGCCAAGCTGAGGCATGCCCACACTGCAAGCATTCAGGAAAGAAGCCAGTGCAGCCTCTCACTTCCTCTGCCGAGGGACTGCTGCTACCTTCCAATCAGGCCCTCCAGGCAGGGGCTTTGCTTGGAGGCCCTGAGCAGATTCCATCTTCCTCTGGGAACTTTCTCTGACTACCCAGCTCTGAACCATCCTTTCCTCTGCAGAATCATCAAAGCGTCTATTCCTGTAGCTCTGCCCCTTGGTATGGGGCCCACTTTCCCGAAGACGATTTGCTATGTCCTGCCCCGTGCCTCTGTAAATGCTGTTCCCCTGCAAGAAAGTCTTTCCCTTCCTCTCCTCTTTCCTCAAGACTGAGATCCTGGGAAGCGTTCTCTCCTCTCCCAGGAGGAGAGTGCCACTCCTTTCTAAGTGCCCCACTGAATTACCTGTAATTGCAGTTGTCCTGCTGAACAAGTGTTTACTGTCTCTTCGCTACAAGGTTGTAAATTTCATGAGAGCATGATTCATGACCAACGTCTTTACTTCCGTATCCTGCACTTTGCAAAGCACCATAAATATGGTAGATACCTGACAAACATCTACTGCATTGAATTCTTACCCTATCATCTTTTCCTGTCTTATCAAAGAATATAAATTACCGTGTTTGCTTATGAATAATCTCCAGTGAAGGTGTCAGTTAATTTTTTTTGGACTAGAAATAAAAGACCATGCCACAGATCTTCAGAAAGATCCTCCCATGAAAGGAGCTTTGAGGGCCCTTCCCACCCTTGCCTCCACCTTTCCTCTTTAACAGAGAAACACGTGAAATAGACATTTTTAAAAGCCACAAACCTTAGATTTGCTCCGATCAGAGAGGAACCGGGTGTGATGGGCGTCTCAGATCAGAGAGGAGCCGGGTGTGCTGGGCATCTGACTCATGCTCTGTGGCCTCCATCCAGTCCGTCCTCACAAAATGCACAGCG
This sequence comes from Homo sapiens, assembly GCF_000001405.40. Taxonomy (NCBI): domain Eukaryota; kingdom Metazoa; phylum Chordata; class Mammalia; order Primates; family Hominidae; genus Homo; species Homo sapiens. Next base: position 112,113,009 of record NC_000013.11, on the reverse strand, counting down.
GGAAAGAAGGAATGGACTTAGTTTTCTTCTGGGGAGAAATACGCTTCAGTAGAAGCACTGGAGGGCTTGGAGGAAGGCTCAGTGTGCTGTGTCTGCTTCTGGGATGGTCCTGGGTTTGGTGCATGAGGTAGGCTAGGGTGCTGGCTAGGGTGGTGGGCTAGGGTGGTGGGCCAATGTGGTGGGCTAAGGTGGTGGGCTAGGGTGATGGGCTAGGGTGGTGGGCTGGTAAGAGCAGTGAGACGGTGCGTGGAAGGTCAAACCAGTGGAGTGCAGTGGGCAGTGAGCCTGCTAACTGAAAGGACACCTGTGGTGGGTCTTCTGAAGGCTTCTCCGCAACTCCACATAGGGGTTCATGCTCAAGACCGTGAGGTCAAATCATGGTGGTGCATCTGGAAGCTTCTAAGAGTCAAGGAGGGCAAAAGGTCATGGGCCACGTTCAATTCTCGCTGACCCCTCTTTGCACGGATGCAGGTGACCCCATCTCACCTGCCCCAGACAAACACTATAGCAAGGCTGCGCTGGCTACAGGACGGAAATGCTGGGTAAGCTAAAGACATGAAGGAGAACACTGACCCCATGGGCATCAGCTCACCCCTGACCTCAACAGGAGACGGGTGAGGCAAAGCTCCAACTCTCTTGTTTTTCATGAAGCTTAATGTTTTCCTTTTTTTTTTTAATTCCTCATTCTAGATCTCGGCCTCTGACTTATTTTGCTTTATATAATTCTTGTTTCAGCAGCTGCTTCTCAGAGTCCACACCCACCTGCAGCTGCGGCTCACTGCAGTATTTGAACAACTATGATACTCTCCCTCAAAGTACTCACTTTTGTATTAGAATGCAATCAGAAATTCCAGTTTTAGGCTGTTGGGCTTCCTTCTTCATTTTATTTTGTTAGTTTTTTGCATGCCCAGGCATGCATTAGAAATTTAATTTTGTCCTGAAGATGAAGATGAAGGTTACTGTCATTATTGCCACTCAGAAATATGCTCTAAAGATAGTAATTTTCGAATGGAATGGCATCCTCTGTGGGCAGCAGCCTGCTAGATGAGTCTGTGTCTGTTTCTGAAATATATGTTCTGACAGCCATTCTGTTCATTCTATCAAATTATCAACTTGTTAAATACCTTTTGTGATAATAGATTATAATGGTGACAGGAGCAACAATTCAGTGAACTTTGACTGATAAACGGATGATAATCACAATGATCAAAGAAATCATTTTCTCACCTGCAAAATTATTAAAGAGGCTACCCAGTGAAAACAAGCTGAGTTATGCTACTGACTTCAGCAAATGTGGTCTCTGTATGAAAGCCTCAAGGACCTTCTTTTCCAACCCTTGACATTTTAGTTTTGTTATAAGGACTTTGTTATATTAATAGCCGTTTTCGGAAAGAGAGAAACAATGTGTGAAGTAGATGTAAACAATATGTAGATAAGCAGAAAGTAGCCCTCCGACAATGACATTCGGGCGTCCCTCTCTTGAGCTATCTCCATCCTAGAGTGAGTCAAACAGCCCAGCCAGTGTGACCTGAATCTTGATGGTTTTTCTGCCCTTATATGGAATGTATCTTGAGGAAAAGCACAAAGAACCCACCAGCACAGACGATGTGCAAACTCTATAACTGGCTTAGAATTATGGGAACCTTAGGAACGTCTGTTTTCCCGTGCAAGTTGTCTAACTTGCAGAAACATTTGTAATTTGCCTACTGCCATATTAAAATCTAGATAAGGTCCCTCATTTACCAGAAGACTTCGTTGCTTTCTTATCTGCTTTTGAGACATCTTGTAATAAGAGTTGTGTTTTTTTTTTTTTTCCTTTTGGGTCTGTAGTGCTTTTTCAATCAATGTAGCTGACGCCAGATAATTTCAGCACAAGGGATATATCACACTGGCCCTGTATGAACATTGACCTAATTTAGTTAATCTTAGATTATTTACCCAGAATATCTCGTCTGTGAATATTTGAAAGTATATAACCATTGTAGTCCTTAGGGGAAAGAAGAAAAACAGAAAGCAAATGAGAGTCTCTCTGGCTTTATAAGGTGATGATGCAAATGAGGCTGTGTAATACATATACTAAATGAACAGACCATCGTACACATCCAAAGTCAGAGTGCTAGAGTTTCCAATGGGATGTTGATGGCTCTTTAACAGGATATGTGCTAATTTTTTAGTTTCTTCTTTGGCAATTTTTTTCAAAAACAGGTAGTTTGATTAAGGAATAAAGTATTTCTACTAGTTCCTTACTTAAATTTTAACAAGAATGATATTGCCCAAAGAGTTAATACCAAAATTAACCATCTCAATTAGTTTACCCACAAAACTTTGCTCATCCTTGGTATTGCACAACATTTTCTTTTTCCTCTAGTTAAATTTAATTTAGCTAAAAATAGAACAGTAAGTGGACAACATACTAATAATGAGCAACAGGACAGTTCCTTTTATGATAAAAACAAAATTTTAATTGTATTCAAAATTATCTATGAGACATTTCCATTATTGGCAAAGTAGACTTAACTTCACATTTCTGTTGCATTTTTAAAATTAATTATACAACTCTCAAGATAAATGCATAAAATTATAACGTGTGTGTATGAAGCCTGCATGCAGAATTTTTGTGTTGCAGTTATACTGAATTTATTGAAAACATGCTTGGAGCAATCTCTTTTCACTTGCTATCATCAAAAGGCAAAATATAATTTCTAATTTTTATAACTTCACTTCTAGAAATCTGTGGCTAATATGTGAAATATTTTTAAATACCTTCTTTAAAATAAAACGTTTGCAAATATGGTTTCTTGCAACTTCCGTGACCAAAGTATGACTTCACAGATTTTTGAAGCTGTGAGTCAATTATAGGAATAAAAAGGAATTCCACTCTTGATGAGTAGAAGCGTTTTCCCAGATGTAAATTCTTGTTCAAGCTTTCTGTTTGTTTGCTTTGTTTTGGGTTGTGGTGATGGTAGGTGGTCGCAGTGAGAGGTGTGTGTGGAAAAATTAAAGCAGAAAAGTTCCAAAATGCTGACCCGAGATTTGAAAGTAACAGGAAAGCGGGCTTTCGAACTGTGCAGACATCACACAGTCGCCTTAGTCCTGCACATCTCCTCATTATCAAACACTTGGAGCAAGAGTCTTCAGAAGTTACTGCAGAGTTCATGCAAGATTGCTGACTGAGCTCACAATACAGTAATTAGACGGAATTAAAGTTAAAATGGAAAGAAAATGAATCGAGAAGTAAAATACAAGGTGTAATATCCCCCCCCCCCCCACCCCCAACCTGCCCCATTGAAAGAAAAGGAGCTTTGAGAATAGATTGTGTTACAAAAGCAACTTCAGAACAGCTCTGAGCCGGCCTCCCGCGAGGCCACGTGCTCAGCCTTCTCCACCATTTTTGCTTTTCCTTTGACATTTCTGAAGGATCTGTGAGAAGGTCTCACACTGCCCAGCAGGAAGATAACACACAAATAGCCATGTAGGTAATTGCAAAGTTCCTAAGAGCTACATTTTTAGAAAGCAAAAAGAAGGTGAAATTTCAATAATATATTTTACTTAACCTAAGGTATCTAAAATATAATCATTTCAACCTGTGATCAATATTTTAAGTGATGACTGAGGAGTTTCACATGCTTTTGAGTACTGCATCTGGAAAATCTCGTGTGTGTTTTACACTGAGCAGCACGCCTCACCACAGAGGGGCCCTGCTCTCCCTGCTCAGTAGCCACTGGGGGCCAGTGGCCACCACCCCGGACAACACAAGTCCAAGGGCAGCCGAGGAAAATGCACTGAGAAAAGCCTGAACCTGGATGCTGAAAACAAACAGCGAGAACCCAGAGCACCTCAGCAGCCTCAGGCAGGAGCCTGCTCCGAAGGTGCAGGAGAAAAGGAACTGTTGACTTTGAGAAATAAAATGTCCTCATTCTCCATTTTCTGCTATAGTTGTTGAATTTCTATAAGGAGATTATAGTCAATAAGGAAATTATGTCCCTAAGCTAGTAACCTTCCAGCTATGTGACTTTCCCTCCCATGAGAAGTCCTGCCACCAAGAGCCACCTTGGTGTTCAGCCAGCCTTCGACACTGTGGAGATGCAAGGGGATTGCAGTGCGTGTGTGTGTGTGTGTGTGTGTGCAAGTGTGCAACTGTGTCATATGTAAGAGTGAATGCCTGTGAGTCTGTTGCATCTGTGAATCGTGTGAATCTGTGAATCGCATGTAAGAATGAGTGTGTGACTTGGATGTGTATGTGGGAGATTGATTCTGGGAATTTGTGTGAGAATTTGTGTGAGTGTGTAGGAATGTGTGTGACACGTGTGCAAGAGAATGCATGTGTGAGAAGGGGAGGAAGGCCAGAACAAGCCAACCGTCACTGGCTCCGGCGCTGGCCAGAACCACTGGGCACCCTGGAGGGTTCTTTGTGCAGGAAAGAGGTCCAACCTGTGCCCAGAGCTTCTGTGGACCATCAGCTTCACCCCCCAATGATGACCTCTGCATCCCCTCAACAGACAGATTTTGAAACCCACAATTAGCCAGGCACTGTCCCCTTGCCCCTGGGGAGACATCAGTGACCCGGACTGGCCATCAGTGACCCAGGCTGGCAAAAACTCCCTCTCTATGCAACTTCCTGGGATTCCCCTCCCACAGCCACATCTCCAAAAAGCCGGCCTCTAGCTTGGAGCCCTGTCCCTAGCCTTTGGCAGCCTTGTCTGCAGGTGGGGTGGCAGGAGCTGGGGCCAGAGGATGGGGGCAAGGCTGCCCAGGCCCAGCCAGGGGCTGGCACACATGAAGAACCTCCTGCTGGGTGTGATCTGTGACTTTCCAGAGCCTTCAGGCCACATCATACAATGCTCTAGGAAGGAAACAAAATGGTGTCCCAGTTCAAAATTATCCACATTTACCAAGAGTCCCCCGCTTACCCCGCCCACCCCGTAGCTTTTTCCTGGGTCTAGATGGCGCCACTTTCAATCCCGCCCCCCACCAAAAATGACACACCCAATAAATAGATTTCCTCCATGTATTTCCCTGTTGTTGTGTTTACAAAAACATTGTTGGTTGCACTACCCCTTCACATCCTACCCCCTCCTTTTGTCAGAAGGAGGGCAGGCATTTCGGGGGCCTGGGCGCTCAAGGAAGGCCTCGCGGGTGCAGGAGAGGCCTTGGGGTGTGCAGGGGAGAACCTGCCCCTCTGCCGTCTTCGACCTTAAAGTTTAGTCCTCGGCTCTGGTCTGGTGGCTTTCTCTTGCCTTCTCCTAGGAAGTTTTCCCAGCCTCAGATGCGGCAGAGAGGGGACAGCAGCTTGGAGTCCTGTGAGGAGGTGGAAGGACACGTTAGTGGAGATCCTGGGCCTGAGGAGAACTAGCATTGCTCAGGGGAGGAAAATTGCCTCTGCTGGCGCCTGCGGCCTCCCACGAATCTGAGAAACACTACTCCACCCGCCTCTGCGTCCCTCAGGCCCTAACGGTGGTTTGCGCTCCTGGGTTCTAGCGCCCTTGGGTCTCGCTCGCTGGTGCCCGCCCTGCACCCGGGGCATCAGGAGCACCCCTCCCCACCATTCAGATTCTAGAGGAACGAGACCACTTGGGCAGGTGCGGGTAGGGGACCGGGCGTGGAAAGCGGGAGTGCAAGCAGGTCCTCAAGTCACTGAGACTCTCCTCACCTTGGGGTGGGGACTGGAAGTTTGTGAGCTGCTTGCAATCCTGCAGTTTGAGGAGCGTGGCCTGATGTTTTAACTGTTTTGCTTTAGGGCGCGCAGCCTCTCTGACATGCATTGTTGTGAGTTCACCCTAAAGGGTATGACTTCAGAAACGATCACTGCCGCGATCATTAAAACAGAAGATGATGTCTATGAAATTCACTCGACTTGGTATCTGGGCCTCTTTCAGTGAATTTAAACTCGCAACATTAAAGCAACTCTTGGGAGAAAACGGGAATATGTCCAAATCTCAGGTCATTCAAGTCAGACATCCGCGCTCAGAACCCCAAGGAAGGCTTTTAAAGTTGCGGAATGCACCAGAAGGAGAGCAGGGATCCCCCGAGGCCCCACTTGCGAAAGACCCCCCTCCCTGGGCCCCTCCTCCTCTTCCTACCCCTACCAACGTTGGAGGGGGTCTGGACTTTGAAACTTGTCACGGGGAAAAGAACCTTCGCCGAGAAGGCTGCTAATGAATTCAGACTGCATAGTTCTCAAAATCTGATGTTTTGCAATGATGACATTAGCGTGGCGGCCGAGGGTCCGAGCCCAGAAAGTCTGCGCAGCTGCTCGGCGCTTTGAGCGCCCGGGACAATGGGCGCAGTGTTCGGCCTCGGCCTCTCCAGGCCATTTGCATACCCCGTTCTGCCTGAGTGACCGGCGGAGCTGCGGCAGGGAGCAGCATTGTCCACGGGTCACTTCAAGATGAGCGAGATGACAAGAGCCAGGTGAGCGATGGGGCGGGACATTCCCCAGGTCACGAGAAGAAAACGCGGGGAGAGCCTTGGCCAGAGCTTGGGTTTGTTGATTCTCGAGGTGGGATTTGCTCGTTTGCTCTTAAAGCACTCATCAGATGTTGTAGGGGGAAATTCGAGATTTAAAGATTTTTAACAAGAATTTACAAAGCCTCATTTTGGGAGTAATTTGGGGTCTTCCTTTTTCTGAAAAATCCAGTGATCTTATGGCATTTTATTTCATTGTATTCTTTCACTCTTCGAAGTTTAAGAGTTCCACCGCCAAAGGGAAGCAGTTTCATTCTCTATAGCCAAAAGCTGTCACCAGTTGAGTCTGAATTTGTTATTTTCCAGAAACACCATTTTGAAAAGTTGCAACTGAGGCCCCTTGGCCGGCAAATCTGAGCTGCAGAAGCGCCTGAATTCCGGACGTTAAACCTCCAATCACCAGCCAGGGCAGCTCCGGCTGGGACAGCGCGGGCGCGCGGCCCCTCCACCGCCGCCAAACGGAGCGCGCTTGACGCCCCCGTTTTGACTTCAGCTCAGAAAGACAAGTCTTTGTAATGCAAGTTCCTCTTCCCTAGAGAGTTGACGCACCACCTGCCACCATCTCTACCCCTAGCCCTGGAGCGGCCTGCAGAACTGGGACTCTTCTCTTGTGGATTTCAATCGTGGGGCGTGTAACTGTTGCCAATAATTTTCAGAGACCTGGATCCTTAAGGAGGGGATCCTGGGGGAGGGACCTGAGGTGGGAACGGGTGGGTGGGACGAAGGACGAAGCCAGAAAAACCGAGACAACAGGAGGGAGGCAAGGGACCGAGGGCAACGTTTCTCCCAAGTGAAACACGCTGCATTCCGGCACCGACGGCTCCTCCGGCGCCTGGGCCCCCCCAGGCCCCGCCGCGATGCACCCAGGGCCTCCCGAGGCCGCGCTCCACCCAGGCTGCTCCGGGTCCGCAGCCCCACAGGCCCTCCTCCCCTCACCCCTCCTCCTCCCTCCGCCTCCCGCACCCGCGCACCACCCACTCGAGCGAAAAGCAAGTCAAGCAAATCCTGGGGAAGGCGCCCCACAGCCCTCTCCCGCGGGCACCAACACCTGGGCACACCGCGTCTCAGGCGGTAGCGGAGCTGGCCCACACCGGCCCCGCCAGCGCCCGGGAGGCGTCTCCAGGTCCCTACCCGCGTTCGCTGCGGATTGCAGCGACGCTCATCTCGGGAATATAACGATTAATCCAACCGCAGGTTTCCAGATAAGTGATTGTGATGGAGACTGTTGGCGAGAAAATAGACAATTATCCGCTGTTAGCTTTACATAAAGATCGCATTAACTCAAATTAGTTATCAGACAAAAGAGCGTCGGCGCGCGCGCCCTGCCTGCCCCGCGCCCTGCCCGCGGGGACCCCCGGGCACAACCAGGCCCAGGGCACGGCAGGCAGGGCCGAGGCCTCGGCAGGGCGCGAGGAGAGGGGGCATGCACTAGGGGGCTCCGAGCTCTGGCCCCCGCGGGGACTGCGTGTTGCGCCCTCCTAGACGCAGCGCGGGGCTCCAGACGGGGACAGGGTGGCTGCCCGAGCGCTCCCCGCCCCCCAGCGCTCCCCTCCGCTGCGCTCCGGCTCCCCGCTGCTGCGCCCCTCCCGCCCTCGCGTCCCGCTGCCGCAGTCCCTCTTCCCCCGCGCGCTCCGCGAGGCGCTACCCTTTTCTTTCTGGCGCCCGCAGCACCAAGTTGCTGGTCCCTGAGCACGAGGAGACGAAGTTAATGACTCCGGGAGGGAACTGCCCCTCGACCCCAAACTCGCAGCGAAAGCGTCCTCGGCCATGCGAACACTCTTAGACTACCGTCCTGTGCCCCGCCGTCCCCACTCCACGCGTGCGGTCACTGTCCCTCCCGGGGTCGCTCCCTGCGGGGCCGCGCTGCCACTCGGACAGGAGAGGGGACCAATGGGAAAGGTGGGCTGGGGAGAAAGGGCGCAGAGCGACCCTGGAGCTGGGTGTCCATGGCCTGGGGGCACCGGCTGAAACGTGGCCGTACAGCCTGGACGCCGACAGAAGTTGCGCACTGCCCACGCGCCGCGTGGCCTACTGGCGTGCTCTTTCTCCCGTGTCCCCACTAGGGTTGACACCGGCCCGCCGGAACACAGATTTGTGCAAACGCACAGCCCAGCGCCCTGAGCCCCGGCCTGGCCGCAGCGCCCAGCGGGGTTCCCCCCTGTCGCCGGCGCGCGCTGGCGGCGGTGCTCCCGCCCGGGCTGGCCTCGCTCGGCCCCCAGGGTCCCCGGGCCCCGCTGAATAGGGCGGATAATGACCCCCGGTTCCCAAGGCAGGCTTTCTGCGGCCTGGTGAGCCTTGGACTTGTGTGGTCTAAGCCTTTCCCAGCTTGTCCCATTCTGTCACCGGGATAAGGGGCTCCCTCGGCTCGTTTGCACCTGCGTCGCTTTTGGCTCCTTCAGGAATGCGCTGAAGCTTGTAATCAGCTTTGTGAAGCCATTGAGTGCACGGCTGAGTGAAACTTCCAAAGCTCGAGGAAAACGGGCCGGCTGAATGGGAGCCAGCATGGGGCTTCTCTCCAAGCCTCCGCGCTGCCAAATTCCAGCAGAGCCCCTCACAATCGCTCCGCGCGGGCTTGACTGCTTTCCCCACACTGAGAAAAGTGAGAAAAGAAAAGCGAAAATACCAGTCACCGAGGTTAGCCGCTTGTTCCCAGATTAATGGCAAACGGCCCCCTCCTCCTCCCCGCGCCCCCGCCCCCGCCCCCCTCCTGCATAGCGTACGGATTCAGGAAACACGGCAGAGGGGAGGGGAGGACAGTTATTCATAACTCCCCATCTGATTTCATATTTTCTGTCCCCTGCCCAGGGCGGGGTCTTCGAGCCAAGCGCGCGGTCCCCCCGCCTGCAGGTGCTGAGCTGGGCTGCCGCGGGCCCGTGGCCTGGGGAGGTCTAAGCAGGCTTGGCTGCACGCCTCGCTCCAGTAGAGGAGTCAGATGAAGCCAAACCTAAGATTTCCCAAAACTAGCCCTGCAAAGCCTTCACAGTACTCCTAACAGGAAACAAAAACAACAAACCAGCCCTGGGCCTCCAGTGACCTCCATCCCCACATCCACTCAGCAGGGCTGGCGCCTGGAAACAGGCACTTCTGGATTTCAGGGGCTTGGGAAGGAGGAGGTACAGGGAAGGGAGGACTTCTCTGACACCCAGGGTGTGTGTGTGTGTGTGTCCTCTTGCAGATAGTTAGGAGTAGAGGTGCCTGCAGCTGGGAGTACCCCCCACCCCACCCCGTTGCACGCCTCCCTGTCTGGTTCCGGAAGACAGGCGTTCTTCCAGAGGTTCTTACCAAGGGTCTAGCCCTTCAGACCAGTGCCTCCCAGGGCTGCCTCCCAGGCCTTGGGTCCCTCCCTCCCAATCAAGGTAAATGAGGGTTCCAGGCTGGCTTTCTTTCCAAAAAAGGAGATTCTTGGCAGCCAGTAGAAAAGCAACCAGCTTGCAGAAGGCAAGCAGGTGGGCAACAACATCGGGGCGGCTTTCTCCCCGTGGCCAGCTCCTCCAGGGCAGGGCTCCTTCCTCCTGCTGTTTCACCCCATGGTCCTGCAACAGTGCATGGCAGTGTGTGCAGAGGAGATGCTCAATACCTATTCATCAAGTGAATGCTGTCCAGTTTTACCTCTCAAAATTCAAGGCCTGCAAGCAGGTCTTCTGGAAGGGAAATATGGCAGCTTTTCTCTGGATGGCTCATAGGGCCCTCTCATCAGTGAACCCGCATAGGCATTACTTGTGGGAAAGAAAGTGAAGACAACATTATGATCTACGTGTAAAACTCTTTTTACAATCGCTGTGCATTTCTTTTGCTAATTAATTCTTGCCACCATGAATTGGACTCCTTTCCTTTTCTGCAAGCACAAATATTAAGCACAAGTTTTAATATGTGAGCTAGATTTCCATTCCTTCTAGTAAACACACGTTCAGGCCTGCCAGGTTTTCTTTCTCCTGCTGTAGAACCTTGCTTTTGTAGGGGCACCACAATGTCTGACTGCTGCTCTGTGCTATAAATAGTCCCCTGGTGGATCGAAAGGTTTAATGGGCCTCTTTAAATACCTAACTTATTATAAAGCCCTGGGAGAATCACATTAACAGGCAGAGAAGAGCAAGAAGAGAGCTCCCCCTGTAGATGCCCTATTACAGCATTCTTGGAGATCCGGAACAGGCAGGACTTTTCCTATTTATGTACATTAATGTGCATGAGAAGCTGCAGCACGCTGGCGCCGGGAGGGGCTGTGGTGGTGAAGGGGTGCACCTAAGCTAGGAGGAGGTGACACTTAAAGAGGTCAAGTGATTTGCGCAGAATTACCCAGAGGCATCGCGACTGTTATCAGTAATAATGAGAAGTCAGAAAAATCAGTGGGTGCTTTGTCCTGTGTTTAAACACATCAGATAGTCCCGTTTAAGAGCAAGGAACACCCCCACCCCCAGCCAGTTCTGAATCCCCAAAGGTGGCACAATGGCAGAATTGGTGAATCTCAAAGAAAAGTTGAATCTCTCTCTATGCCAAGACTTTGTGCATCCATTCGTCGACGCTGAAATGCTTTAAACACTCCAAATTCATACCGCCCATTTTGACAGTTAAAGTTTGCTTTTTATGATAAAGTTTTACATGTTGTTTTCAGCAATGTTTCTCCTTCCAACCACTCTCAGTAACAAGTCAGGAGGATATGCAGTAATTCAGAAATTAGTGAAATTTCATTCCTGGTGGGGGTGTTGGATTAAGAGGCTGGGAGAGTGTGAAGCAAGTCAACGTGTAATTGCATGATAAGGCTCTCACGAGGAATTTATTGGCCAAGTTGCTATTTCTATTCCTTCCTAATCTCGTTTAGCACATTCACTCTCTGCAATCTGTCTCCATAATCTTCTGTAGCAGAATGGCAGCCAACAGAAGCATGCATGTTTGGAGAGAAGAGAAAATATGCAGAGGCGTGATAAACTGATGCTAATTATCCATATTTAGGACACGGAGTGCAGAAGATCAAGGTTTACAAATCACAAGCCCGAGCCCGTGATGATGGCTTCCGCGTGTGGAATACATTGGAGGAGACCAGATAAGGGTTTCATGGGCAGGAGAGATTTATTGGTCAAAGGGTTCACCTTCCACTTTTCCACTTTTATATAGCAGTAAATTATTTAGGTTAAATTCACCAGAACATTACTCTTTCATCTGGCGACGTGCCATGGCTTGCTCTTTCTTTGTGTCTTTTCAATGCAAATCCTTGTAGTTTAACATCAGTTGATAAGAAACAAATAATTGAAGTAATAGGTAATTCCCTTTAAATCGTGCATATAGGATGGTCCCAGAAAGAATGAGATGAGGTAGAGAGCAGAGGGCTGAAAGTGAAGAAATATCAACCTCAACTCTTAAATGGCATAGCTGTCAGGAAACAAAATTTAGATATTCACTGCATGTATGTGTGCACATGTCTCTGTAAGCTCCACAGCCAGCATGCTTGTGGTAAGAATAGGTGTTCTAGTGTAGCACTAATATGGATGATTTTCCTTTCTGGAACCCCGACCATTTAAAATTTAAAGAAATCTAGGCCGGGCACCGTGGCTCATGTCTGTAATCCCAGCACTTTGGGAGGCCGAGGTAGGCAGATCACGAGGTCAGGAGATCGAGACCATCCTGGCTAACACAATGAAACCTGTCTCTACTAAAAATACAAAAAATTAGCTGGGCATGGTGGCAGGCACCTGTAGTCCCAGCTACTCGGAAGGCTGAGGCAGGAGAATGGCATGAACCCAGGAGGCGGAGCTTGCAGTGAGCCGAGATCGCGCCACTGCATTCCAGCCTGGGCGACAGAGGAGACTCCGTCCCCCCACCAAAAAAAAAAAAAAAAAAACACTAAACATAGTTTCTCTTCCCTCCACTATTCCCACATCACCTCCAACTGACTTAATATTTACAATTGCCTCTCAATGCTCTCCAAGACTTCTGGCTCTGAGAAAAGACATAGAAAGAATTCAGACCAGAAATATCTTGTGGCGTGGCTGGGAGGTCAGTGGTACAGACTTTTCTGCATTACAGAAATTGCCTTCTAAACTTCCCAGAGAACAAGCACAAATGTAGCACAGGATTTGGTTGCAAGTGGGCATGCTTATTTAAAAATTTATAAGATTAGCTAAACCCCATTCAATGGTACTAACTTTGATTTTTTTTTTTTTTTTTTTTTGAGGAGTTGAGGGAACTCATTTTTAGCTTTGGTACCGAATGGGAAACTGGTCTCCTAGAGTTTTCATTTGTAGATTTTTTTTAGTTGATGGGAGCGGGGGACAAAGCAACAGAAATTCTCTGTCGAATACACACTGCAAACTAGCATGAACCACTCATTATAAGGACAAGAGGTTTTTAGAATAAAAATAGTTATGCAAAAGTTTGGGGTTATAATTTATAATCCCTACATAAAGAAATATTAGGGAAGAATAGCTGATATTTGACACAAACAATTTTTTTTACCCCTGAGACCATCGGGACAAGAAATTATCTGTAGGCTACTTCTACACACACACACTTTTTCTATTTCAACAAGCCTAAGATGCCATTTATAAGATGCATCTTTATTTTACATGCTGCTATGAAAGAAAAAACTCTGCCAATTGTAATTCTAAGTTGCCGCTGATGGTAATGGTGCATTTAGATTCCAGAGATGATAAAAATATTTAAAATGAGTGTCTTAGAACCAAAGAAATACAATATGCATTGTTGAGTTCATTGAATAATGAGTTTGTAACATTTTATCCAGAATATTTTCAAAATTATCCATTGTTCCATAGAAATTAACTTTGTTGTAAATTAATAAATGTGTCAATAATCATATGTGAGTAACACATGCAACACGACTCTATAGATATGCAGAGTTTAGAAATGCAGAATTGAAACATTTATCCATTCCAGCCACCTCACCCAAAGGAGAAAGAAAAGTTAAAAACATAAATATTCTCTCATCAGTAATAATCTAGCAATTGAGGCAAAAGATGTGGATTGCTGGTTTTTTTCCAGAAATTATCTAAATTAGAGAAAGAACTCCAATTGTTCACTTTATTTGATACACATATGCATATTTGGTGCCTGCCAAAGTAAAGTGAACAATTTAGGCTGGTTGGTTTGGTTTTGGTTTTGGCACTGCAGATTGGATATGGTTAATTTGAATAATTTGGTTCCAAGAATCAGCTTCTCCCCCTAAATGACAGATTTTTCTCTACATGATCTAAACTGTGCCTAAACTCTTTACCTGTAGATGCTCTCATATTCACCTTCAAATACCTCTCCCTCCCCACACTGAGGACCCTATCAATCTAAGAAAACCAACCATAATTTTGAAAATAGGATTACGTTCAGAGAGAGATCAGCAATTTTCAAGGAACCAGTTAAATCTAATTTAATTAAATTTTAAAATGAAGCTAAAAATTTTTAAATTAAGTCTAATGGAAAATTTTTAACTTCAATTTAAAATTAAATTTCATGTTTCCTTGTAAGTTAGCTTGTGTTCAGACAGGCAGACACGGAGACTAATTTTTACTGCAATAGAAGTAGGCCTTGGCTGCACGTGGAAAGCACGAGGGGGAAAGGTACCCGCCAGCAGACCCAGGAGTTCTAAACATGCCCCACAGAGGCTGCACGTGCCTGTGCAGGTGTGCGTGTGTGTTTCTGTGTGCTCACACTTGCCCATGCCTCATGAGTGGCATCTGAATCCTAGCAAGCTGCAGCAGGCAGCACTCGTGGCACCTGCCAGAGTTAAGCACTGACCAAGCCCTGGTGCAGGAGAGAGCAGGGAGATGTAGAGAGGCCAGGGAGAGGAGCAAGGGAAGTGGAGAGAAGTACGACTGTGAGTTAACGTCTTTCTGGAAACCAGCTTTGCTCTTCCTTACGGTTCATGATGCCAAGCATGTGCGAATGTGAGCCGCGTGCTCAACTCTGCCTGCGGGTCTTTTTCTCACTGAAGGGAATGGTCAGCTGGGCCTGTGTCTGTTCTTTGTTCTTACCCTCCTCTTGGAACCTCTCCCCCAACCCTAGATGAATTAATCCACAAATGTCTACTCAGTGCATGCAAACTGCAGTAAGCATCTCGTTCATAAATACCTAGTTTCCACTGAATTTTCAAACCATGCAGAAGATGGTTCTGTGTGTTCGTCTTCCTGGATCACGCTCCTGGGCCACTTGAGTGGAGGCATTTTCACCTCTTCAAAACAATGTCTCAGGTCGTGGTTTCTTAACTGTGGGCAGTGTATACTGAGGTATCTGAAATAAACACAAAATTCCACTCATCATTCGCCTGTGCACTGGTTAGCAAGATGATTACAAGATACTCTAAATGTGCTCGGCGTGTTGAAACACACTTTCAGCTCCAATGACTTCAAATAGCTTATAAGTAAAACAAATAAACAGAATAATGGTGGGATTTATTTGGATTTATTCATTACGAGACTAACCAAGGCATGACATTTTCAGGCATGTCTTAATTTTTACAGGAGCAGGAAGGGCTTTCCTATCTTGATGTGTTCATCCCCCAAGCCTCAGGCAGTTATCTCTCTGGCCTGTCCCACGGCTTGAGGAGCCGACAGGGCACTGTGAGGGCTTTCGCAGCTCATGCATGGCTTGCCCCAGCTTCTACACATTAAAAGTGAAATAAATACCCAGGCCGACTCGCCTAGATTATGATCTGTGAGTTGATGTGTTAAATGAGCCCGTCGCCTTAAAGGTTATAAATGACAAGATTTTTACTATTACAAGTAATTTATAGCGATTTCCTGTTTGACGTGACAGATCCTCATGGAGAAGTCCAAATTCGTCTGCTTGACATACATTTATTTTAACACTTTACCCTTCTCCAAATTCTAGCATGTATTAACTACTGTTTGCCTAGGTGTCAATTTGTACCTGTGGGGTCTCCCTCTTGAGGCCTCAGTGGGGTCCCCTGGCCTCTATTCCAGCTGGCTGCCTGCATTTTAGCAGCTAATGTGGGTGATTACTGGCATATTTACTGTAATTTATAAAAATCACAGGAAATGACATTTTTATTAGTCACTGACTCCACCGTCACCAACTGCAATGGATGTTATGCATACAAATCCATTTTACAAAATTGTTCTTCCAAAATCAGAAGCTCTTTCCAGTCTCTAATTCTGTGGAATGATCACATTTCACTTTCACTTACCATGAACGGGATCGCGGCTGAGCTCAGAACTCAGCTTATTTCTCAGGCCTTGGAACTGTCTGTGTGGGGACTAGAATAGGGTCAGGGAAATGCTCTCAAAGACAGAGAATGATCCGGAAACATCCTGGCCTCAGTCTGAGAGTGAGCACGGCACCCACGCTTGCTATTGTCTTTACCGTTATGTGTGCCAGGATTTGTGGGACCCGTGCACACTGACACACTCCAGGGCCGTGGGCAGAGGTGGCTCCACGCAGGTCAGGTGCGGCTCGGAGAACCTAGTAGAACCCTGTTCTGCCAGTCCCTTGCTGCATGGCTCCAGGAGGCCTTGCTTCTCTGAGAAGGTTGGCAGTGGATTGAGTCTTAAAGGATGAGTAGGAATTTTCTGCTTGAGGGCAGAGAAGGCAGGGAATGTACTATGAGCAAAAATGCATGGAGTTGTAGGAGAAGATGTTGGGGTTGGGAAATTGCAAGATTTTTTGATATTGCTGGGGAGTAGGGTGCCTATGAAGGAACAGAGAAAATAAGACCAGAACCTTATTTTCCAGGAATCATATCGTAAGCCATGTGAATGCCATGCTAAAGAGTTTAGACGTCATCCTACAGACAGTGAGAAACCATGACAGATGCTAAATGGTTTTGTGTACATTGAGTATAGCTTGCTTGGAGTTACATACCAAGGGAGGAGAGACTTCAAGGAGGAAGAACTATCACTTATCTCAAAGGCCATAGGAAGTCCAGTTGGTGGAAGTTCCCAGCATGTTCATTGTGTGGGGAGAAGTAAAAGGCCTTTGTGAGCCCTCACAGGATGACTCCGGGGGGAGTGGAGGGGCAGGACCGGAAAGGAGGAGGGGCTCAGAGAACACAGCTCTGCAAGGAGCTCAGCTCAGAGTGGGGAGTGAGGGCAGCTACAGTGCTGTGGGGGCTGCAGCAGTGCAGAGAGGAGGCCAATGGCAGGAGGCACTGAGGATCCCAGAGAATGGACAACTGTGACCACAGTGTTTAATAAGAACACAGTGTGCACCAGGAGCCCAGCTGTCTGCACCTTCACAACCTCATCTAATCTTCATAGGAGCCCTGTCTCCTTTTCCTAATTGTAAATCACATAGTAAGTGTCAGCCTTGGGTTTGACCCAAGGAGTGTGACTCCACAGCTGGGCTTTCACCATGGAGCTGTGGGGCACTATTGAGGGTAACGTGGGACCAGGAGGAGTGCCTTCAGACCAAACTCGAGGGAGAACCTTTCCCTGGACAGAGGAAGGGGAGGGAGGAGGAAGGGGGCTGCTGCCTGTTAAGTTTCTGACGGTTGCTGACACATACCAGGCATGAGACACTTTAAATCTGTTATTGGCTGGGCGCGGTGGCTCACACCTGTAATCCCAGCAAATTGGGAGGCCAAGGCAGGTGGATCACGAGGTCAGGAGTTTGAGACCAGCCTGGCCAACATGGTGAAACCCCATTTCTACTAAAGATACAAAAAATTAGCTGGGTGTGGTGGCGCATGCCTGTAAACCCAGCTACTCAGGAGGCTGAGGCAGGAGAATAGCTTGAACCCAGGAAGCAGAGGTTGCAGTGAGCTGAGATCACGCTGTTGTACTCCAGCCTGGGCAACAGGGTGAGATTCCAACTCAAATAAAAAAAAAAAAAAAGAAAAAATCTGTTATTTATCCTTATTAACAAGGCTGAGGTGAGTGTTTCTCATGCCCTTGTGACAAATAAGGAAACAGGTTCAGGGAGACACAGGGAATCGGTAGGAACAGTAATATCCAAACCTGCATGGGCACGACTTGGAAGTGTCCCTGGAAGTCCGCCGTCCCACCCTCGGTGTAGCCTGTCCTGAGAGGGGGCCCTGATGATGGAGGGCACACAGGCTGCAGGCTCAGGCCCGGCCTGAGAGCTGCGCTTGCTCGGAAGAAGATGCCAAGCCATCTGGAAGAGAAGAGAAGGGCCTGGTGGGTGAATGGCTGGAGGAGGTTGCAGTTCTCAGAAATGGACGTGCTTTCTGACCAGGGAGGGGCACAAAAAAGAATCCTGGGGAGTGCTGAGGACATCACTGGTTTTTCAGACTAACCAAATGGGATGGACCGTGATGGTGTAGGGATGGCTGAGACACAGTACAGAAGCTACTGGATTCGAGGTTAGAGCCCGATGTGGCCATTTCAAGCCAGGGTGGTGAGAAGCCAACTGCATTGAATGTCTTCACTGGGGCAGCCTTGTTGAGCCCAGGGAAGATCAGCTGTGCCGTGAGTGGAGTGTAACTTGCTCTCAGGAGCATTTCGGAATCACACAGCTCTGACTGTCAGAGCTCAGCCCTGCGCCTCTAGGAGAGAGACACATATGGGGCGGAGGTAGACAGAGAGACAGAGACACAGAGGAAGAGTCAGAGAGAGAGAAGAAGAAGAACAAGAGAAGGGAAGGGAAGGAGAAGGAAGGAGAGAGAGGAAGGGAGAGAGAGAGTTTGCTGAAATGGATGGGAATGTGTTATCGCTTACAGCCCTAAATCGGAACTATCTCACAGTGCAATAATTTTTTTTCTTTTACTACGATGGCCAGTACCAAAGATCTAATGAACAAATCCCCTGCATTTGGGAACTGAGAATCAGATTTAACAAATATTTGCTGAGAACCTCTAATGGCTCAATCTTTCAAGAATATTTCCTTCTTTAGTTCTCACAGTCCTTCAAGTTATATATCATTTTTGCCATTTTCCATTTGAAGAAACCAGCTCAAAGACGTGAAGCAATTTGCTTCATGTTTACAAAGCTAGTAAGTAGCATAGTCAACGTTTGAATTAGATCATCTGACTTCAAATCAGTATCCCTATACCACAGCTACCACTGTAGGGTCTACATACGGTGTAGATCACAGTACAACTAAGGTGGAATTTCACCAACCACCAAGATGCAAAGATTGAGTGCTGTGGAGACAAAGGAAGCGATCAGTTGGAATCACTCTGTAGATCCACTGGGACTTAGAAGAGAAGAGGTTGAACAGCAGTGGACTCTGGGAGGGTTGACATTGGCAAAAACCCAAGGGCAAATTTGATTTACTTAAATCAGGTCATGGCTTAAAATGAACATCTTTGTTGTAAGCCCAAGATGTCAAATTGACCTCTGTGACTCCTGGAATAGTCTAAAATGGGAGTTCCATGGACACTATCAGCCCCTTTGACACTGTGGTGAAGCCTCTGAACCCCTTCTCAGGATAATGTTTCTAAATGCACAAAATACAGTGCATATAAGGAACTGATTCGTTATTTTGAAAACTGGTAAGTAAAGGGAAAGATTGTAGCATGTGCATTCTGGTTTCTGTACTAACTCTACCACTGGGTAACCTAATAGTCAAGAAGACATATTTTTTCCTTTGTAGAAGTATTATAGCTAATACATTACAGTAATGATAGAATTTGAAAAAGCATTTCGCATCTCCTAATTAACGAATGGATTCACGCATTAACCCTCAATGGCACCAACTCCCGGAAGTCACGCTGCTTCCCTTTTGCCCTTGAATCAAACCTGAACAGTATCAGGACTCTGAGGCCAACTGTCAGTTCCCAGAAAAGTCACGGAAGAGGCAATGATAAAGGATACCACGGATGCAATTGGCAACCCAGACCGTGGGAAACTCTGCATGGTAAATAACCCTCTTTTTTTTTTTTTCCAAAGAATTCCAAAAAGAGAGACAGAAGAGTGAGATTGTAATTAAATTCTTTAATAATCATAATTTCTTACTAATGGCATGTGTGTGCCTGCCATTGGAAGGAGATTTTGCAGCTGCCACCTTCGTTTCATTTTCTGCTTTGATTTTTGTGGGGTACTTGCTTTTATACTGCAGCAAATGTCAAAACCCAGATTCACAGAGACAAGGCTGCTGCCATGAGGGTTGTAGCCCTGTCTCATATGGAACCATGAACCATATCGGGCTACTAGTTTGTGCGGTGTCCACAGACAACAGTTATCACTGTGTTTCCCTTGAACATTGAAAATATCAATGTTGTTGGCACCCCTGTGAGCTTGCTGTGAGGTCCCAGGGTACCTTGGCACACAGGGAGCAAAGTGTCGCCTAAGTTATACAAGCAGGTGCCCTGGATCCAGAAGAACCAATGGTTCTTGCTTTCTAGTCCCGTGAACCATATTCATGCAAGGACGAGGTCCTTCTTCTGATTTCATTTATAAATGGACAGTGGACATGTGTCCAGAACTTGATGAAATTATGTAACAAGTTACTGGTCTGTTAAATTCTGAAAACCGTCTCTACTTAAGTATATTTGACTTATCTGGACTGTGTCCTCTTAGGCAAATTTCTTTTAGTGGGAGATCTACTGTTTAAACTGTTTGAAAATTCTCACTGTTCTTTTAGCTGTGACAGTTAATTTCCATGTGCATTTCTACTTCTGGTCATGATGAAACTGGTATCAAACTAGAACTTCTGCTGTTAAAAATCTATAAAGTTGGACAAAATGTGTGAAACGAGTGTTTTCAGATGCTTGACAATAAGAGTGCAGGCCTGTGCTCCCTGAAAGAAGGGCCATAACAGAGGTGAGCCCCAGGATTGCCCAGTGTCCTGCCATGAGCCTTCCCAAAGCAGGTCCCAGAGGAGCCCGGGCAGGACAAGGCCATCCTGCTAGGTCGAGAAGTGTAGGAGATGCAGTGGAGCTGGAGGGGAGCACAGGCTGAAGGCTCAGAGGAGAAGTTTCAGAAATCCACAGGGAGGCCTGCTGGCATCTTTGAATACTCAGCTCTACCTGCTAAGGCAAGACTCCAAAACAGCAGACAAAGACCAACTACCAGGGAGAGGAGCTGAGTAGAAATTCCAGAACTGGCATGGGGCTGGAAGACAATGAGGACCAACAAACCAGTATGGAGAGACCTCGTTGAACACACCAAGCACTCCAGTTAATATCCTGGAGCAGACGTGATTTAGGAATAAGGTTACTCTAGCCCTAGAGTCAAGACTACTGCAGGCATTCACTAACTGAGCTTAAAATCAAGCCTTAAGAGGATCAAGTTGAGCTGCACGTAAATTAACTGCCTACCACCATTAACTTCAATATTCTTCAAATGAGGACAACGAAACCCAGACATTCAAAAAGCTGGCATCCACTATGTCCAGCATGCAATAAAAACTTGCCAGATATATAAAGAAGCAAGGAAATGTGAGAAAAATGTGAGGAGAAAAATCAGTCAAAAGAAACTGACTGGAAATGACAAAGACGATGGACTTTAACACGACCATTATAAATAGGTTGAAAGATTTAAGTGAAAATGTAAAAATATTGTGGGATCAATAGGAAATATCAATAGAGAAGCAAAAACAATTGGAAAGAAAACACACGAGAACTCTAGAACTGAAAAATGCAATTGAATATGAACATTTCCGTTTTATCTATAAACCTTCTGATTACAATGCCTGTCTCATCCGTAAACACAATGCAGTATACAAAATAGCTTGTCTCGTGTAAATAAAATACAATGTAAGTGAGTAATCCCTCGTTTGACTCAAGCATGTTTCCTGCAAAGAAGCTGAGGGACTTCACACACATATCCAGGCACTCTCAAAATCAGCTGGGCAGCACTGGGCACTGCAGTTTATTGTCTAAGACAAGGCTGTTGATGGGACTTTCTGTGATGATGGAAATGATCAATGTCTGCACTACCTCATACGCCTGCCACTAGCCCCATGTGGTTATTTACATTTACTTTAATTAAAAACTCAGTTCCTCAATAGCAGTAGCCAAATTTCAAGTGGTCATAACACAGCTCTGAGGTCTTAAAGTCAATTTTGTAAAAATCTTTTTTTTTTTTTTTTTTTTTTTTTGAGATGGATTCTCACTCTGTTGCCCAGGCTGGAGTGCAGTGGTGCAATTTCAGCTCACTGCAACCTCTACCTCTTGGGTTCAAGCGATTCTCCTGTCTCAGCCTCCCGAGTAGCTGGGATTACAGGTGCCTGCTGCCACACCTGGCTAATTTTTTTTTTTTTTTTTTTAGTACAGCTGGGTTTTTGCCATGTTGGCCAGGCTGATCTCAAACTCCTGGCCTCAGGTGATCTGTCCACCTTGGCCTCCCAAAGTGCTGGGATTACAGATGGGAGCCACCATGCCTGGCCCAGTTTTTTTTTTTTTTTTTGGTATGTTGAAATAATTAACTCAACTTCCAGAGTTTGGAATGACTCAATGACTGCATAAGAAGAAATTTATACACTAGGGAAATTCAGGTGTGAATTTTTTTTTTCATTTCATTAGTTAATATGTTAGGAAAGAAGTGAAGGACCTATCTGAACTCAGTGGTTCTAAAGTTTCATAGGCAAAGCAGTTAGTTGGAGGGTTTGTTATAATAAAGATTTCTAAGATACACCCACCCCCAGATTAAGGGGTATTTAATATGGTTATCTACTACTGGGTGGGACTCAGAAATCCACATTTTTTGGAAACATCCTAGGTAATTCTGATACATGAGTATGCCTTAAGAAAAGCTGAAAAAATATTCAAATATTCAAACCAAATGTTGCCACTTCAATCAGTGTGAGTTTACATGCATGGTGTGGACAATTATCTAATTTTTCTTTTTGTAACTTTTGTTGGTGTTGAACTGCCTGCCTGCCTGCCTGCCTGCCTGCCTTCTTTCCTTCCTTCCTTCCTTCCTTCCTTCCTTCCTTCCTTCCTTCCTTCCTTCTTTTCTTCCTTCCCTCCTTGTTTTTTTATTTTGAGACAGAGTTTTGCTTAGTCGCCCAGGCTGGAGTGCAGTAGCACAATCTTGGCTCACTGCAACCTCCTCCTCCCGGGTTCAAGCAATTCTCGTGCCTCAGCATCCTGAGTAGCTGGGATTACAGGCGCCTGCCACCATGCCCGGCTAATTTTTGTATTTTAGTAGAGACTGGGTTTCACCATGTTGCCCAGGCTGGTCTCTAACTCCTGAGCTCAGGCAATCTGCCTGCCTCAGTCTCCCAAAGTGCTACCATTACAGGCTTCAGTCATCGTGCCCGGCCTATGCTGTTTTTAAATGTAGAAAAAAAGTTTTTTATTTTTTCCTTATTCTATTAAAAGCAAACTGCATTTCTCAGATGATTCAAAATGTCATGTTTCTGTGTACTAGAACTTAGGATACAGAGGTCCTATTTACTTGTTGAGTGAGCAAATCCAGGCGAGAGATGTTTTAGGGATGCTGTCTCTGAACACACTTGCTCCACACACGAGTGAACTGAGTGTGGCCTGAGACCCCTGGTCCAGCTGAGCGCCCTGCTTCTGTGTTGGCAGGACACATTTCACAGGCAAACGTGTGAGTGTGAGCACATTCTGGATCATTCGTCTTTTTCTCTTGGAAATAAATTATAATAAGATTTTCACTCGCAAACTCACCAAAACGTGTGTTCTCCCTTCGAGGTCATGGAAAATTCTCTCACATAATAACATAGGATAAAGACAGATTTGGCTTCCTGAATTCATTTTATGAAAATCAGACTTGGAGGCATTCTAGAAGGAGTCCAAAGAGGAAAATTTGATTTCAGGAACCTTTTGTCATCAACTTTTTCAACACTGAGTTGGCAAGCTACCTCTTAAGCCTGCCAGAGCCAATGTTTCATCACATCCATTTCTCATTGAACCACTGGGTTTCTTCTACTTCAAACTAAAAACCCTGCAGGATATTGTGTCTATAAAAATAATTTTAGAAAGATTTTTCCAACCTTATATTTAAAAGGATTTTTTTGTCTGTTTGCTTAATTAAATTCATTTTATTTTAAAAGCCAAACCAAATTGTTTTGTGTTGTAGTGTTTTGTGCTTTTGGTGTAATAGTGGAAGACACATCACACAATGGTGTATTTGTGCCCTATAAATGCTACATCATACACATTTTCCAGATTATATAGGAATCATCTAAATAGTCCCAATACCAGCCATAATTCCATTTTGTCTTTTTTGTATATGTTATGTACCAGTGAGAAGAAGGGCACAGTTATATTTAAGTATAGCTATGTATGTGTATTTTGAGAAGAAAAAAAAATTTTCCTTATTATTCTTTATCCAAATTCTGACACTTATACAATGGCCTGCCATAAAATGCTTTTTTTTTTTTTTTTTCAGTATTTGTTTGATTTTTGGGTCCCTGAGTCCAATTCGCTTATATGCTCAAAGAACGTCTCTAAGTTTTGGGTCACAATAGTTTCATTGACTTTATTTTGGGGACCTTTGGTTCCAGCAGTAGCCTACTTTTTTGTGATAGAGAAGAGATTAATGAATTAACCCCTTTATAAATACCACGTGCATTTTCTATTTCTGGACATTTCTGAATAGGGCCCATGAATCACTTAATAATTCTGTGAAAAGCTTTCTGTGGCAATTCTTTGGACATCTCTGGCCACTAGATAAAATTCCATGTTCGTGGACTAGGTGGAATAATCACCCTGTTAGCGCTTATGTAATAGCACTGAGATCATCTCGTCCTCTGTAGGGACTGGCATCACTCTGTGGCTGTGTTCTCCCCGTCTGCCGGAGTCTGCCTGGTGATTGGCCTCATTGCTGTCTGTAGGGACTGGCATCCCTCTGTGGCTGTGTTCTCCCCGTCTGCCGGAGTCTGCCTGGTGATTGGCCTCATTGCTGTCTGTAGGGACTGGCATCCCTCTGTGGCTGTGTTCTCCCCGTCTGCTGGAGTCTGCCTGGTGATTGGCCTCATTGCTGTCTGTAGGGACTGGCATCCCTCTGTGGCTGTGTTCTCCCCATCTGCCGGAGTCTGCCTGGTGATCGGCCTCATTGCTGGGGCTGTAGGTGGTGGTGGTGTTTAGCACTGTGGTTTCTATTTCTAAGAACACCCTTTGCAGAAATGGTTCCACCTCAAGGTTCTACCGCAGCTTCAGTGTGGGGTGGCTCCCGTCACTCCTATGAGAGTTACACTCCTTTCCTTTCCCTATTTCAAATGAAGACAGTCTCTTCAAGATGAAAAGGGAAAGGAAGGGGTCACAGCTAACATTAGACTCTAACACCAAAATCAAAACAATTGCAACTGGCATTGGGGCATTTCATACTTGGACACAGAGCTGCACACCCCGCCCGCTGCCAACCAGGAACTTCACAGGGGGTATTCACAGATATCCGAAAGTGCGCATTTAGAGATGGAGATGTGAGATGGATTGGGATTCAGCAGATACAAACCCTATCCGTGCCTGAAGGACCTCTAATCGCGTTGTCTTCACATGTCTCCTGAGGAGCCAGGAAAAAGGGGTTTCACCTCCTGTGCTTCGTGTGGAACTCCACTGCAGCCTCTGAACTCTCCTTACTCGTGTCCATGTGACTGTGCAGGACTCAGTGTTCTGTCAATGGTGGAACTTGGTGTTTAGAGAAGAAAGGCTGAGGAACGGAAGCTGGCTCTGGTTTTCCATAAGGGTCAAGGACACAGGGAGACAGAGGAAAAAAAGAGAGGATTTGGTGAGAGAAAACAGTGAATGTCCAAGACCTGATAAAGGAGAAAATTCCAGTTAGCAATGCAAAACCTTACGATGGACTACAAGCCAGAGAAGCGAGACCTCCTGAGACCTTCTCTAGGTTTCTGGTAAGGGGGCAGCATCGCCAAGGAAAGCCATTTAGGATGATGACTGCAGTGCAGGGGACTCCTGGTTAAACCTGGCGATTTCAACACGTGTTTTATTGATTTTTTTCTTTCTTGTAACCCCACTCACATGAAAATTAAATAGTATCAAAAAGGAGAGGAGGCTTTACTGGCTTATGAACAGCAGTAAATTTTTTGGAGATCAGAAATAAAGAGAAAGCAGACCTAAGAAAGCCAACGCAATGCCTAAAGTGAGTGATATGATAAGAACCATGCTAATCTTACTACAGAACCAGAAAGGACCCGGAACCTGAAATTCCAGTGTCTGAAATGATAGAACTAAAAGGAGTCTGAAGTCCACAGGAGAGAGGCCAGACTTGGAAGTCCCCTCCCCTCCCCAGCACACCGGCAGCGACCCCTCCTCCAACGCAGCAGATTCATTTACAGAAAATGGAATGAGAGAGGCAGTAGAGGAGGAGACAGTAAGCGTAGCAGATGGGAGGGGAGAAGGGCTGCCCTGAGAACAGACCTGTTACATGAGAGCTTATGTCCTGGACTGGGGGTCCCTCCGTCCCTTCTGTGCAGTTGCAAGAATGCCTGTAGGTGATGGCAAAATTTTTCTCTAGAGAAACAAAAGGATTCAAGAAGAGGGGAGATCCCCAAAACTACACATAACTGACATCTGGATATTCCTGCAATGAAACATTCAAATTTCAGGCTGCAGTAAACCTACCAGGTATCATACAGCCCCTCCCAAAGCTTCCAATCAGCTTTTTTGTGCCTCATTTAAAAATATTAACAGATAAAAAGAATAAACATACATTAGAGGAAAGCCCCTACATGAAAGGCTGAGTCCAAAATTAACAGGTAAAGGGATTCAGAAGCAGCCAAAGCCATTCGGGACAAGTAGAGGCATTTACATAAAAACTCATAAAGAGGATATTATAATTCATGAAATGAAACCAGCACAGTATTTAAACCAAAAAGATATAAGAAAAACTCAGAGGACAAAATATGTCCTGGAATGTAAAAATATGATTGTTGAACAAAAACAAATCAATGAAATAAGTGAAAGATAAATGTGAGAAACTATCCAAGAAAACAGAGCCAAAAGAGCAAGAGAGAGAAAGGAGAGAAACAATATAAAAATCAAAAGATGATGCAAAAGATGTGATCTCTAATAGGAATTCCAGAAAGAAAGACCAGAGAAAAATAGAGAAAATTTTAAAGAAACAATTCATGGAATTTCTCAGAATTGAAGGATATGACTTTCAAGATGGAAAAAGTACATCAGATTCCCAGCACAGGAAATCAAAAAAGATATCAATACACATCATCACGCAACTTCAAAAACCAGTAATAAAAAGAGAAAATAAAAACAGACAACAAAATAGTTTGCATAGAAAAACCATAGATCAGATTTTTTTTTTTTTTTTTGAGACGGAGTCTCGCTCTGTCGCCCAGGCTGGAGTGCAGTGGCGGGATCTCGGCTCACTGCAAGCTCCGCCTCCCGGGTTCACGCCATTCTCCTGCCTCAGCCTCCCAAGTAGCTGGGACTACAGGCGCCCGCCACTACACCCGGCTAATTTTTTGTATTTTTAGTAGAGACGGGGTTTCACCGTTTTAGCCGGGATGGTCTCGATCTCCTGACCTCGTGATCCGCCCGCCTCAGCCTCCCAAAGTGCTGGGATTACAGGTGTGAGCCAGCTAATGCCATTCTTAACATGAAAGACTGAAAGCTTTCCCTAAGATAAAGAATAAGACAAGAATGCCAGGTCTCACCACTTCACTCCAACACTGCACTGGAGGTTCTAGCCCAGGAATCGCAGCTCCCTGCCCAGCCATTGACTGGTACCTGTCCCTGTCCATGGCCTGTTAGGAACAAGGCCACCCAGCAGGAGGTGGGCAGCCAGCGAAGCTTCATCTGTATTTACAGCTGCTCCCCAATGCCCACATCACCACCTGAGCTCTGCCTCCTGTCAGATCAGTGATGGCATTAGATTCTCATAGGCGCGTGAACACTGTTGTGAACTGCACACGCGAGGGATCTTGGTTGTGTGCTCCTTATGAGAATCTAATGCCTGATGATCTGTCACTGTCTCCCATCACCCCCAGATGGGACCATCCAGTTGCAGGAAAATGAGCTCAGGGCTCCCACTGATTCTACATTCTGGTGAGTTGTATAATTATTTCATTTATATATTACAATGTAGTAATAATAGAAATAAAATGCACAATAAATGTAATGCACTTGAATCATCCTGAAAGCATCCCCCCACAACCCCCCATCTGTGGAAAGTTTGTCTCCCACGAAACTGGTCCCTGGTGCCAAAAAGGTTGGGGACTGCTGTTCTAGCCAGTGCAATAAGATAAGAAAAAAAAAAAAGACATCAGATTAGAAAGGAAGAAATAAAAATGCCTTTATTTGCACATGACGGGATGTCCATGGCAAGAATCCAAAACTAAAATAGTTTGGGATAAATATGACAAAAGATGTATGAGATCTTTGCACTCAAAACTGAAAAACATGACTAAAGGAAACTAAAGAAGATTTAAATAAGTGGAGATTATATAACATGTTGAAGGATTGATGACTCAATGTTGTTAAGATATCGGTTCTCCCAAAATTCATCTATAGATTCCATAAGGCCTCAATTAAAACTGCAGAAGGCTTTTTTTTTTGTAGACATTGACAAGCTTATTCCAAACTTTATATGGAAATGCAAAGTACATAAAACAGCCAAAACAACTTTGAAAAAACATTAACAAAGTTGGAGTATTTACACTACCTGTTTTTAGGACTTATACAGTAATTAAGATTGCGTGGTATTGACATAAACATAGATCAATAGATCAATGTAAAATAATAAAGAGTCCAGAAGTAAAACCACACATATATGGTCAATTGATTTTTGACAAAGGTGCCATGGCAATTTAATGGGTAAAGAATAATCTTTTCAAAAAATGATACTGGAACAATGAGTAACAATATGCAAAAAAATACTAACACTTACTTCATGTCACATACAAAAATTAATTCAAAATGCATCACAGTCCTAAATGTGAGAGCTAAAACTATAGAATGTTAGAATATTGCTCATTAGAACATTTTGCAATGATGGCACTACTATTTGTCGTACTGATCAAGATGATTGCCAGTAGCCCCCTGTGACGACTCAGCACTGGAGATGTGGCTGGTTGACTGAAGGACATTACTTATGGATAAACAACTGTCTCTCCCTACAGCAGAATACTCACCCATAAAAGGAATGGCCTATGGATGCATGCTATATATGGATTACTCTTAAAATCATTATGCTAAGTGAAAGAAGCCAGACAAGAAAGAGCACACACTATAAAATCCCATGTATACAAAATTCTAATAAATGCAAACCAATCCATACTGACAAAAAGCAGATTCGTGGTTGTTTGCAGGTGGAAAGAGGTAAGAGAGAGGGTTTGCAAAGAAGGGAAGTGAACTTTTGACGGTGATGGATATGTTTGTTATCTTGATTGTGATGATAATTTCATGGGTATATATATTTGTCAAGCTGTATCAAATTGTTTATGGTATATGTGTACAGTTTATTGCATATCAAGTATCCCTCAGTAAGGTGTAAAACACAAATAGTACAGATTGCTCAAAAGCAACATCATGTGTTGGAGATAAAATCACAAGGGAAAATTATTTTTTAATCTAGATTTCTATACCTAGCTAAACTATCACTCTAGGGTTGTACAGCCTATTAGAAGGCATAACTTACCAAAACAAGAAAGGAAATCCAGCAAGAAAAAACATGGATATGGAAAATGGGAGATCCGTGGCAGAGAGATGACATGAAATGTGACAATAACCACCATGCAGCAAGGGGACAGAGGCCCCCCAGGCCTGGCTGCAAGAAGAAGCTGAGCTGATGAAGTCCCTGATGTATTCAACCTTGCAGGACATACTATTTAAAGGTGTTTACTAATACGGATGCAGAATTTGGAAAGAATTTGTGATAGGACCGTAGAAAACCGAAGGATGAACAACATCAACTCTCACAAAACAAGACCATTAAAAACTTTAGGTAAAAGAACAGTTTCCCAAGAATGGAAATGTTATTGTTTACCACTGGGCTCAGCCATGAACAATACTTCTACATTCAAAATAAGGTAAACACTGGCATTCACTTAACAAAATCCAATGATGTACCTACTTTGGGAAAGACGGGAGTAGGAAAGAATGTGAAAGAACACCATAGCTTTATAGTCCTGCTAAGGTCTGAATAGATGATGTCTACAATTAATAAATCAAGAATAAGCAATACAAACATATAATCCAGAAATATGGAGATAAATATGTGAGAAGAATGCCAAAAGAATTCTATGAAGCTGCTGCTGGGGAATGGGTCCAAGGGATGGGCTTGAACAAAGCGTGGGTCTGCTGTTTTCCTTGGGAGCCTATGATACTGTTTGCCTTCTAAAGAAATGTTCATATGGATTATATTATTAGCATTAGAGTCTGTCAGCTCTGGGCTGATCCTGAATCTTCTGTTCATTGATAATATGCCCTTTGGTAGATTACTTAACCCCTGTTAGTCTCCTCACTCTATAAAAAGGGGAATAACTATACATCTCAGAGATGTAGTGGGGATAGTATGAGATTATGTGAACTGCATGGAATTGCACTGCATTCTTCCGAAGGGGTAAAGGTGGTTTAGTAAAAATAAAAATAACTCCCAGGTGGCATCTGAGGGTTATTCAGTTTCCTTTCTGCTGTAACGGAGGGACCGTGTTGTTTGGAGTAGAATTCACATTAGTGGCCACTACATGCTGTCTTAACATGGCAACAAGAAGTAAGTCCCCTCTGACCTGCTGTGGCTTCTACAGTGCCATGATGTAGGTGATTAATTCAGGATAGATTCAAGGTCATTGAGAGGGTAACCAGTTGGTAGGAATACGTATTAAAAGCTCCTGTTTGCAAACAGGTCTAGGGGATAGTAAGGGTATTCAAAAGCTCATGAAACACTAAACTACTTCTTTTTTCAGCAGTACCAAGGCCTTTAGAATATGGACTATTTACTAGGCAAGAAAACTCAGTGTCATTATCAATCACCACCCATTATGGCTTGAATGGTGTTTCCCCCAAAAATGTTGACGTCCTAACCCTAGCACCTTTGAATGTGCCTTTATTTGGAAATAGGGTATTTGCAGATGAACAGGTCAAGACAAGGTCATTAGAGTGGGCCCTAATCCATCGCCTGTTGTCCTTTGAAAGAAGGGGCACTTGAACCAGGCATGCATGCACTCGGGGAGCAAGCCCTGTGAGGGTGAAGGCAGCAATCAGGGTGACGTGTCCCCAAACCAGGGAATGCTGAGGATGCCAGCAACACTGTAAGCTGGAGGGAGCCTGGCACTGACCCCCTCACAACTTCAGAAGGAACCAGCCCTGCCATCACCTTGATTTTGGACTTCTCTACACAGCTGTGAAAGAATAAATTTCTTTTTTTAAAGCCACCTAGTTTGTGGTACTATTACGGCAGCCCCCAGAAACTAACACAG
Source organism: Homo sapiens (assembly GCF_000001405.40). Classification (NCBI taxonomy): domain Eukaryota; kingdom Metazoa; phylum Chordata; class Mammalia; order Primates; family Hominidae; genus Homo; species Homo sapiens. The sequence continues at coordinate 112,082,322 of NC_000013.11, read as the reverse complement.
TGAGGCCCCATTTAGTACACATGGGAAGGTTAAAGTCTCCTAACTTAATCCTCCTAAAATAATCCTTTGAAAGCATAAGGAGAGGCTGTTAACACTTGCTCTTCATCTTTGATCCATGCTTTCCAGCCCTGATCAACTCTGCAGCAGCATCTCTCTGGATAGGGTGGCCTCATCACCAAAATCTCCTTGTCTTTCTAACATTTGGTCTTTCCAATGTGACCCATCTCTGACCCTGCTTTGGATTCACTTCTAGCTTGTAGGTAATCCCTTGCTTCTAATAACTTCCTTAACGTTCCATGTATTTCTTGGCCTGAATTATTTATTTCTAACGTCCAGTCATTGTGATGAATACATACAACTAAAATATTTAATCACATCTAATACAAATGCAATTAAATGACTACACTACAGGGTTCTGACTTCAATAGGCATAAGGTTGTCGAAGGTTATTTTTATGCCTTTTCACTGAGCATGGGTAACAACAGGTAAGGAAGCCTGATGTCTTTCATTTTTTGCTCAAATTGGGGTCCAGTGAAATACTGGCTAAAATGTAAATCACCTTCTTGCTCTCGTTCACTTCCTTCTCTCACTGCTGCCCCATATTTTCCTCAGTCTTTCTCAATTTTACTCAACAAGAAAAAAATAAGAAAGTAAATTTTAAAATAATAGAATGCCTTTGGCCACATGCGGTGGCTCACGCCTGTAATCTCAGCACATTTTGAGGCTGAGGTAGGGGGATCACTTGAGCCCAGGAGTTCAAGACCAGCCTGGGCAACATAGAGAGACATTGTTCTACAAAAAAAAAAAAAAAAACAACAAACAAACAAACAAACAAAAACAACAAAAAACAGCCAAAACAAAAAAAACTTTTTTTAAAGTTAGCCGGGCATGGTGGTGTGTGCCTGTGGTCCCAGCCACTCAGGAGGCTGAGGTGGGAGGACCACTTGGGCCCCAGAGGCTGCAGTGAGCAGTTACGGTGTCACTACACTCCAGCCTGAGCAACAGAGCAACATCCTGTCTCAAAAAAGTAGTTTAACATGTATAACTAAAAGTTATCATTTTCAAAGGGAGCATTTTCCCCAGATACATATATATTTGATGAACATATAAGATAAAATAATTATTCAAAAAAATAAAAAGGTGAATGAAAAGTTGTGGTTTCAGGGTGCCAGTGATCAATTAGTACTGACCCCTTTACTTTGTAAACTCCTGCCTTTGCACATGGACTGGACTGGTCATTTCTGTCACCGTCATGTACAATTCACAGTCTTGCTGCTGGTGGGACACATCAACTGTCCCTCATAACCGCCCGTGACGTTCGGAACTACAAACACTGTGTAACCTGATGGTTTTCCTAGAGAGAAGAGAACTCTGAACCCAGAAAGAAAGAAAGAATGTACTGGAACAGAATTGTTTCTAGGAGAGTTAATGAAATAGAAAGGTAGAATCTAGGGTAACTCTTAGAGCAGTTTTGCTGATGGTCAAAACTATTAGACTAAGCATCTTCTTTAGAAAGTTCGTAGAAATCCTGGCATGGGGAGCATCTGTGACCAAAATAGGCGACAAGCTGATGGACACGGTTTAGAAGTTCTTCAGCACGTGAGCGCACATGCTAGCATTCTGCCATCTCTAATTCTGTCTGACTTGCATAGATTTAAATTTGGTTATGTTAATCTGAGTAAGATGTTAACGTAAAAGCTTTCTTGCTCATTAAAAAAAAAAATTTATTTCAGCCTTTAAACTGAGAATACTACTAGAAATGTAGTCTCAATTCTAAAATACCGACTATGAAATATGGATAACAAAGCAAATTATCCACACGAAGGAAAATTATATAAAATTCTTAAAATAATTAAGCCAACACTTTATTATTCAAAAATGAACACATCACCTGTAGCAACTATTTGCAAAAAGCTAAAATTGTATTCAAAACCACAGCTTCAATTAAATGGTATAATTGCATAAACACAAAATGTAGGCAAAAATAGATAATTTTACATCAATCTGTTGGCTACAAGTTTGATATCAATTTGAATAGTATAGGTTTTCATAACACCCTTAGCACCCCCAGGGATTTTTTACAGTGCCCCAAGCTGAAATGCCTAACTATTCTGTTTGTTAAATAGTTAACTTCAAACAACTTCATATATATTTCTGTTCTAATAACGTAGCAGTCATTTTTTAAAGTGACACATATAGACTGAAATAAAGAATACTATTTTCACCTCACTTCTTGCACACCAGCCTTGCATACTGGTGGTCTGCACGTGCCTGTCTTGAGCCGCACGGCCTCTCCAGCCTTGCCTCTGGTTCCGCCCAACCCTGCATTTCCTGGTCTGCACTTTTCCCACAGGAATTGCTTTTGACACAGCAACTGCCAAGAACCCAGTTTCACAAAGATATGATGTCATCCAGGGAGTGTAGCTGCAAGTTCACCCTGGGAGTCTAAAGCTGCCTCCAGCTAGCTCACAGGGCCTGGGAAGAGAAGTCTAAAACTGCCTCCAGCTAGCTCACAGGGCCTGGGAAGTGAAGTCTAAAACTGCCTCCAGCTAGCTCACAGGGCCTGGGAAGTGGCCGGCGTTGCTGTTTCCCTCAGAATTTAAAGCTATGCTGAGCTTGTGGGGCTCTGGGGTTCCTTGGCTCACAGTTTGAGAAACCACAGGCATCACGGACCAGGTTGAGGTGGGTCCCGAGGCACCACCCTGTCACCAGGGAAGGGTGACATAATTGATATAACATTATCTATTTTTGCTGCTTTTGCACTGTGCTGACACCAATCATTCTGATTATCAAAAATAAATTCCTAGGTTTGTATATTTCAAATATCCAAGCAAGTAACACAGTCAAATCCACACTGCAGCAAGGGTTGGCACAAAGTGGAATCATAACCCGGCCCCGGAGGCAGAGCAGGTGGGACTAGCTGTGGGCCTATTTCTACGTCAAGATTCTGTCTCATGGTGTGCCCCGCAGAGGCCTCCTAATGGCTCCATGACAAAGCCAGAGTGTGGCCCAGCAGGGTCCCTCACAGTTCTGGTTTCAGTCTGGGGGAGGGAGTGGGGCTGCCTGTTCCCTGCCTGGCCTGCTCTTTCTGTGTGCCTGAACTAGCCCTGTGCACCTTATCTTAATATAATAGGACCCAACACAGCACAGCACAGCACAACACAACACAACACACAGTACAACACAACACACAGCACACTACAGCACAATTAACATAACACAACACAGCATAACACAACACACAGTACAACACAACACAACACACAGCACAGCACAACACAACACCACAACACACAGTACAACACAACACACAGCACACAGCACAATATAACATAACACACAACACAGCATAACACAACACAACACACAGTACAACACAACACACAGCACACAGCACAACACAGCACAGCACAATATAACACACAGCACAACACAACACATAGCACACAGCACACAACACACAGACAACACAACACACAGCACAGCACACAGCACATCAGCACAGCACAACACACAGCACAGCACAATACACAGCACACAACACAGCACAGCACAGCACAATACAGCACAACACAACACAACACAACACACAGCGCAATACAGCACAACACAACAGAACCAAACAGCATAACACAATACAGCACAGCACAGTACAACGCAACATAGTGTAACAATACAATACAACAAAACAGCACAGCACAATACAACACAACAGCACAACCTACAAGCATTCCTTGCACCAAACTACGTGGGGAATTATGCAGCAGGTCCCGGGGAATTCAGGGCTGGAAAGCGGGCTCCCTGGCCCGCAGTCCCAGGTCCAGTGTTGGCCTCACACAGACCCCCGCCCCGCCCTGTGGCTTCCTCCCGCAGCAGCTCAGGCACCCTCCCCAGCTCTCCTGCACCTGAGCAGGGGCCCACGCCCCGCCATGCAGCGGGAGCAGGCTGCTTATCTCCCCGGCTTTTCCAGCCCCTCATCTCTGGGCGCCGGACTGCGCTTTCTGTCTCTTAATAACCACAGCAACAGCAGCCTCAGCTGGGCAATGACTGACGTTCCTGGTGTTCTGTGACAGAGCCTTTGGGGTCCACGGCCCCCTCATGAGGACAGGCTGGTCCCATGTCCACAGGGACAGAGGGACTCCCTGGGCCGACACGGGCCAGCCTTTCCCTGTGTTGGCTCTGGGATCCCTGCGTCTGCCCTGCTGTACTGAATTAAACTCAGTAAATATTTATTGCCCCTCTGCTATGTGCCCAGGGCTGTGCTGATTCTGGAAATAAAAACTTTAAAAGTCTAGCCAGACACAGTTGCTGTGCCTGGGGAGGCCAGGTGATGAGGGGGGGACCTGCCTCCATGTGCTTCTACCCAGGAGCACCGCTGCCTCAGGACACATTCCACAGGGGGGAAGGCTTCACTCACCCAGTGGAGGAGGACTCGCTGCGGCAGGGGCTGCAGGGGCAGGCATGGGGCCTTGGCCCTTCTTTGGTTAAGTTTTGAAAAAAATTCTCAAGTGATGAAATCACCTTAAAATGTTATTGCAAATGTTCTGTTTTTCTCAAACCTAATTTAATATCATCAGAATTGGCTCAAATTAAGTAAAAACATGTTATTCAAATTGGTATTGAGCTTTTAGTTTATAGATTGATTTAAAATGATCCATTTTGCTTTTATTATATCTTAATGCAATTGCATGATTTAATTTGAGCTGTGATTTTAAATATAATTTTATTTTTCTGCAAATAGTTGCTACAGGTGATATATTCATTTTCAAATAATAAAGTGTTGGTTAAAACATTTCAATAATTTTATATAATTCCCAAGTAAGTAAATAACTTGGTTTGTTATCCAAATTTCACGGTCAGTATTTTAAAATTAAGAACATATTTAAAGCATTATTCTCAGTTTGAAAAACTAAAATATATCTCTTCTAAATAAACATTTTAAATTTTAAAATATTTGTAAAATTCTCTTATTTAAAATTTATTTTTCTTACATGCTATTCAAACAGAGAATGAGTTCCTCCACAACCATCCCCTAATCTGTATCTCTATCTAGAAATATAATGAATGCTCTCTTCATTATGAGCAGCAGTATGGTAACATCCATAATGCCAAATTAAATGCTTTGTAGATAAAATACTGTTGATACACAATAATTTATTCTGTTTAGCCCCTTCTATTTGCATAACCCCTTTGTCTCAAAGAAATCTGAAGTACTTATTCTATCAAGCCTTTCTAATAAGATCTTCCCATTTTACAGATGATACTATCGAGAAATTCAGTAGCTACATACCATATCATCATTATTATTATAGTTATGATCTATTGGACAGAGGCAGTTCAACCCTGTTGCGGCACTATTACATGGCCCTTCTCTGACATTTCAAAGGTCCTTAAAATAACCCTCAACAACATGAGTGTTTTGGCCTATATTGTATTCATAAGGATTGCACAGAGCCAGTCTACTTACATACAAATTAGTTTGTTACAATTAGAAATTGATGAGACACAATCCATGACTGTGTGTAGTCCTTTTAATCAACCTTTCTTTAAATCAAAGATCACATGTGGTTTCTGCTTCCCTTGTTCCACACTGACTGCACTTCAGGAGAGTTAGGATGTATTTACAGGCAGCTAACACAACCCGTAGGAAAATGGAACTAAAATCAGTACATCAGTCTTTTCTATTAGGAAGATTCTAATAATTCAGCTCAAAAATTTTTTTTAGTCTTCCACTAATTTAATTTTTTTCAAAAATCATCTCAATTGAACAATTAAGTAAGAGCACTTTATAAATAATAAATAGCTACTCAAATTTAAATGATGTAGTCTTAGTAGCTACTTACCATAAAAAAAAAAATAGGCCCATCTCCTAACACGGGTTTCCCAAGTGTCATCCAGGACTGGCCTCAAAATCTCCCCCAAGTGTGTCTAAGAAAGGGCAGATCCTTGAGGCCCGCTGGAGCCCCAGAAGCAGCCTACCAGCGGCACTGGGTCTGAGAACCTGAATTTGGAGCCAGCTCTCCTAGTGATCCCATGCACCTTGATGCTGAAAGACCATTGCCCTTGCAAACCTCTGAGTTTCAATCTTTGACCACCAAGACCAATCCGAAGCAATCATTCATTAAAAAACAAAGCAACTATCACATACACTCTGTTCAAATTTACATTGCAATCTGTATCTACTGATAAAGAACATCCAACATGCACATCTCATGGGAAGGCCACCTGAGGGAGTATTTATTGGAGCACCAGGAAGTCACAGGCTCCACCGTGGGTGTACCTCCTCTGCAAAACCTTCCTCGGTTCTCATACACTGGGCCAGAGCACCCTACCTGAGCATCTGGCATGGGCCTGTGTCCCACACCCATAACCCTCGACATCATACTTGCCTGTGTGATCATCAGTCTCACCCACCAGATGGTGAGCCCTGTCGGGTTGATCTTTGCATCCTCAGCACCTGGACACAGGTTGCATACATAGCATGTGTTCATACTCAACTTGAACACGTAACAAACTTGTAATAAATGCTTGTTGAACAGATGAAAGAACGAATGTCGTAACTGTCAAGCAACTTTACAGAGAAATCACTATTAATATGGATACATGGAAAGACTGTGGTTTGTATCATTTCCATTGTTTCCTGCCGAGGGCAGATCTGGCACTTAATGTCCCAATTGTCCATTGGACGTGCCCTGAGCTCACACGGGCTTCCACTCCAGATGATTCTGGAGCGAGTGCTTCCTATTTGCTGGGCCCTGCATGCACCTTAGATGATGCATCCCTGGGAAGCTGGTTTTGTAATTTCTGCTTTACATCTGAGGAAATGGACTCAGAGGTAAGGACATTTGCCCAAGGACACAGAGCTAATCTCTGGCCTGCATGACACGGTGAAAACGGCCAGTTTTTACAAGGAAACTTCATTCTTCAGTTCAATTTCTAACATAAAGAGCTGGCTTCTGCTTCTCCATCTACCTGGACACTCTCACCACTGAAGTTCAGGCTTTTCCACTTACTGAAATGTCCCACTGGAGTTTGAATTACCTAAAACACGGGGTTGCTAAACCCTTTCTGAGGTTAAAATATTGCTCACCTGGCTTTCCTTCTGTTCTGTTACTTAGAACGAAAATGATACGTTGGCCTCTGCTTTGAATTTTTTCAGGTTGATCCTGACACCACTAGTCTAATGTTTCTAGGTTCTAGGTACCTAGAAGGCACCTCTGCCCTGCAAATTCCAGGGACCCATCCTGACCTGGGAAATCCCAGGTCAGTTCCTTAGCTGCCCGAGACTCGTTTCTGTGTCTTAGGAGTGCATAGGACTAGCGCAGAGTGCTATTGCTGCCACTAAATATCATCTCTCGTTAGCATTTCCGGGGTGCTCAGAGAGAAAACAATGTCTGGGTGATGACTCTTGTCAGTCTCCCCATTGTCAAACCCCATCTCACGTTCCTCCACACTCACAATATTTCCCCATTGGGAACATGCCTGACATTGCAATTTCTCAAAACTGCAGCTCTGCAGTGAATGCCTAATTCCTGAAACTGCAAAATCTAACAAAAGCGGATTTTTTCCACTGATTTGACTGGCTGACTATTTCAGGGCTTTGCATGTGATGACCTGCTGCTCTCCACAAACAACGTCTTCAATGCACCCACATGGTTGCTCTGAAGTGGCCGAGGGCAATTACAGCCTCGCCAGCTGCCTACCGGGCATCGGGAATTACTCACAAGGTCCAGTGTTTCTGCCGCAGACACGATTTCCCCACAAGTCACACTTAGCAACTCGCCAGGCAGCGTTCTGTGGCTTGATTTTGAACCCAGAACCCATTTTCCATCACAGCGCCCCCATGTCACCCAGGGTAAGCTGTGGACAGGTCATTCACTCAGAGTTGCTTGTTTTGTGTTGTTTTTAAAAACTGCTTTGTCCTTTGTTTTTGTTTGAGTGTTGGTGTTTCATATCGGCAGATGAAAAGTAATTTAGACGAAAATATGTCAATTCTGTTCTTTTTATTTTTACTATCAAAATAGACGATCATTTTCCGTCTTTGGATCTATCACTTGCTCGGGTTCTTCACGTGTTTTTCATGTGAAAACTCTTGCTGTTGTACTTTCAGCACAAATTTCCAGCTTGGCTGCTAGGGAAGATGCATTTATCTGCTTTCTTCCCTTGCCCCCTGACCTCCCTCTCCTCTTCACCCACACTCGGTTTTCACTCCTTTCCCGCGGAGCCGCGGCTTTCCCTCCGTGATGAAAAACGCCACGCGCAACGCCCGGGAGCCGCAGCTCTGCCCGGGTGGAGAAAGCGGTGTCGTGACAAACAGCATTGATATTTTATACCCCGATTCTGCGTCACACACGCCCCCCAGAAATAGATCCAGGGCTGCGAAGAAGCTCGGATAAGGCGAAGATTCCTGGAGAGCCTGGGGACGCAGTCGTCCGGGAGAGGAACCAGGCCTTCCTGTGATTTTTTTGTTTCTTATGGAAATTAAGAAACAGTTTCTAAAACAGAGCCTCTGGGGCAGAGAGCGCAGGCAACCTTCTCCCCAGTCTTCCCTCCAGAGGAGCAGCCGAAGCGGCCCCGGGGAATGGAAAAGGCAGGTGTTTATGAAGGAGATGGAGTCCTGGGGGGCAGCCAGTCACGCCCTGCAGGCCCCAGTCCGCGCCCGGGTCGCTGGTGCGCGCTCCCCTCGGCGCCCGTCCCCGATGACGCTGAGGCCCTGGGGCGCTGTGGCCGCGTCCCCTCCCCCTCCCCTCTCTCACGCCGGACCCGGCCGGTACCCGGCCTCCCCTCCCCCTCCCTTCGCGCCCACTTGTTGCCGTCCGGCCCGAGCCGTGCTCGTTCCGCCGGCTGAGTGTAAAAGGGTTTGACTTGCGGCTGACCCCGGGTCAGCACTTTCTCTCCACTAATCCTGCTCTCCTTCTACACAAAACCCTCGGCCCCGTCCCTCGCAGCACTCATCTTAATCTCCACCCGCCCCCCGCCGGCGGCTGACACCGGCGCGGACCTGAGGGAGATGGGCTCCCAGGGCGCCCGGGGACCCCTGCGCCCTCCCGCCCCGAGGCTGCGGGGACGGGGCCGAGGCAATGAGGGGACTAGTAGGGGGAGCGCGGGCCGCCCCGAGACTCGTGCCCCATCCCGCCCCGACCTCCGACTGGGCGCCCAAGGGCCGGAGAGGGACGGAGAGGGGAGCCGCGCGCGGGCCTCGGCGGGGGAGCTTCAAAGACAAAGAGGAGGCCGGGCCGCGCTGAGAGAGGCCGGCGGCGGAGACGCAGCTCGGTGCGGGAGTCAGAGGGCGGTGGAGACGGCACAGGGACTGGAGAGGCGGTGGGAGTGGATGGCGGGGGCGGGGAGGGAACGCCGTGTGCCGGGACCCCAAGGACAGCGGCGCGGTGTGCGGGGCTCAGCCGCGGGCAGAGCCGGAGAAAGGGCGACTTGGAGAGGCGCAGGCAGGGGGGTGCGCCCGGGAGGCCCGAGGCCCCGAGGAGGCCCGGCCACCCCCGCCCGGAGGGGACACGTCCGGACCAGCCGCAGACGCCGCTCGGCTCCCGGGGGCGGGAGGAGCGTGGTCCCGGCGGGCGCGCAGCTGGAGAGGAAGGGCCGGGGAGGGAGGAGGGAGAGAGGGAGGGAAGAACGGGGGAGGCGGGGAGGAAGAGGGAGGAGGAGAGCTCGCCCTCAGGCAAGGGGAGGTGATCCCGAGGCCTGGCTCGGGCGGGAGCAGAGGACTGGGTGAGGGGTCCCTGCGTCCCCACCTCCCGGCCTGGGCCTCCACGCGAGCCCCCCCGCCGGCCCTCGCTCCGTCCTGACGCCGCCCCACCCCGCCGGATACTGGGGGCCCGCACCCCGCTCACTTTTCCCCATCTGGCCTGGCCTTTCAGTCTCGCCAGATAGTCACGCTGGAAAGAGAGCCGCGCCAAGGCCAAGTCTGCTTTTCACTTGAAGTTTCCAAGGACTCAGACCGGGGGTTAAATTCTGCCGCCGACGCCTCTGGAGCCGCTGCCCCCGGGCCCAGGCCGAGCGTGGGTGGGGAGGGGGCGGGAGTCGGCCGGAGCCCGACGGGGTCGAGGGGGCGCTGGAGTCCGGGCTGGCCTGAAGCGAGCCTTCGGGGGGGGGCGGGCACACGTCCGGGGATGGGTTTCTTGAATTAACTGGAATTTTCCGGAGACAGAAATCTGCGGCGCCCAGTCTTTGCCGGGGGAATGAAACGCGGGAGCATGAGTGCCGTTCTCCCACACGCGTGATTTTAATAGACCTATCAGTCACGCTCCCGACGCGCATCTGGAGATCACGCTGTGCCCGAGTCTTCTTTAAAACTAATCCATCTAGTACGTTACGGGTGGGTTTCTCCGGGGAAGGGGACGTCAAAATCTCAACAACAAAAGGGGCGGGTGAGTTGAAAAACAAAACAAGGCAAAAACAGAACAAAACAAAGCAAAAAAACCCTCAAGTAAACCCTCCTACCCTCAGTTTGGAGGGCAGGGCCCGAGCGCAATGGCAGATTTACGAAGTCACACTGTCGCCCCCGCAGAAACTGATGCAAACTTTGCACTAGGCCTCAAAGACTCCTATCCGCCTTCCCTACACGGGTTGCAAACATAATTGGACTAAGCGACAGAAGCACCACCCTGTGATTTGGGAAGTGAATGAAGTCGTCATATAATATAATAACTATCATCATATAGTATTTCACTCCGTGAATACGATGAGTGTTACCTTGGCCAAGCACCGAATTCACAGTCGGCTCAGGGCCTACTGTAATCTTTTCTCCACTAATTTGAATTGGAGCGACACTGCTGGGGGCGGGGAAGGGGGGATAGAATCTCAATCCTGAGATGAATCTCAGCTAATTTCCTTGCCCCCACCCTGTGATATTTTTAAATGGAGTCATTAAAAATTTATATTTGCTTTTTTCTGTGTTGTTCTAATCAACAAAACAAGGAAATAAGGTGGTTGGAGCACCTGGCATTGGCTATTTCAGCTGACTGTGCACGAAGCACCTGCAATAAGATGCCAAACTGTAAAAGCTGCTTGCCTGGCGTCCCGGGCGCACTAACTCAGCTTTTCATAGTCTGTGCCTCTAAAGTGGGGCCCACATCCTAATCTTGAGCCAAGACCTAGATGCCAACAATTGGACACAGAAACTCCAGGGTACACACAGGGGAGCACAGGGGCCAGACTGAGAGTGGACGTCAGTCAAAGAACCTCAGAGAGAGTCCTTTAAGTTTGTATATTTCAGAGAAAACCCTCAAGGTCCCATTGGACCCTCAAGGTCCCGGTGAGTTAACAGAACAAGCATTATAAAATTTCCCAAATCATCTCCCGGAGAGGACTGGGGAGGCCCTTATCCCGGACTAAGTCGTAGTGGTGCTCAGCCATCCATGGGCGCACAGACTCTTCCAGAAACAACTGCTTCAGAAAGGATCAAATAGCTAAAAGAAATAAAAATAAAGAAAAAGAAAAGAGGGGGGGGGTTTATTATCTTGTTAGAAAGCAGTGGACATCATTCTTGAACTTTTTTGTAATCACTTTAACGAATGAGTGGTTTAAGCAAAATTATCAAAATGACTTCCCAAATTACACGTCAATTGTCAGATCAGCATTATACTTAAAGCTATTCTCGAATGCAGGCTGAATTCGGTTCTCATTAAACTTATAGCATAGGCTCACTTTTGGACGGACAGTCCATACTCCAGGACAAGGAAGGGTGTTGAGAAAGCGAGGGGAAACCTAAGGCTGCTGAAATAAACGTATTTCCATCTGGGCTTCAAGTGTTTTTTTTTTCCAAAAATATAATTTCATCTTAACGTTGTGATTAATTTTTAAATGTATTTGCTACAGTATAATTTTTAAATGCAATATTTAATGCTGTCAGATTACTTGAAGACAAAGTTTTACAGAAATTTTTAAATTTCAAAAAAAAAACTGCAATGTACCAATAAACACCTAGAAAATAATATAATTAAAAAATTTAAAGCATCAAACAACCTCAAGATCTCGTCAGGAATAATGAACAAGGCATTTTGCGTTCACATCGGTTAGCAACTTGCATCCCAGTTCACGCGGGGGAGGGTGATGGTCGATATTTCTGTGTGTGTGAGAATCCAGCACAATTATTTTGCCCGTTTTCCCAAGAGAAAGAAGCCAGGGGGAGGGGCAGAGGATGGACGGAGGGGGCTCGGCTGCAGTACGTTTTGGTTCAGCGATTGTGTTTCCTTGAAACACATTTAGATAAATTCTGCTCGAAATCTTAATTGCTGGGGAATTGGGAAACCCGTGACCTGCCCTGGTCTTTGTCCTTCATCCATGGCCTGGTCCAGGGTCCCACCACTGGGGTCTTCCCTTCCTCCTCCCTCCTCTGGACCAAACTGTGGCGCAGACCCCCAGCCAGGTGGAAGGCGCCCCGCTTGCAGCAAGGTAACGCGCAGCAGCCCCAGCCGTCCGCAGTGAAACAGCCGGAGCAGAAGATACTTTTATTTCTCGGCCCGTATTAACACTCAGCTCTACAAAATAACCTATAGGTTTTAACTTCCTTCTCTTTCATTGAAAAAGGTTCCTTGAAAAATCCTGTCCTCCCATTCCCCGGGGTTCCCTTACTTTTAGTTCATACAGATAATTTCCCTGTCAGATTTCCTCATTGCATTTTGAACTCATAAAACATGCACATAAAAATAGCATGTTACAAATTTATGGAGAAAATGGGCTCTGTCTCTTAAATTTGTTGACTCGAAACATTTTGGGTGGGGGGTCTTTTTTCGTTTTTAGAAGAAAGGCTTTTTAGAAAACTATGTACATAATCTGACTTCTCCTCCCCGCATTGCAACGCCGAAAATAAAATTTTTCACAATGCATTTACAAGAAATAATACAAAACCCAAAAAAAAAAATGGAAATGCTCAGATACATAAAGTTTTACAAAACCCAGAATATAACTCCGCCGTCTGAAGGAGGGGGTGGTGGTGGTAATCTCTTTGTATAAATTAACAAACCAACCCAAAAGAGCGGTAACAACTACAAAAAACTTGTAAGTGCTTGGACCTGCCTTACTACATTTATAACAAATGCGACGAGCTCCGCGTCACTTGGGCTCCGGCGGTCGGCGCCGTCCGGAAGCAACGCGGAGGAAAGTGAGCGCGCCGGCCGGTATACAAAAGTGGGCTTCGCCTCTCGCCTCGTTTTGACTTTTTTGTCCCCTCGAGCAAAGAAAACGCTTTCCGCTTCCTCCGTAGGTGATAAATACTGTACAAAAAGTCTCAAGAAAACACCGAAGTTCAGTCTAAAACCCAAGTCTGGTGTCAGCGCCCGGCGGTCGCCAGGGTCTCCGGGGAAGGTGAGTGGGGGACACGCGTCACCCGGCGTTCGTCTCCAGTATTTTCCTTTTGACAAGAATGTGGGAACGTCTGTACAAAAGCCACGCCGCGCCGGGGCGGGGCGGGAGCCGGGCGCGGGCCGCGAGCTCGTGGGTCGCCGCCGCAGAGTCCCCGGCGTCCCGAAGGCGCTAGATGTGCGTCAGGGGCACCGTGCCGTTCACGCCCGCGCCCGCGCCCTGGTAGTGCTGCGGCAGCGAGTGCAGCCGGCTCTGCGCCGCGGCCGCTGCTGCCGCCGCCGGGTCGCCCCCCTCGCCGGCGGGCAAGTACATGCTGATCATCTCGCGCAGGTCCCCGGGGCACGGCGCCCGCGAGTGCGCTGGGGCGGGCGGGCTGCCGCTGGGCTCCGACTTCACCAGAGAGCCCAGCGCGCCCAGGGCGCCCGACGACGCGGCCGCCGCCGCCGCCGCCGCCGCCACGGCCGAGTTCTGGTGCGCGCCGCCCGCAGCGGCGGCGGCGGCGGCCGCGGCGCCGTAGGGGAGGCCGCCGTAGCCCGAGGGCGACGCGCTCATGTAGCCCTGCGAGTTGGAGATGGGGCTGTACTGCAGCGCGCCCATGTCGTAGCGGTGCATGGGCTGCGGGTTGTGCGGGTGCGCGTGCGGGTGGTGCGGGTGCGGGTGCGCGGGGTGCGCGTGCGGGTGCGCGCCGCCCGCGCCCGGGTGCTGCCCGTAGGCCAGCTGCGCCTCCTGCATCATGGCCGCGGCCGCCGCCGCCGCCGCCACCGAGCCGGGGTAGGCGCCGTTGGCCCAGCCGTTGACGTGCGCGTAGCCGCCGCCCGCCGCGCCGCCTGGGCTCTCCAGGCGCTGGCCCACGGCCGCCGCGCCCACGCCCACGCCCACGCCCATGGCCACAGCCGCGCCGCCGCCACCCGCGCCGGCCGCCAGGAGCCCGCCGGCCAGCGAGTACTTGTCCTTCTTGAGCAGCGTCTTGGTCTTGCGGCGCGGCCGGTACTTGTAATCCGGGTGCTCCTTCATGTGCAGCGCGCGCAGCCGCTTGGCCTCGTCGATGAACGGCCGCTTCTCGGCCTCGGACATGACCTTCCACTCGGCCCCCAGGCGCTTGCTGATCTCCGAGTTGTGCATCTTGGGGTTCTCCTGGGCCATCTTGCGCCGCTGCCCGCGGGACCACACCATGAAGGCGTTCATGGGCCGTTTGACCCGGTCCTGGTTGGCCTTGGCGCCCCCGCCGCCGCCGCCGCCCCCGCCTCCGCCCCCGCCGCCGCCCGCCCCGGCGGGGCCCGAGAGGTTCGTGGGGGCCTGGGCGCCGCCGGGCGAGTGCAGGTCGGTCTCCATCATCATGCTGTACATCGGGGCGGCTGGCGGGTTCACCGGCACCGCGAGGAGAGGGCCTGGAGCATAGACGGCCGGGGTGGGAGGGAGACGGAGAGGAATTCAGACGGAGTGAGACGGGGGCGGGGGGGTCCTAGCGGAGAGAAGAATGGGGAGGGGTGGAGGCAACGACAACAAAAAAAGGCAGAAACACACGCACTCGGCGCCGGTTCGGCTCGCAGGTGGAAAGTTTCTCCTGATGCACAAACCACTTGCCAAAGAGGCCGACGGTCGGGGTCGCCGTCTTCGCCGCCACCGCAGCCCAGGCGCCCTCGGCGGAGCGGTGCAAACAGGTGCAGTCGTGGCCAAGTTGCAGCTCCGCTTTTGGGGCCGGGAGCGGTGCGCTGGGCCCGGCCCGGGGTGTGCTGTCTCCTCGCCGGCCGCCGCTGCGCGCTGTCTCCTTCCTCCTGCGCTCGGTCCTCAGCGGCCTCCAACTCGGAGGCTGCAACTTCTAGCAGGGCGGCGCGCCGCGTGCGCTGGGCATGTGCTGGTCCCAGGTGCCCGGGGGAAGCCAGGCGCCAGTGGCGGGGGGGGGGAGGCGCAGGGGGGCCTGCAGGGGGCGATTACGGTGCAGCCAGGGAGGGGCCCGGGGACAGCGGGAGGAGCGCGGGCTCGCGGAGAGGGCCGGAGAGCCGGGGCCGCCGAGCCCGGGATGGGCTGCCCGCTGCCTGCCCGGGGCCGTGCGCTCGGAGCGGAGGCGCACGCGGGGCCGGCGGCGCGCGGGGCCCAGCAGCCATACGCCGGGCCCGGGCTGCCATTAAATGAGCGCGCCGCGGCCAATGGGAGCCGGCGGCGGCGGTGATTTGCATGGCGCGCTGGCGAGTGACGTGGGGAGGGAGTAGATACACTGGGCGCGGGCGGCGGAGCGGGGAGGAGGGGAGGAAGGAGGGGGAGCAAAGCAGGAAGGAGGGGGGAGGAGGCCCGGGAGGGGGTGACAGCCACACCGCTTCCTGAGCGCGCGCGCGCGGCGGCGGCGGCGGCGGCGAACCCCGAGCTCGCCCTCCTCGCCGCTCCCCGCCCGCGCGTTCCGAATGATTAACGATTGGGTTGAAAAGCGAAGACTAAGAAAGGATCGTCGTGGGGTGGGGGGAGGAAACGCAGCCCCTGGCCAGGTTTAAACGGGCGCAGTGGAGACCCAGCTCCTCCTCTGCCCCCGCCGGCCAACTCTGTGCCTGCAGGGAAGGGGAAAGTTGAGTGCGGGGCTGGCACGTCGCCCTCAGTTCCCCCGAGTGCTGAAAAGGAGGGGCGCTCCCTTGGACGCAGGGGATACCCTCCGAGGGCCCCTGCAGGTTCTCTGCAAGGATCAGGCGGCTCAGCCATCCCCCGCCCTGCATCCGTTCTCGGCCGCGGCGTGCACTGAAGTTCGCCAGTGCCCGCTCTTGCAGCGAAGGCCTTCACAGTCCAGGCCCCACAATTCGGGTAAAGGGGGAGTATTTGTGTGGGCATGGCTCCATAGCTTCGTTTAGTATCAGCCCTAAACTTTTGTGGGGAGGAGTCTTTCAATGAGCCCGGGGCCATAGTCACGCACTCTTCCCAACCCGGATCTTCTTCCTCTGGAAAAGGAATTTCTAGGAAGGCCGAACACAACAAGATCTATCTGGAATCTAGTTCCTGAACAACAGTTGAAAAAGTTTGTTGAATCGCAAAATAATGATATGGCGCACGCTTTTCTGGAGTGAATTTCCCACGAGCTGGTTGCCTAAGAACGGAGAAAACTGCGTGAACTGCGCGGGGCCACATAAACCGAATGAAAGGCGGGGCCTCAGGACGGGTCTCAGCCGCCGGTCTGCGTCATGCAAAGGAAAGGCCTGGCTCGTGGAAAGAGTAAGGCATTCACCTGTGGTTATCATTCTTAAACCTCAAAGTGGCTTTGATTTGGGAACGTGAAAGAGATTTTCAAACGCAGTCTCAAGTAGCATAGCGCTCACACTACCGTTTCCACCAGACTGATCTGAAAGTGGTCCAAAGACGACTTTTGAGCCCAAGTATTCCTCCTCTGCCCTCCCCGAGGCACCCTGAGATGAGAGTGCTTGTGGAGATTGGTGGTGGGTAAAGTAGAACCTTCACCGCATGTCACATGTCTGCCTGTCTTGTAGTAGGAATATTCAGTAAAGATGATGATAACGGTAATAGGAGTAATAGGATGTTTGAGTCTGTTGGGCAGCGAACACGTGACACCTTTTTTTTCCTCTTAAAAAAACTTCTGAGGTTGTGAATTTCTTGACCCTGTTGCTTGTCCAAGGTAAAAGAATAATGCTTTATTTCCTCTCAATTGCTATGATTATTACTGTAGGGTTTGTTTTATTATTGCAGGGTTGCTACAGTGTGAAGTGCAACAGCAAATTGATCTCTCTGCAGATTAAACTGCTTTCATTCCAGGCCATTCAGCATTTACTAGTAAATCCATCAAGTAATATATAATTATATTAGAAAGGGAACATCATTTTATATTTATTTTTTCACTAAATATCTAGGTTATAAACTGGGCTTCCAACTACCTTCTTATTTCACCAGTCGAGTTTGTTAAATCTTTTGATTTGTTACATGCACTACCTACAAATATCAGTTACATTGTGAATGAACAAAAAAGGAGCAATAATATTGTTTGGGAATGCTATAGCCCCATTTTTTTCTTTGATAATTTAGGAGGCAATGGGTGTGCAGTGAGATCCAGTGTGTTATGGAAAGTCAGCAAGACTGAAATAAAGGAAATGGTTTACAAATTATAAACTATATTATCCACTTAGCAGTTGAAAGATTTCTTTCCTCTGCTTTTCAATTTAGAGTTTAAACTAAATAGCTTAAGACTCCCTGAAAATGCTTTGTATGAATCAGGCTTGGCACATTATTTTCCATATCAATGGAGCAATTTATTTTATAAACACCCTGCACTCCAGTGTGCTTTGCAGGAATGCTTTATGCTTTGGGGAACTTGGATAGCTGACTTTGAAATGGTCTACTTTTTTTCTACCATAGTCCCGAAAATTGTTTCCAAATACGACGTTACCCTTGTTTTTCAGAGCATCTAAATAAGAGGAAAATGGTTTAGCATCCTGTGAGCTCACACTAGTGCTCAACGTTCAGGGTGCTCTCCATAAGCCCTCTTCAGTGACGAGATGTTCCCTAGGCCCAAGCGGCTGCACGCACTATGTGTGGCCACCTGCATAAGTATTAAACCAAAGCTGCAGGTGTAACTTGTTGCCAAGCGATAAATGATTGGCAGCAGCAGGCAGTGCCAATTAGGCAGCACAGGGCACTGCATGCTAGACCTCTGTGCCTTCATTCCTGGCATGAGGATTGACGAGCATAATATTAACTCCTGCTGGTGATCGATGGCTTCTGGAAGCCTCAATTTCTTGCTCCTTCTAAACTCTTTCCTCAGTGACTCTTTAAGAAGAGAGAAGACAGTCCAAAACCAGTTTGAAAAGCACCTCCTTCTCCCTTCTACCTCCAGCCAAGTTGGCAGTTACCTCCTTCAAACCCAGTACTTTCCCAAAGGCTGGACTCCTGGAGATTTGAACACTGACTTCCCTATTCCCAAGTAATGTAATAGGAAGTCTAGACCCCCAGGCACAGGGTTACTGTCACTGTTGATTGACCAAACTTGCTTTTTTGGCAGCTCAGAAACTTCATTGTGCCTCTTTGCTCAAAATGCCAAAGCGAAGATCAACTTAGAAATGTGGATAAAGACACTTTCTATTGTTGTATGTAACCTGTGGTCATAATCTTCAAAGCCAATCCAGAACCAAGCCATCCCTAGAAGTTACACGCACACATATATGCCTGTATGTATGTGATAGGTTAAGCCATTATGCAAGAAACCTCAACTTTCAAGTAAATTGAGTGCTGGACTGTAACACCATTAGCTTAAACTGTCTGTATGGAATAATTAGCACTTTTAGCTTTTGTCCCCCTTCCCCGCTCCCGCCCGCCCCCCAGCATGAAAGCGAGCTTTGAGGCATCTAGAGGTGGATTTTCTGGCCCAGTGTCAGTCCCGAGTCCCAAGCAAGGAGCACGATGGACAAGCTAGGAGTTCTACGGGACAGTGAAAGAAGACAGAAACTCTGCCCTGTCTTTCGTGGTCCTGGTGAAGTCGACCCGTCTTGCTGACACTCTCCAGGGACATGTGGCCGCACCACAACCGGTTGCCCTCCTGGGTTCAGCTCCTACGGCTTCTGGGGCCGGTTGGAGGATTGAGGCCATGTGTAGGTGCCTCCCCGGATCTCCGAGGGGCTCAGGCTTCCGCGCTCTGGTGTCGCCCCAGAGGGCCGAGGCCACAGTTAAAGGAGGCAGATGAAGAGGAAGCCGCTAGTTTCCAGGCGGAGCTTTTGAAAGAGACAAGAGTAGTCAGAAGGAGAGGAGGAGAAGGCGGAAAAGAAAGCGCGGGAGAGAGAAGAAGAAAGAGCCATTCAAATTGGAAGAGGCCTTCGAGGCCATCTCTGCCAACAGGAGGCGCGGAGCGAGGGCGAGGAGGGAGGGGAGCGCGACGGTGGGGACCGCGCGGGGGCGGGGCGGGGGTGCTGGGGACACCGCAGCGAGAGGAGGGCGGGCGGAGAAGGCCCGGTTTCCTCCCGCGCGGAGCCATGAGGGGCAAAGAGGCAGCGGGCCCGGCTGCACGGCTCCGGCCCGAGACCCCGCGGCGTGTCTGCGCTGGCCGTGCCGTGGCGCGCGCCTCGATCGCCGTCTGCTGGCCGCCGCCGCCCTCGCGGAGACACCGGGGCTCTCCGCTCTCTGCCGCCTCTGCGCCCCTCACTCGCTCTGGCAGCCAGAGGCCTTGTTCGAGGGCCTGGAGCGCGCGTTCGGGTGATGGCGCTCCAGGGCGCTCGGGTGATGGCCAGGGGGCTCTTGAGGAGTGCTCCTCTCTCTAGGGTCCCTGGGCGCTCTGAGTCCATCATCTGCGCCCTGGCCCGGGCTAACTTGGTTCCACTGTTCCCAAACAAAACCAGAGAAGCCAGAGTAGCACAGAAGTTTTTGTTGGTGGTGGTTTGGTTTGGTTTTGAAGGAGGAAAAAAAAATAATAACAGCCCAGGGAAAGGGGGTGTGTGGAAGGAGAACGGAAAGAGAGCCCTGGCCATCAGGGATAGCAGCAGAGCTGTCTGCGTGCCGGCGCACCGCTCTCTCCTTTGCCTGACTAGGCGTCCTAGTTTGGAGGCCGTTCCAGTAGCGTTTGCGGGGAAGGGTCAAGAAACTCCTTCTCCTCAAAAGCGACCCAGGCTTTCTTTCGGGCGGTTCGTGTGGAGAGCCGCACATTCACAATCGAAGAACAAACAACTGTGTGTGTGTATGTGTGTGTGCGCGCGCGCGCACGCGCGCGTGCTGTGTGCCTCCGAGCTCTCTGGGTGAAAGCATTTGGAGAAGCTCTGGGAGCTTTGGAGTAGGGGCTCACCCTGTGAGCAGTACTCACACATATAATTCAAATTTCACAGCTGACCTGCTCTGAAAACCTCAATCAGCTTCTAATTGAAGGGAAAACAAAATATTGCTTCCCTACAGCAGAGCTAACGATTTAATCATTATATCAGACATTATAGCTTTTAATTAGGCTAATGCTGATACTGTATGGAAAGAGATAATTCAACACAGTTCTTGATGAATTCTGTAATTGGGTTAACGGCAGAGCAGTTGGGGGAGAGACGTCAATATTCAAGCTGCGTCTGTAGCCACCAGGTTTATGAATGAAAGAGGAGACAAGGGGAGGAAAAAGGCTGGAACCAGAGCGGGGCATTGCGCCCTCCGCCCCACGGAGCTACGGGCGGCTCTGGAGAGAGGCGGCGGGAGACCCGAGCAAAGCTGGGAGGCCGCCGGATGCCAGACCTCTCGGGCCTCGCCGCTGAGCACCGGCTTTTCCTGCCGCTCGGCCTGCCCGGCCCTTCTTTTGTGGGAAACTTTCCGAGAAGACTCTCTGCTGGGCCTACCTGCCCTGTACGCCCCGGCACGGGAGTATTTCTGCGCTGTTCCCACCCAGCCCAGCTGGCGCAGATGTAGCGCGCAGTTCTGTCGGGTGGCTCTTAAAGACGCGAGCTCTACCTGGGCTTCCACCCCTCGCCAGGTCCGAGTGCCACTCAAACGGGCACAGTGCCCCTGGCCGAGGGCAGCCCTAGTTGGTCCTCAGCGCTGTGGGCACGGCGGATGCGCCGAGCGCCCGGCGCCTCAGGGCACCACAGGCTGCCCATACTCTCGAGCTCACAGTGATGACTGCGGGGTCGGCGGGAAACGGTGCTTGGAGGGGGCGCCGGGCCTATTGCCTAGAGGCCTGGACCCGGTGGCCTAGGCTGAGCCGCTGCTGGGCCCTGTGGCTGCATCAGGAAATTGGCAATTAAACCGCCGGGCCGCTTCTCTTCCTCTCCTGTCGCTAAGGGTCCTGGAAAAGAAGGAGGAAGCAAAAGGCCGTTCGCACTCGCCTGCGGGAAGTCTATTGTGCGAGAGAGCAAGAGTGACCCCTCCTCTCACTCCCCAGTCTCTTCTTGCCAAGTAGGGCCTGAGCCACAGGCGGTTTCGGGGTCCCCCGGGAGCCGCGCCTGGCCGGCTGCGTCGTCCAACCTCTGGCTTCGCGTGGCGGGTGCACGCCCAGAGCGGCTGCCGGCTGGGAGCGTTCCCCTCCCTCTTCTGCTGCCCAGATTTCTAGGACCCGCAAAAGTTATGCCCAAGTGGGTGAGGAGGCAAGAGGCGGAGCTGAGACTGGACCCTGCCAGAGGAGATGGTTCTCGAGCCTCGGATTTTGAGGAGAAAATGCCTGTGCCTTTCAGATTTGGTTGAGTTCTTTAGAGAAGTCGCCTAAGCTAAGTCTTCCGCGGTTTTAACCCAAATGGTTTCAGGGTGTGATTTTTTGCACTTTTTATACTTCTGCGCTTCCCTTTTAAATTTTTGCTCTTACTCTTTGGTTTTACCACATCAGCGCAATATTCTCCTTCAAGATAAATATACCGTGTTGTGATTCAGCCTTGTCTTATTTTGTCAGTAATTACGGCAAAATTAAATGGGTCACTGCTAAAGTTTCATTTACACAAACCCCCGTAATTAACAGCTTGAATACACCTTTTTACGTTGTACAAAAGTTGTAATTTTCTAACGCATGTTGTTTTTTATTGACGGAGAATGCTTGTGTTCGATGCCATCCTGAGCACACAAAGCACCTCCTCTGAGCACTAGGTGTGTTTTGTTTCTGTAATAGTGTAAAGAGCCGGTACGAGATCAGACTTTTCTGAATCTGGGGTAGCTTCATAACCACTCCCATTAAAAACTGCCGATTATAAATGTCCAAGAGTGCAGGACATCTGACTAAACTGGGAAAGCCGAAATTCTGGGGAGAAACAAACTGGTCTGGCCTGTTACACCCCCACTCCTGCTCCCCGGAGTGTGGAAGAGCAGGTGGGATTTGACATTCTAGGGCTGCTGTAGTGTTCACTCTGCAGGATCAAAAACAGCGTTTTAGGCCAGTGCAGGGACCAGCTTAGTCTCAGCGAGCCAGTGACCAGGGGCTGCCTGCAAGCCAGTGCAGCAGCTATGAGTCAACAGGCCTTTCCTCCATCCTCTCTCATTAGCCCTCAGATGGAAAAGGCATCACTCACAAGAGGAGACAAGTCATAGGGAATTTCTATATGAAAAGAAATGAAGTGAAATCAGAGATGCTTTTTCTTACAGGCCATCCCTGTTATTGCAAATTAGATTAGCTACACAGGCTTCAATATAAACATGACACGAGGTTCACACGAGTGAAAGGACCATCCACTCCAATCTCTGCTTTCATCGAAGCATCTCACATAAATTACATCTTGTCCTTTAATACACTTTTCAATGAGATTAAAACATCACTTTGACACAATTTCAAGCCCTTTCAGTCGCATGGGTTGCTTACTTCAGAAAACAGCAAATGGGGAAAGTGGTTCTGTTTAAATCTTCAGGCTGTGGGATGGGGCTTTAACGCAGCGCCAGTGCCCTGCACGCTGAGCTAATAGAGGGCCTCTTGGCCCCATTTGAATGCCATTTATCTTACCTCGAAGAGACAGAAACCAGCTGTCCTGTGAGCAGAAATCAGATTTCCCTCAGGTTGGGTGGAGGCCTGTGACTACCTGGGCACAGGGCCTCTTTGGAAAGCACATTTGTATTAGAGCAGCATCCTTCGGACGGGGGAACGGGAATGGCCTGCGCTGACCCTGAAAGGGTCGGATACCCCACAGGACAGACACTAGCTTTAGGGAGAGAGTGCCACCTAAATGAGATAGGGGAGGTTTGGCAGATCAGGCAGAGAAAGAGCCCTGTTTTGGATGGTGCTTGACCCTAAATCTCAACTTAGAGGCAGTGAGAAGAAGTGGGCAAACATAGGTGAGTTTTCTGCTAAACCAGCTAAAGGGAGATTTGCACCTCTTCTTGCCAGCAGAAACACGCCACTCTGACTCCCCAGGGGCCACCTGTCCCTTCATGGACTGACTCCTTCTGGACTGGCTCCCATGGCTCTGGGGAGTGGAGGAGCCCCACCCAGACAAAGGACCCCATCGGGCGGCAGTGGAGGGGTGTGTGGGTTTCAGGGTAGGGGTTCTATGCATTTTCATTATTTTCAGCTGTTTACAATTATGCTCAACGCTCAGAACACACAGGCAGATTTGCTTCTGGAGTAGAGGCTGGTTACAGCCTGCCTTCTCAGGTGGTGTATCCTCTGCCATCAGCCAGGTAGGCACAGGAAGGCTCGCCACTTGGAGCCTCTTCCCTCAGACCCAGCACAGCCAAGGCAAGGTTTTCGGGGCCTCCTCTTCCTTGCGGGGAGGGAGACTAGGACCAGCAAGTCCAGCCGCCCAGGTGCCAGCCCCCTCCCTTCCCCAACCCCTTTCTCTCTGCCTCCGTGGCAGCCTCCCCACAGGGCTCCATCCGTTTCCATGACATTGATAACAAGATCCTAGCACTAGGCCATCTGAAGGCTCTCTCTTCATCCTTACAGGTACGCATGCCATCTCCTGTGTGCCTGCCTGCTTCAGCCCTGCCACCTGGCCTGCGTCGCATCCGGGAGATGTGCTAGCAGGGGAAGAAGCCTGGTAGGGCCCAGGGGATGTGGGTGGCAACGGAATTGCTTTCCTCCTGGATCCCGGTTTAACCACCCTTCCAAATCAAGCGGAGCTCCTCGGGGGACACCTGCCAGTTGTTGGAGACTTCCCCCTCTGCTGCGGGCGCTCTCTGCATGCCAGGCCCTAGGTGCAGGGGAGGAGGCCGGGGTAACAAGACCATTGTCCTGGGTGGGGAACGGAGCAGGACTCCTCTTTCCACCCCAGCGGGAGGGAAAAGCTGCCCTCCCAGCCGCCTGGGCAGCCCCGCTGTCCGCCGCTGCGGTGACAGGGACTTTTGGGGATCTTCTGCGCCAACTGGGGTACCATCAGGGCAATTCCCCCAACCCCGCCTTTCACAAACGAGCTTCCAGAACGCAGGCCCCACCGCACTCCAGGAAATCGATGTTATAAAGCGAGCTTTTAATGCCTTAGTTGACTGGCGGCCGCTATCGCGTTCAAACACCTGTTTCCTGCAAGGGGAGGCGGCCAGCCGGGTCCCTGCTCGGGTCGATGACTGCCAGGCTTGCCCCGCCCTGCCCATTGACTCCCGCACCAGCCACCGCCGAAAATCCATTTCACCTTTGAAACTTCGTGACCTTTCCTCTCCACGGGAGGCTCAAACCCGCGGAAAGAGGGAGCGGAAGCGGGCGGCTCCGCGGCGCTGGTGGGGGAGACTCCCAGCTGCGCAGACCGAGAACCTAGGCACGCGCGGTGCTGCAAGAGGAGGCAAAGCGGGTGTGATTTCGCTGGAGGAGGGAGGACAGGCGCACGGAGCTGTGCGCCCGGGCGGGGTTCACTCCTCCTAGGGCGGCCCGCTCGGATCCCACCTTGGGGCGCCCTCCTTTGGGCGTCGGATCCCACCTTGGGGCGGCGAGACTGAGGCGTGAGCCGCGCTGGTGGGGCTCTCGGACGGGCACCGGCAGCTCTGCGAGTCCAAGGCTTGCGGCTCATTGCTTTTTTTTTTTTTTTTTTTTCGGTAGCAGAATTAATACAGTCAAGCCCGTCGGTCAGTCACAGTTAAATTGATTCTTTGCCCAAAACACCTCTCACTAAATGGCACACGCTTCAACATGTTAATTTTTAAAACGTAATTTCAGCCCGCGGATTTAGTTCTCGGCGCGGCCGGGTGTGCACCGGGGAGAGCGCAGCCTGGCGCTGCCGAACGCGAGGGTGGGGGAGCCGCGAGGGGCGGGGAGGGGGCGCGGAGCTGTGGCGGACAAGAACCTCTCCCCCAAATCCACAGACTCGACCTCCCTCCCCCCTCCCCAAAAATGGCGACCCAGAGAGAAACAGTCTGGGTCCGTTGGGCGGCGGCCAATCCCAAAAGCCGAGGATGGGGGAGGAGTGAACGCACAGATAAGAAAATGACAAATGTGCCCCGCGGCGAGTCCGCTAGCCGTGGCCACCACATCTACCCACCTGTTCTTTCCTGGGGCCCCAAAGCTGCGGAGACACCCCATCCTCCTTCACGGAAAGTCACCGTGGAGACACCGCGCCCCTCTCCCGAGAGCCTTTACCGGCCAGCTCCGCAGCCCCGGGCGGGCTGAAGCCCCCGCGCAAGTTCGAGACACACTTACAGTTAGTTCCTCCTCCAGCTCCAGCGGGTCCCCAGGGCGGGTCCGGCACGGCCGCGCCCCTAACGCTCTGCCCACGGGCACCTCCCGGAGCCCCGACTCATTCCGGACCGGGTGGCCAGCGTGCCCAGCGCGACGCAGATCTCGGACCCCGGTCCGGCCCGGCTCCGGCAGCGCCAGCCCCGTAGCCGCGGGCGCCGGTGCCACGCGCACGCACACACACGCGCACACTCACACGCGCACCCCCGCTAGCACACTCACTCGCACACGCGCCTCTCTCCTCGCCTCGCGCGCGCGCACACACACTGCAGGCGAGAGAGACAAGAAAATGAAATTTATTATTGATAGAAAAGACTTTAAAGACAATTTCAAGTTATTGTTTCTCTCTGGAAAAAGGAGATCCCTCCACATAATGAAACGCCTTTTGTGTGGCGCGGAACAATACCAAACAAGTATTCTAATAAATAGCCACTTTTTTGTTCCTACTCGACAGTGAATAGAATCGAGCAGTTGGTTTGCGAGCAGCTGGGACGCCGTTTTGAGCTGGGAGGTGGAGCCGCGTCTCCCGTCCTCCTCTCGCCGCTCCCCAGTCCCCTCTCCCCTGCGTCCCCTCCTGCTCCCCGCTCCTCTCCCCATTCGCTCGCTCTCGCCTCCCGCCGCGGGTCCCCCTCCCGCGCCCCCGCCCCCGCGTTCCGGCCTGGCCTGCGGGATTCGGGCCGAGGCAACTGCAGGGACGGGGCACCCCTCCTGCTCCCCTGCGCCTCCGTCCCGAGGGACTCGGAAGTCCAACCCCCGCCCCCCCAAAAAATAGTTGTCAATTCTGTCATCACAGAGGGCTGCCTATTTTCGCCTGGAACTACCACCCGGACCTTTTCTAACCCCCGGGTGGGAGGATGTCACCCCCCTCCCGTCCCGTGTCCACCCGGTCCTTCCCTGGGGTTTTCCGCGCCGCGCCCCCACTCCCACCCGCGCCGGTCCCCGCGCTGGGCTCTCTCCTCCCGCGGACAGCGCCTCAGCTTTGTTGGCTCGCAGCGGGGACACCGTGGCCGTGGGCGCCGCCGCGCGAGGCCTCCCCTGGGAGCAGCTCCGGCTCCCCCCCCCCTTTTTAAATATTGCTCTGCGACGGGCTCCTGAATTCGCCCCCATCCCCACACTAGTGCCCTCACGACTGACGGCAGCTGCTGAACGAAGCAGTGTCTAAGGATTAGTGTTGTGGACACAAAGCTCTCCAGGTAAACGTCCCTCGGCCAGGCGGCCCCGCGTTCCAGGCACGCACTGCGGGAGGGGAGGCCTGCGGGGCTGTGCGGCGCTCCGGGGTGGTGCGGCCACCCCTGCCTGGGTCGCGGACCCTCGCGGCGCGCTGTCACTCCCTCTGCAGGCGGAGCCCCAGCCTCACCTCGGAGGACCTAGTTGCCTGCCCTCCCTAGCGCGGGGCTAGCCCACGCAGAGCCGAAGGCGGAGGAGGAAATGTGTTCTGTGAGGCTCCTGGGCTGGAGCCACACTTGTTTCTCGGGGTCTGGGTCTCTGTCTCCACCCTCCCTCTCTGCCTCCTCCCCACAGTTGAGTGAGGCTGTCAGCACTTCGGACTTAAGACCACCACCCTTGAGACTCCCTGCAAATGTATCACAAGCAAACTCACTGCTTTTTTGAAAATGACGACCCCACGTTTGCCCAGAGGATTTGTGACCCCCTCACACCCAAGGCAATATGTTTACCAACATAAAAAAAAAAAAAAGGACGCACAAGTCCAGCACAATCGAAAGACAGTAAGGGCGTGCCAGCCCTCAGTGTCGGTGCGGGGCGCGCGGACCCACGCACACATCTCCCCCGGACAAACGCAGGGTAATTTTTTTTCCATTGTCGGCAGCTGCAGTTTGCAGGAGATCCTTGTCTGTCTGGCTCTAATCTCGGAGACAAAAACCCCACATGACTTCACTCGATGGATCTTAATCTAGAGAAACACTATGTCATTTGCAAATTATTTCTTAATCGGACTAAGCTATTTAGAAGTGCGAGTGGAGGAGTGAGTGTTTTGGAAGCCGCCAGAGCTCAGATGTTGACTAGGAACACTCTTCCTAGCAGCCTCGCTTTCCCCCAAAGGCACGTTGGTCTAAGTGTCAAAAGCAAAATTAAGCAGGTACGTTTCTTTACTTGGGGATTTTTAAAAAATTTACTTTTGAGAAACTGTATTCCCTTGGAGTTTAAGGCAATTTAGTTCAGTCCTCCAAGATGCTGGTAACAAGAGGAAGTTGGTCCTTGACATCTTTAAAAAACCGGGTTTGTGCAGGAATTTCGTGGCGGGAAACGCGGAGACACGTTGGAATTGGACCCATTCCAGCAGGCTCCTTGAAAGCTTTTTCCTTTTGTATGGAAAATGGAAACATTTTGGAATCCAGATTTAAAACTTTGACTTATATTTTACATGTTAAGTCGCTGAAAGATTGGGTACAACACTGCATAAACCTTCAAAACCTGCAAATATTTGAATGGTTTTTGTAAGCGGAGCAGCTGCCAGTCAGCTGGCTTTGACAGGCTGCCACAATTTTGTCACTTAATAGCGGGTGTTAGGCTAAGTGCAAAACACTCTGGCAAACAGATGTCAAACCCGTATCAATGGGGGTTGTGAAGTGGAGTTTTAACCCACATCGGGGTCTCGCGCACGGAGCCAGTGTGTACACGGTACACAGCGCAGCGAAGGCGAGCGCTCCTAAACGTAGTGGCCTCGCCCGGGGCGCTGGAGACGCGACCCTGAAATTCTGTAAAACCGAGGCTGCTCCTCTCCCGCCGAGACAGAGGAGAAGCAGGGCCAAGGAGCCTTGCAGGGCATGGGGGTGTGGACCCACGTAGCTGCCTCCAGCCCCGCTGCCGTCCTGCGTCCCGACCCGCTTCGCCCGCAGAAGGTGGCAGCTCTTTGCCCAGGCTGGCGTGCAGCGGCAGGCCCCAAGCGCGGCCCCGCGCCTCCCTCTTTCCGGCTTGCTGTGGGCGCTGCCCCCTTGTCCACCGAACTCGGCCCCGGGCAGCGAGGCTGTCCTGCGGCCTCAGTGGTGAGAAGGCGGAGGCGACAAATAAAAAGACTCTCTGTCCGAGCAGAGCCGGCAACCACGGCCCAGGTCACCCAGGTGTCTGCGGCCGCGCCAGACCCCCGCCAGGCCCAGAGCCAAGTGCAGAGCGTGGCGGCACCGGCGCTTTATTCCCTTTGCCCACAGCCGGCCGTCTGGGTGGAAACTGGCTTTTCCTCGTGGTTTGCAAGAGGAAGTGGCCCAGGAGCGCGGGGTCCTTGCGCGGCGAGGCGGGGAGGGCGGACGCTCAGAAGACCGTCTTCTTTGTTTAGGCACCGGAGGCGGCCCCTGGGGCACTGCCCTCCCTCTCCCAGGCAAGGGTCCTCCCCGAAGGCCTGATCTGCCCCTTTCGCCTGAAGGACTGGAACTCTTAAGGGCGGCGGCATCAAAAAAATGACCCCAACCCCCTGCGGCTCGCGGGATCCTGCGGCCTTTGTGTTTCTCGTGCTGAGAACGATTTACGCCCGCGCGTGGCTGCGGGGTGAGGTCTCAAACATTCTGCTCTGCCGGCAAACCAGTGCCACGGGGGATTATTCTGCACGAAGAATATCTGTTCACTCACTCAGAGCTTCCGTCATCCTTGAAATGTCTTCCCAAATTTTCACCTCTTGATGATGTCTAACTCCGACACCAACCGCACATGGGAACAGGAGGCATCCCATGACTGATCCCACATCACAGCAGATCACTGGTTTTCCGATTTTTACAACGTGGATTGCATTTGACTTCGTGCTTAACTCACACTTCTCCTTTTCTTTGAATAACCATCATACCAACTCTTCATTTTGGGAACTTAAACTTGTGGCTGGAAGGCCAAAACGAAGCTTTGGATTTTACTACAAAATGTGATGAAAGGCAAATTTGTCCTTATGTAGATTAAAAGAATTCTCAGAGCTTTCTCTTGAGGACAGCGATTTCATTCGGCAATGCATATTCCTTCATGATAGGTATTTGGCAACTGATTAGGAATCTTTAGGCTAGTATTTACTTTATAATGAACAAAAGTCAAAACACTAATTTTAATTTGCTTCACTATAAGCTCAGCCTGAGACCATTTCTGTGTCCCATGAATGCACACACAGTTAATAAGTGCTTATTTGTTTCTTATAATAATGTGTGTGTCTTATATTCTCATTGATGGAATACAATCAAAGCATAATTTAATGCCCCCCAAACCCTCTTAAAAATATACAGAACAAATATTCTCCTGCCGGGGGGGGGGGGGCTCCAGAGAACTAAAGCTTCTCTGTGCCATTAATTTTAATTATATCTTAATGGAAAATCAGATGTTTAAAAGCAGTTTCCACAGGTCTATAGGATTCATTAATTCTAAATGTACAGAAAAGAATGTATTTTCACCTTCCGGCTAAAGTTCACTATTTTCCCACGTAAAAGTATCTAACCACAGAATTTTGCTTCGTCTCCTACCGAGGTGCATGTGCCGTTCAGGAAGGTGGGGGTTGACTGGAACAGATGTCAACTCCAGCAAGCATCCCTGCCCGGGCTCGTGCAGTGCACTGGATGTCTTATTTCAGCTGTGAGGTGGAACTGGGCCTAGGTCTTTTGAGGGAGGGGCAGGGAACAATTGCTCAGGGCAGATGTGCTGTGCGGATGTGGCGGAGGGACCCCGAGATTTCAGTGTGGAATTGTGGGGTGCAGCTGTGCAACCCCGGGAGGGTCGGGCCTCATGGTGCGGGAGCTTGAAGGATGAAGAGGATGCAGCTAGAAGGATCATGCTCTCATCACAGGTGATTCCAGGGGTGAGATAACTTTCCGAAATCATCATTTGTGGTGGAGGGTTTTTGTTTTTTGTTTTTGTTTATTTGTTTGAAATCAGCTAAAGCCGAGTATGACCTTCACATTCAGGCATCATTTGCTTATCATCACCCAGGGCAGTGGCTTTCACGTTGTTGGAATTGACTTCATCAAAAAAAATTATATAACTTGAGATTCTGCTTACCCATTCTTTATTAGAAGCAGTAATTTCACTAAAGCGGTAATATTTTTCTATGCAGTTTATCCAAGGACTTAAGCTGAACCAACTGATGAGCCATAAAATAATGAATTTCACAGGTTTGTTGAATTTCTGTACTTATGTTTAACTGAACACAAGCTTCCCTCTCATGTTCTCCTGCCCCATTCTTTTTTCTCAACACTCAACCTCTGTAGTAAGCCAGATGCAATTAGAATGGAATGTACAAATTGTTGAATAGGAATACAATTGGTATATCAAAATCTTCTCTGAATCGGAGCTGACCAGGGTCAATATTTCACTTTATTCCAGTCCTTGAATATAGAAGCACAGCTGCAATTATTGAAAGACTTCACCGAAGAGTTAGATATTGTCAATGGGGTGAGTTTGAGTAATTGTCATTCAAAAGAGGAAGAGTCTGCTGATACGTGTGTGTATAATATTGTAATAATATTAGATGCTATAAAAATAAAAATAACCCATGTTATATAGGAAGAAAGGGCCTTCTCAGTCATTAATTCACAATAAAAACAAATTTCATTTGAAAAGTTAAAACAACTGTAACATTTCTAGTATTTATTGACTATGCTAATTCATAGGTGATATGCACACGAGTAGGTTAAGCCAGACTTTCCAGCCTTTAGTCAGCAGTCTTTGGAGGCAAGTCACAGCTTCGTGACCTGCAGTTGCCTGGAGCACTGGTTGGTGACTTCTCTAATCCTCAATTTTCTAATCCATAAAGTGGAGATATTAAATCCTACATGGTAGGATTATTGTGACAACTGAACGATGTCATGAATGTAAAAGCACCTGGACCTGGCACTCAAAACATCACTGGAAGACTCTCATTTTTTTCACTTGGTCTTCTTGGCAGACCCACTCACATGGATTCCCTGGCTCAAGGGGTGATGGAGAGAGTGAGGTCAGGCCAAGAAACACCTTACTTTCTTAGGGAAAACCCCAAAGGTGTGTCCAGTGTGGTGTGTGCTGTGTATCCAGCATCGCCTCCTAGCCAGAGGTCTTTGTCTGCAGTACCTTAGACCCTGATCTACGTTGACATTTCAATGTTCTCTTCCTAGTGCTTCTTTCTCAGAAGTCCTTAAACATCTCCAGTCACTAACTAAAATTCGACACTCTGTCATGTTCTGTCACATGTAACCCAACTGCCCTTTGTGGGAACAGTGGGCATATCTAAAAGTCTTATTGCTTTTGCTCATAAAGGCTTATTTATGGACCAGAATTAAAGTGCAATTGGAATACACATTTCCTATTTCATCAACTACAGGATTTGGAGGTCTTACCTCTTACTTGCTTGGGGAGTTTTTTAAATTTTGGACCTTCATTCATTTCTTCATTCATTCATTCCTCCCTTCATTCATTCATTCATTTCAGAAACATTTCCCAGTCTCCTCCTATGTGCCAGGCACTGTACTGGGCCTGGGGATGTAAAGGTGATGAAAAGTAGGTGCCGTCTTTGTCCTCACAGAATGTGGGGCAAAGCCTCACTGGTGGTATTTGGCTGGTTATTTTTCTGGGCTGGCCCCTCTCCGCCTTTCTCTGATGCTCTTTCTTTCCATCTGTCACGCACTTCTTAAAGCTTTTTTTGCTTTTTGTTTTTATTTTTATTTCTGATGAGGAGTTTTTTCCCTTCTTTCCTGTTGGGTCTGTGATCATGGAGCTACAATAAAGATTCCTTGGTAGAAAAAGTTGATGTAGTTTTTTTTTTTTTTTTTTTTTTCTCCTGGCTTTGATTCTGCATGATGCTAAAGCCTCTGAATAAGTCAGTCTACATTTCACTACACTGGTGCTTTTTGAGCTTGATGTAGGCAAATGTCTGGGCATGACCCTGGGCAGGTGCTTTGTTCTTCCAGGACCTCAGTTTTCCAAGCTGGAATATAAGGCAGCCAAACTCAATGGGTTCTGAATCCACCTTTCAAATCTAATGCTTCATGGTTCTAAAATTAAATAATGGAATATTTCATCATGGTTTAGACCCCCAGGGTCTAATTTTTTGATCTGTGAGGTGGGTACAAAAATGTATTAGCCTCCCAGGAACATTAGTGTTCTGAGAGGAATCCAGAAGCTTCTAAACATGTCAAATGCTTATTATTATAGACAAGTTTTATTCTTTCCCATGTCAATGGGGCAATAAGGCACAAGATGAGAGGGAGCCCAGTGATAGTCCTGTTAAGACACGTGCTTCCTGCTATTTACATTTTGCAGCTCTGGCAGAGTACTGGGTATTAGGAACTCAAAGAGTGATTTCATAAAGAAAAAAAAAGTGTAGTTTATACCAAAATGGAATAAACCCCCTTTTGAGTAACAACAATCTGCATAAATGCTTTAAGAAAGCCTATAATTATGATAAAAATGTTGCTCAAAGTTAAAATTATGAAGCAATCAAGATTTATAAACAGTCTCTCATCGACTTTTAATCATTCTTTCTTTTTTATATACAAACTGTACACAATATATGCTTGTAATATATCATGCTATACATTTTATTTTCAGTAATTTAGCCGAGCAAAATATATATGAGGTGACATTGAGAAACTAGGTTATATATGCACGTGATTATGGGCATGTAGCTGCTTCCAGTGTGCACGCACGCATGCACACACACACACACACACACAGTGATAGCTATGCATCTTTTTTGGTATCTTACACAGAAAAGATGCATGCTTTTACTGTATCAGAATCTCTTTAAAACTTTAGTATAGCTCCTTTTGCAATATTTTGGAAAAGTATGTCATGCATATGAGTATTAATACCCTTTTGCCAAAAAATTTTAATTACTGGATGACTAAGGGCAAAATTGACCAGATTGATCAATATTTGTCTATATTGGGCAAAAATTGCCTCAGTTGAGTAGCAGGAAATAAACAATATGGTGACCATGTGAAGGGCTGACCTAGAATATGAGTTTGTAAGTGCTGTGTTTGGAACTTTGCGTTGAATGACTTTAAAATGTTTAAGCATACATTGAAGAAGTTAACATAAGGAGACCCTGATAGCAATAGACACTTGTTAATTGGCAGGTTTATGTCAGGGATCAAAAAACAATTCTAGAAAGTTTTAGGAATTGCATGAGTGTGGTGCCTGGCACCTAGAACTCCTTCCCTGTAGGCCGTCCTTTTCTGCTAATGTCAACTTCACGTTTGTTATAATACCCTCTAGCATACTAGCCCAATCCACCTAATTCTAGCTTCTTCACTCAGTTGGTCCTAGCTACATAAAATGAAATATATTAGAGTGCAAAGAACTAACTCGTAGGTTTAAAATGACTTTTTAGGTAAGATTTTATCATCCGAAGATTTGAAAGAGAAAGATTTAACTATTGAAACTCTATTGCCTCAACAAATAGTGACCTAGGATACATTGATTCTTCCCAGGCAAAGATCCTCAGCTGGCTCTGTGTTCTCTCAAAGGCGTATTATTCCTTCTCTCCTGAAGGCTCACCCATGAGAGCCGTATCAGCACCTGCTGGAATTTTGGCTCCTACTTGTAAGAAGACATTTCTGAACTTGATCTTGTTGCTGGAAATGTCTCCGTGGAATTCCATTTCACCGCAGGTATAACCTGAGATCTTCCAAGGTCTGCTGGTTTTCCAACCTCATCTTCAGCTTCTGTTTCCAGCCCAAGGACACTCAGTTCGCTCCTGCTGCGGGGCCTCCTTGCCATCTGCTCTTTGTGCAGGTCCCCTGTGCGCACTCACATATTCAAAGTCTCCCCTCAGCCTTTCATCCAGCCCACTCATCTCCCAAGCCACGTGTTTAAAGAGGCTTCCCCCCCCCATCTACATTAGGGTGCTCAGTGTTATTTTCTCACTGCACTCTCTACTTTCAGCACACAATATCTATCATAATTTAACTACAGACTTAGATTTGTGGTTGTTTCATGTCTATTTTTTCGCATGGACTGTCTACTCCATGAGGGCAGGGCTCATCACATTTGGCCCACACTGTGCCTAGTGCCCAGCACATTGAATATGCTCAATAAATACTTGTTCGATGCACGCAGATCAGCAATGATGGGTGGCTGTCTATGGTGGAGAAACTGGTATTGAAGTAGTGCCCAGCAATAAGCAACTGTAAAACCTGACAAAATATATGAGGTAACCGTTTTCCAGTGGTGGGCAATAGGTGTTCCCTAAGGACCTGTGAATGAAGGAAAATTCTGGAAATGAGCCCCTGCCCTGGTCTCTGCCTGTGAACAATTTCCCGGCCATGGCCAGGGGGGGCTGGAACCCAGGGAGAGTATGGTGGTCCCTCTGAGTTGGGAAAGCAGAGGTCAAAGTTTGAAGCACCTGAAGCAGCTGGAATCCATAGGGTCTAAGAGTAGAGAGCAGAGAGCCAAGTAACAAGATGGTCTGTGGCTGAGGGCTGGGCTTCCCATGAACAAGGCAGAAATAACCAAGGCTTATCGATAGAAGCTGGCAGGGGATTGAGAGTTAAGCAGAAAAACGGGAGGTTGAGCAGTGGAGTGCTGCCAGAGTTCCAGTCCTGTCAAGGCGGAGAGATCTTAATGCCACTTTAACACCTGTGGTGTCCAGATGAGATGCCAGATAGACTGCCACAGGTGGTGGGATCAAATGCTAGTGTAAGACCACTCTAGTCCTGCCCTAACAAAACCTAATATCAAGCTCTGCAAAGACACACAAAGGATATAGAGGTTGAAAGGTAAGTCTGGCAAAGTTGGAGGGGCTTGGGAAGCACTTTGGACTTCCAGAGATATGCTCACATTCACAGAGATCATTCAGTGATTGAACTACCTGCTGTCATAAGAGTCAATAACGGAAAAAGGAAGGTACCAAAATCCAGAGTCTCTACAGCATTTTATCCACGAAGTCAGTATCAGTGGAAAAAAATCACCAGACAACTAAGAAACAGGAAAATGAGATTCATAGTCAAGAGAAAAAGCAGTCAAAAGAAACCAGTCCTGGGATGGCTCAGATGTTGCACTTGGCAAAGATCTTAAAGCAGCTTTTACAACATGGTCAAAGAATTGAAGGAAAATATAGTCTTAACAAGAGAACAGATTGAGAATCTTAGCGACAAAATGTAAATGATAAAGAACCAAATGGAACTTAAGAATCTTAAAAGTATAATAACTGCAATGAAAAATTCACTAGATAGGCTTGACAGCAGGTAAGGAATATCAGGAGGAAGAGTTGTTAATTTGAAGACATCAGCAGATATCATCCAGTAAGAAGAACAGAGAGAAAGCTAGAAGGAAAAGGGGTGGAGCCTCAGGGACCTATGGATAATATTAAACCGCCTAACACACATGGAATTGGAGGCCCAGAGGAGAAGGAAGTGATATTGGGCATCACCTTTTTGGTTTTTTCTTTGGCTGGATATGCCAAATAATGACCAGATACTTACCTAAGTTGATGAAAAACATAACTTTCATATCCAAGAATCTAATCAAACTCCAAGCAGGAGTATGCAAAATAAAAAGACAACCATACCTAGGCACATTGTAGTTAAACAGATAAAAAAAAAAAAGATAAGGGAAAAATCCACACATACAGGGGTCTAAGTGGACCCCTGTACAAAATACAAGGAGGCCAGAAACAACGGAAGGGCATTTTTACAGTGATGAAAGAAAAACCCCACAAACCTGTCAAGCCACAGCAATTCTGTATGAAACAAAAACCTCCTTCAAAGAAAGGCTGAAAAAAGATCTTTTAACATCAGTGAAGGCTGACGGTATTCCTAGCAGAGGCCTGCGTTACCAAAATTCTGAAGGAAGCCCTTCAGGATTATGGGTACTGGGGAAGAAATGAAGAGCAGCAGACGTGGAGGAAGGTTGTTCTTCTTCCTGTAATTTACTTGAAAGAAAATTAAGTGTTTAAAAAGTAAGGCTCCCCTTTGGAATTAGTGTCGGCTTATCAGATGCCCAAGGATGTCAAATGCCACCACGTCCTTGGCTTCACTAATTCCAGCAAACTGAATGTTTATTTACAGGCGAAGCAAAAATGAAAGACAGGGCGTGAAACAACACAAGGTTGAGAATGATGTTTTAT
Organism: Homo sapiens; assembly: GCF_000001405.40. Taxonomy (NCBI): domain Eukaryota; kingdom Metazoa; phylum Chordata; class Mammalia; order Primates; family Hominidae; genus Homo; species Homo sapiens. The sequence goes on along the minus strand of NC_000013.11, from coordinate 112,045,966 downwards.
CACAAAGCAAAGGGAAGCTCTGGAAGTCAGTGAACTTTCAGGATACCTTGCCAACCATGAGTTGTTAACCCAATCTTCTCAAATTTCTTGAAGATGAAATGCCTGTTATCTTCCAGTCAGAAACTAGGTTATGTAGAGGAATTATTGAGTTCTTCAAAAATACAATAAACATGCTGACTTCTCTGTATTATTAGGTTGTTTCTATGCCTATTTCTCAATCTTCCCAAGAGTCCTTGAATGCATTAAAGACAAGGGACAGAAATGTAGAGGGAGGAATCTGGCTCATTTTTAAAATGGAGATTTGTTTGCAACATAACCTGAGTATTATCTTTCATATTGCTGCCCAAGGGCATTTGAAATAATTTCTTCTTAAAAGAGGTTCAGGGGAAAGTCTTTAGAGCTGAAGAGTTACTTGACTCTGGGCCTCTCTGTATAATGATAAAATAAAGATGCATTTCCTTTGAGAATTAGAAAAAATAGTAGCCAAACATTCACTCTAAGACTTATGGGGTTTTTCTTCCTCCCTTCCCCTGTTTTCCATTCTCTCCTCGAGATAATTTACTATTTGTAGTTATGAGTCCTCCATTTTAAATGAATTACAATCTGGAATGAAAGAAAGCATGTTTCATCCTGAAATTTAATACTTGAAAAAAAGAAGTACTTACATCATTCGAATAAATGTAGTATTGCCTGTGAAGACATCTAGTTTCTCTCTCTCTCTCTCTCTCTCTCTCTATATATATATATACACACACACACATTTTTGCTACTTAACATTGGAGCACATTTTTGTTTTACCATCCTCATAGCCTTGGAGGTACAGCACGTGCACACACACACGTACACACACGAATACACACGTACACACATGCACACAGGCACACATGCATGCACACATGTTCACATGTGCACACATGCACACATACATGATGCATCATGCATGTACACACACATATGTACACACACACACATGTACACACATACACATGCATACACATACACACCCAGAACTCTTTCATTCTCTTTTAATGAGATCGACACTTACCAAGGTCTTGTACTTGAAGCCGTGTTCTCTACCTTTCTTCCTGCCCTCTATAAAATGCTCTCTCAAAAACTGAAATTCTTCGCATCAATAAAAGCATCTGAAAAAATGTGTTTTATGTGCCAGCTGGATAGTAATTTGCAGGGATAGAAAATATTGTTAAAAGGGCAATGCTGAACAAAACGTACATCTTATCTAACTTATGTAGACTTATGTTTGCTTATATTTAAAGAGATGATTGGCCTATGGTTGGGCGTTCTTTTTTATTTGCACCATTACTGGATTTTTCTCATGTCTCCTTGATGTTATTCAAGGGCTGTCCATCAGAGCTTTGTATCTTGAAGATGAAATACTCCATGACCTGTAGTGTGGTCCCCACCAGGAGCTCCTGAGAAACGCTGAATCTTGGGCCCCACCCCATGCCCACGAGTCTGCATTCTAAAGGAATCCTGGGAGGTGCTCCCCCAAAGCATAGGTCGACAGATTTTTCTACTAGGTTGATGTTTACTCAGATAGCTTTAGAGAAAAACAATATTTGTACTTCTTTGTGGCAGGCTTATGCAATGAATCCCTAGAGAAGTGAATAAGGATTTGTAATTATTGTTTTGATACTTTTCTGGAACGTGTGTTTATATGCAGTGTTTCACACAAAAAAGATTGATTATTTTATATTTTACAGTAACGATAAAAATGCATTATGGTGTTTCTCCAAGTCCACTATCTAAGACAATTTGTGAGATATTTTAGGGTCACACTACTTTAAATGCTAGTTTAGCATGTAAGTACTTATTTAATGTCTGGTTACTAATTACCATCCCATGCTGCTTTGTCCTTGCTAAAATATAAGCTAGTTTTACTGATTTTAAAAAATGTAAACTTGCTCTCAATCCTATGTACTTCCTAAAATAATTGGACATTTGGGTTATAACTCTTCTGTCATTTTAACATTGAGGAAAGTGAAGGAGAATTGAAATAAATATCCATGAAATGCTGGTATGGGTTGGGAAGCAGGGACTTGAGGGTACAGCTGAAGACTAGAAACAGCCTCTAAATTAATGTTACGTCTCTCCTCTCTGGATTTCTTAGGCCATTATTTACAAGCTGTCAAATTTTATGGTTGAAGTAATTTGTATGAACTATGCACTGAAAGCACATTTTATCCATTGATTTCCTGGCAGTTCGTGGTTGCCACTCATCTCCTGAAGAACACTTTCTGCTTTCACAAAGCATAGATTAAAATATCAGTCTTCAGTCCTGTCTCTAATGCAGAGATAGAGAGAGTAGGTTTTGAGGTTTCGTTTCGTACTGCTACTCCTCCCAGAGAGCTACAAAAGCAAATAAAAATCTTCCCTACAGGAAGATGATGATATCCCAGGCCTCAAATTATATGTTCAAAAATTTAAAAAATTACTGTGCCAGTAGATAGTGGAAGATGGCCAGAGACAAGGAGACCAAACACCATTAAATGAGATGAAACAGAAATAAGAGACTCCAAAAACAGAACTACAGTGACTCCAGACACTGAAGCCAATAGATGAGGTATGCATTATATTTAGTATATAACAAGAGATTAAGCAAAGCTCTGAAAAAATGGTCAGGGAATTGGAAATCCCAAAAGTAAAACAGAAATTTTTAAAAACTCTGAAGAAAAAAATAATTAAGAAGTCACTGGATAGATTTAAGATCAGATTAGATACAGCTAAAGAGAGAATTTGTGAACTGGGAGACTGTTCAAGAGTAAACCTAAAAATCATCATGGAGAGATGAAAAAGGAAAACCTCAGAAGTAAAAGTAAGAGACATAGACTATACAGTGTGAAAGTTCAACACACACTTGAGTCTTAAAAAGAGAAGAGAACAAGAATGGAGAAGGAAACATAGTTGAAAATATAATGGCTGATAATTTTCTAGAACTAATACAGCAAATTGAAATACAGATTCAAGAAACCTGGTATGTCCCAAGTGGGATAAATGAAAGGAAATTCATAGCTGGGTACGTTAGAGTGAAACTGCAGAAACCCAAAGGCAGATGAGACTTATAAGCAGCCAGTGACGGCAGGCAGACTACCTTTAGGAACAGTGTCTTCCCCAGCTGGCTTTCAAACAAAAGTAGACACAAGAAAATCATGGAGTGATGCTTTCAGGCAGGGCTGGGGCAAGGGCAAGGAGATGAGGAGCCTGCCTCTGGTGCACAATTTAAGGAGATGCCACAACACTGAGTCATCAGGATGAGGAGTAGCTCTCGACTGTGCTGGAAGAGCCTGCAGATGTCGCCTTTACTCCCAGCGTCAGGGGAAGTAGCTGATTCAGGAGTTTTGAAGCAATAATATGGTTAATCAAATATGAAGGCCCTTTTAGCCTAGGAATTTTGCATGTTTTTTAACCAACCTTAACAAAAATTTGTGAAAGAGCAGAGAAAAGGAAAAAAAAAACCCAACTCTACCACCTTAAATAATCATTTTTATATGACCCTCCTGATCTTTGTTTGTATGGATGTGGTTTTCCATAGTTGTACAGTTGGGCCTAGAAAGCTCCATCCATGTGTCCCTGTCCAGCTGGGAGGTGGGACAGCTCCTTTCCCTGCTCCTGGGAGGGACTATGACAGCATGGGGTGTCAGTTTCCCAGGGCTGCTATCGCAAAGTCCCACAACTGCTGGCTTCAAACAATAGAAATTTGTTGTCTCACAGTCTGGAGGCCAGACGTCTGAAATAAGGTGTCCATAGGGCTGTGCCTCTCTGGGACTCTTCTGGGCAGGGTCCTCCCTTGACCTTCCCAGCCTCTGGCAGCAGTGGTCCAGCCTCTGTGTTTCATGGCTGCGCTCCGGCCTCAGCCTCTGTCTGCACATGGCATCCCCTTGTGTGTCTCTGTCTTCATCTCCTTTTGGGTCTTCTCTTCTTACAAGGACTCGGGCATATTGGATGTAGGGCCCTTCCTACTCCAGCATGACCTCATTTTAACTAACTCCATCTGCAAAGGCCCTATTCCCAGTAAGCTCTCATTCTGAGGGGCTGGGGGCTAGACTTCCAAATGGCTTTTGGGGGACCCAGTGTGACCCATAGCAGACAGCAAAGCAGAGAAGGCAGCAGTTGACAGCCCTCAGCCTTCTCTAATCCTTGCAGACTCCAAGTGAGACCACTGGGGAGTCTTTTTCTACTCACTTCAATATAACACCTTGTTAGGCTGGAGATTCTTTTTCGCTGTTAAGCTGAATTCCAGTGGTTCATCTTCCTAGTAAATAAAAAAGTGTGCTAACTTCACAGAAAACAGTCCCAATCTCACATGTTAATTCAATTCTTTGTTTTTCCAACAGAAAGTATTCTTCCCCCCAGCCCCCGGCATCAGCCTAAATTAAACTTATGCTGTCTTAAGAGATCTAAGGATTCTGGGGACTCTGAGTCCGAGGAGGAGTCTTAACATGTTCTCAAGTAAATACCATAGATCTTTCTGAGAATGCAACTAGGAATATCAGTGGTTTCACTGGTCTTAAAGTAATTTGGTCTTTTAAAAAAGGTTTTAAAGGTGTTAACATAGCCAAAGGTCAAGCTTCATTTCAACAAATAGTTGAGCCTCTTAGTGAGACAAAGCATGCTGTATGTTTCCATGCATATGCTATAGTTTGTTTGAGATTTACCTTTTTTTGCATGAAAAAGTGAGCACTTGTCAATTACCCACTAGGAAAGTGTTGTGATAGAGAGGTCATTTTTCAATAATTGCCTGAATAAAAACCATTTATGCAACATGCCATTTCTGCTGCATGTGTGCCAACAGGCAGCACAGCTTGGTGAGGGACCTCCCCTCACTCCTGTCCCACCCAAAAACAGTGCAGTGCAGCATGGATTTGGATTCTCTAGGAAAGAAAATGCTACTAAAGTTACAGTTGCTAACCTTTACCATACTCAGTCTCTACAAGGAATGCGATATTGCTTGCTTTTGCCCTATGAGATTTTAGGTGTATAAAGATGAAAGAATCAATCAATTCTACTTTCAGTTTTCCTCCTCTGGGTAAATGTCACTACTGTGCACTGGGCTGAGACTTCTTTCTCTTCCTGCCCACCTCCCACCCCTCAACAGGACCTGGCAGCTCGATTCCTAGTTGAAGGAGCACAGGGCTGTGGGTGACTGGTGCCGGCCAGAGGCTTAAGCCCAACCTATGGGCCGGGGCCACAATAAAATATGAGGGTGGGGCCACCAGCAAGTCCTTCTGTCCTGGAAATCACGGAGGTGTGAGAATCATGGAACTGCAGCTTCCCATACATTTTGGAAGGGAAGAAACACATGCACCCAAACCTACTTTTGGTGGCTTCGTTCTGCACCATAATTTTGTGATTGCCGTGGGTGCTGACGCAGTTTGTAACTCCACATTCTCATGCTGATGCTGATACAGTTTCACCACTGCCCACAGCTGGAAAGCAGGGACTTCTGGCACCAAGTGCTGTGGGAATGATTTCACACAAGCACCAAATGTTGACGCCTAAGATTCATCTTGGTCAGTTTTATCCGTTTCTCTTCCATGAACACATTCACGTGGAATCCACCCAGATGGCATGAGGGTTTACTGAAAAATTTTTTATGAATCTGCTCATTTTTATCACCATGGAACTGTATTTAAAGAAGATAAATTATTTTTCTTTGCATTCAACAACCCCAGTTTATCCCCCAAGTAATCAGAGAGTAATTCAAGGTGATCGAGGGTTTAGCCCTGAGCTTTCTTGATGAAGGAAATGTTCTGTGTCTGGTCTGTCCCCTGCTGTGGTCACTGGCCACACATGGCTGCAAAGCACTTGAGGTATGGTGAATGCAACAGAGGAAGTGCATTTTTAATTGTATTCAATTTACAGAGCTGCTGCTTTGAACTTCGCAGGTGTAGACGCATTGAGGCTGGTGTGGTTGCTTATCTTCCTAACAGAGCTCCTTAGCAGGGAAAAATATATTTTAGATTTCCTTCAAATCAGTGTTTGAAACACTTGTAATAATTGTCATTCTCATGAAGGAAATTCATCCTATTTTACAGCAGAAACACAGGAAACCAGGAGTTATGGAGACTGGCTTAGGATGTAGGAGGATTAATTGATTTTTTTTTGGTCGATGATTATAGATGTAAAAGTGACTCAGTTTCTTGTTAATTCCCCAGGTAGCTTTTACTGAGACCCTTGCTTGAAGTAGGAGATCCAGGCTCTGGAGATGGAGCCGGGAGAAATTATAGCCTCATGCACACAGGGCTTGCTCCATGCTCCCTCCAACTGCCTCCCGACTCCTGATGCCCACCCCGTCTAGAAAGCTCTTCCCTCCGACACACAACATGCGTGTGGCTCTTCCCTTTGCTCCTTGCCTCTCTGCTGGAATGCCCCTCATCTCAGAGCTGTCCCTGCCTAACCCCCGCTCTCACTCCCTTCACCCGCTGTGATTTTCTACAAAGCACAGATCACCATTGGACATTGGCACGAGGTAGCCTTACTTGCTACTGGTGTGTGGGGGTACATTTTGGCCAAGTGAAGCTCAAGACCCCTGCTCTGCAGCCAAGCAGAAGTGTTGAAGAGCTGCTATACGAGACATCTAAGGAAAGGGAGACAAGTGGGAGGTGAAGCTGTCCTGCAGCTGAGAGAGACCACTGGGAGAGTTGAGGGCCGCTGGAGGAGGAGCAGTGAGGGGCACTGCATAGGTGTGCCCAGGATTTGGAGGTCAGGGAAGTGAGGGAGAACCTGCAAAGGAGACTGAGAAGGCAGAGAAGCAAGAGAGGGCTGGATCCTGGAAGCTGGTGAAGAAATAAGGATAACTTTGCCCACTCCTGACAGAGAAGTTGGATGGAGACAGAATTGGCCGTGGACTCAACTGTGTGGAGTCAATTCTGGGGACCTTGGCAAGTGCTGCTCAAGTGAGTGCTGGTGTGATCAGCAGAGAGCAGGAGGAGGTGAAGTGGAGACCTGGCACAGGCCAGCCTGGAGGGCTTCGCTTAGATAGGGAGGCGGGAACTCCATTATTTATAAAAGCAGATGGCCAGCATGCGCAATGCCATTTGCAACTGGGATATCCATGGTGACGCTGTGATTTACTCACATGTGATAAGAATGTAGTTGACCCAGCGTATGTATGTAGATTCATCCTAAATAAATGATTGGATTAGGAGTTCCAAGATTTTTGCCTTATTTAAAATATATGCTAATCACTACTCAATATACATCTTTTCAAATCAATCTATTTGAACATAACAAACTTAGGACGGGAAAATAGCATCAATAAGCCCAAATCTGAGTGATGCAGAGTGTGAGGGGGGCTGGAGAGACATTCCCATTGTTTTCTCCCAAAGTTACATTTAGATCCAGAAAGAATTTTGCTTACTAAAAAAAGAAATCCCAGAATCCTCTTTCAGAAAATTTTGAAATAGGATTAATTTAACCTTTCTAGAAGACTTCAAGACATTTCAAGATGGACATTTTTGTGCCAGTAGAGAAGTTCCTGCTGTCTCTGATACTAAGAAAGAAAACCTTCTCTGCCTCAAATTTGCCTTAGAAAACACCAGGCAAGCACTACACTTTGATGCCTAAGATCCATCTTACTCAGTTATCAGTTTCTCTTCCATGGACATATTCATGTGAAATCCAGCCAGATGGCAACAGGGTTTATTGCAACGATTTTTCAAATTTGAAGTCATTTTATTTTTCAAATTTTTCAAATTCTAAGCCATTATATTCGAGCCATTCAAAATGGCTTCAAAAATACCAAGGGCTGTTTCTGTAGTCCTGACCACCGAAGACCGTCCATCCCACCCAGAAAGGCGTTCTGGAGGTCGGAGACAGAGCTGGGCAATGAAGCCTCCACATAGAGGTAGGAGCTGTGCTCATCCCTGCCTTCTACTGCTGTAAACAGAATGGCCCCCTTCATCGTTGACCAGCTATTGCTGGGTCTTTCCAAATGGCTCAAGTCATGCACACAGCTCCACGGCTCACGGGTAGCAGCAGTTCCTTTGCCGCGGGTGCCCTGGTAGACGCAGTCAAGCAATGGTTCTCATCCCGTGTTTGCTTGTTTGACCAAACAACATAAGGTGGAAGAAACGACAGGACGGCTTGCCCACAGCCGGAGAGAACACGGTCCGGCCCCTCTCTGTAGAGCAGCCATGGATCCGGGAGACGGAGGTTTCTGAGACACCCTCAACTCATGAAAGAGCCCCGCACGTGTGCCAAGTGATTCCCAGACAGAAACGACGACGGGGAAACAATACCGAGGTATAAACTTACGCATTTTCATTGTAGGTATATTTCAGCTTTTGGTTTTCAAAGAGTCTTTTGGATCCCAGCAGAGGCAAAAAGACTTAGATAAATAGTTTTCAATGCCATGGTTGAAGCCGTTATCAGTAGGTTTGGGAAGAACGCCCTCCTTATATTTGATATGGACTCGCCTGGTCAGACAGGAGCAGAGGCACACTCGCACGGGGAAGGGAGAAGGGTTTAAATAAAGGAAATATTTACAAATATGTGGGTAGAATTAGGGAGAACCAAGAGCAACTAGGAAGCCTCCTGGGGCTGGTGTCAGCGGGTGGGCACCGTTGTCTCCCCTCAGCAGCAGGGAAGGGGAGCTGACCTGGAGACGCTGAGAGAGTTGCGTCTAAGAAAGGGCTGGTGGAGACGCGGAGGGAGCTGGGCCTGAGGAAGGGCTGCGCGCCGTGGCCACTGGTGGAGACGCGGAGGGAGCTGGGCCTGAGGAAGGGCTGCGCGCCGTGGCCACTGGTGGAGACGCGGGGGAGCTGGGCCTGAGGAAGGGCTGCGCGCCGTGGCCACTGGTGGAGACGCGGAGGGAGCTGGGCCTGAGGAAGGGCTGCGCGCCGTGGCCACTGGGGAGACGCGGAGGGAGCTGGGCCTGAGGAAGGGCTGCGCGCCGTGGCCACTGGTGGAGACGCGGAGGGAGCTGGGCCTGAGGAAGGGCTGCGCGCCGTGGCCACTGGTGGAGACGCGGAGGGAGCTGGGCCTGAGGAAGGGCTGCGCGCCGTGGCCACTGGGGAGACGCGGAGGGAGCTGGGCCTGAGGAAGGGCTGCGCGCCGTGGCCACTGGTGGAGACGCGGAGCTGCTGATATGCAGCCCCAGGAGAGACTAGGAGATACAGGTCCCAACTCCCCACTTTTCCTGCCCTCCAGGCCCCTGCCATCCTTCCCAGTGATCAAACCCACCCCCAGGCCAGAATCCCCTGGAAATCAGCTTCCGGGACTCAGAAGAGGGTGGAGGACAGGGGAGGGTGGAGAGGGGACGGCAGGGCCGAGTGCAGAGTGCTCAGTCCGGCCCTGCGAGGGGAGCTGGACTCCCCTTCCCTCCCTTGGCGCTGAGTGGGGTGGGGTTGGGGACATGATGTACACCCTAGGATTCAAGAACACGTGCACACACGGCCTGCGCGGGTGCAACTCTGGGGATGTGACGGCCACACGGAAGCATGTCCGGCTCTCAGGCCTGCTGTCCAGGCAGGCAGGGCTGGAGGCAGGCCTCTGAGTCTGGGCATCTCCGGGTGGCCCTGGAGAGCACTCTGTGTCGATCTTGCCCTGAGAAGGGTGCGTCGGTGCGGAGCCGTCACGGTGGGCCTGGCCCTGCTGCTGAGGAAAATGCAGGGCCCCGGGCTACGTATGGGTAGTTGCAGAGCTTCAACTCTCATTTGACAAATTTCAGAGAGATCTCGTGCACTCGGAGCCGTTTGCATCACTGGGGCCGTTTCTAAGGCGGGAGAGGCAGTGCGACCCCCACGCAGCCACCTTGGGAAAGGCAGAACTACCTGCCCGATTGGCTCTCAGCAAGGGCCTCAGATCCTCAACACGTGGGCCGAACGCCCCTGCCACTCGGTAACTGGGTGACCCAAGGCAAGCTACTTAACTTCTCAGCTTCAGCTTTTCATCTGAATAAATGGATAATCTTATGGTGAGAATCAGCACTGTCTCTGATCCATGCTAAGCATCAAGAAATAGCCTCTATTTTGCTGTTGGTTCAACAGGAACAAATCTGTCTTCCAATAATAAATGCAGTGACTGGCACGTTGTTTGAAGACATAAACCTGATATCATTAATCTGCTAGATTTCTGACCTTGGGAAAATCTCTGGTTCTCAGATGGTTTTATCAGTGGAATAAAGTATTTGGACAGGACGAGATAATCTGTAGGCTCCAGTTCTGATATGCTCTGCATTACAGGGAAGGACAATAGGACCACTTGGCCAGAGGACACTGAACAGGTCCCTTTAGGTCTCTAAGACATGAGGGAGAACCGCCGGGGTATGAAGGAGATGAGAGATGGGGCAGAAAAGATGAGTCCCAGATAAGAAGCCCAAGGAACAAGAGACCCCTGAAATGGGGACAGGAGGGCAGTGGCTCATCCTCTAGGTTGGGGACAGGAGGGCTCTGGGTCACCCTCTGGGTTGGGGACAGGAGGGTTCTGGGTCACCCTCTGGGTTGGGGACAGGAGGGCTCTGGGTCACCCTTTGGGTTGGGGACAGGAGGGCAGTGGCTCATCCCTCTAGGTTGGGGACAGGAGGGCTCTGGGTCACCCTCTGGGTGGGGGACAGGAGGGCAGTGGTTCATCCTCTAGGTTGGGGACAGGAGGGCTCTGGATCACCCTCTGGGTGGGGGACAGGAGGGCAGTGGCTCACCCATTAGATTGGGGAGAACTTTTCTCTTGGTTCTTGTCATGGTGCTGGAAGCAAGTATGTTTCCCTGTTCCTGGGACCCAGACTCACACACACACACACACACACACACGGGTGAACAGGGCCATGCTCCAATGTGCTTCTGCTCCCCTGAGACCCTGCAAGGAAGGAAATGCGGAGCCCTCATCAGACAGGCCTTAAGGGTCACTGCTTCCCGCTTCTCCTGGCAGATGCCCTGAGGGTACATGGGTCATTCTGACCGTCTGCAGGTTCCAGGAACTAGGCCTCCTTCCACAGGGAGAAGGACATTCCACCAGCAGGGATGGGGCCGCCAGGGCAGCAGAGACCCTGGGCCTGTCCTGGAGAGACAGCTCCTGTGGCCTTGCTTACCACAGGATCCCAGACCTTCACACACTAGCGGCCAAGGTACAAATAACTCACTCATCCCTGAAACTTTATGCAATGAGAAGTCAGTCACTGCTTAGACTCCAGACATAACACTAAGGCCTAGATTAAAATAGCTTTATCCAGCTGTTCGATTTCCATCTAAGGCCAACGGACTTCTTTAGGCAATGAGTAGTGACCAAAAAAAGAAAAAGGCAAAAAATTAATATTTACTTTTACAGTCTCAGATTCCACAGGGACATTGTTCAGGGGAAATCCCAGGAGTCTCCTGGAGAGGGTCAATGAATGAGTCTGGGTCTGGGTCATCTAGGAGTAGTGGAACCCGAAACCAGATTGTGTGCCAGAGGCTGCTTCCAGGCGGAGCAGCACCACAAAGCTGCCCCTAGGTAAGAGCCTGGGATTCCCGTGGGATTTGGAGAGCGCAGGCATGAGGCACGGGCTGAGATTGACCCTGCGAGCCAAGTTATTTCCTCTGCACAGCAGTACTGCATGTGCAAAAGCTGGCCTGTCTCCATCTGGAATCTGAACGTCAGAAATGATTCCTGGGGTTGCTTTTTTATTTTAATGGGTCATAAGGAGAATTCCACAGAAGAGGCTACAGCAGGAGAGCCTGAAGCGGGGGAGAGGTGACGGTCACGGGGGATTCTGGCCATTGTGCCAATGCGCTGTGAGTGACGGGGGACCCTGGGCGGTGAGTGCAGACAGGGGTGTGGGACTGCTGCTTCCAGATACAAAATAGCTACTCCCGTTGCAGCCCAAACTGGAGTCAGCATCTACTGGGCCTGCAGGAATGAACGCCTTACTAATGACCATGAATTCAGAGTGCGAGGAAGAACCAGGCCTGTTTAGTATTGGGGACATTCCAGATTTAGGGATATGGAGGGCTCTGCTTATTAGGTCATGGGCTTTGTCCATGTGGACACACATTGGGTTGGAAATGGCCCTTTTCACAAAGCGTGCCTTCTTTCCTCATCTGGTGTGTCTTCCTCGACCGCAGAAGCTGGAGAGCTTGCAGGAGCCACGGTTCCTGACCCCTCTGCAGCTGGGATTCTGCACGCCACTTCCATTTCCTCACTAGCTTCTCTTACCTATGGAGATGTCAAAGCAGAGGCTAAGTGGGCGCCATCTCCTTGCTGCAGGTGGTCATCTCCTGCTACCTGGAGAGGCTGCACCGTCGGACACTCCCACAGCACCGCCCCTGCACCAGCAGTCCTGTGTTGAGGAGCGGGTTTGTGTGGAAAGGTGGAACACCCAGCTGAACGGCTGAGTGGCATTTGCAGCTCCCTGATCCTGGTTGTATGTCTTTGACCTGAATCTGGTGGTTTTGGTGCACCTGATTCCCCATTTTCAACTTGTGGCAAAGGCTGTCAGTGGGTCAGGTCTTTGGGGTTCTAAGAGCCAATCCTGGAGGTCCCACCAAAGCCCTGTCTGCCAGCCCTGCTCCAGGGGGCCCTCAGCTTGCCCTGGAGCCCCCGCGGTGGTTTCTGTTTCTTTTGCTGAGCCATCAATGGTACAACTCACTGTTCCCCGAGGAAGTAGAATATCTTTGTTCATTTATTTATTCCTTCATTTGTTGATTCATTAGTTCTTTTATTTAACTATAGTTATATAAATAACTATAGTATATTAGTTTTTATTTAACTATAATATAAAGAGTTAAATAACTATATTGTTAAATAAAAGAACTATTTAATAGTAATAACTTTTATTACTAACACTGAACACCTATGACTTGTAGGTGCTTTCCCAAGCTCTGGGGACATAGAATTAAATAAGACTTAATCATTGATGAGATGACAACCTAGTGGGGGACCCCAGAAGACAGCCCTTCCATTGAACGTATCCCAGGCAATGGTGGAGCCTGGTCCTGCTGGGCGCAGAAGGTGGCTGCCAGGAAAGGTTTCTGGGAACTATCCCAGGGGGATAATATCAGGACATTTACACAGAAGCACACTGGTAAGCGAGAGGCTCTGTTAGGGGGCAGAGTGGAATCTTGGAAGGGCGAGGCTGACTTTCAAAGGCTTCATGAAGGTCATGCTTGAGCAGAGAACTGGAGGGAAGAAGAGCTGCAGGTTGGTGGAGAAAAAGGAAATGACAGCCATGGCCATGACTCACTGTGCTCAAGAGACCTTTTTAACTCTTCCCTCATCATGGGGCTCAAGGGCGAAGCCATCAGAAGCAGCTGATTCTTATGCCAGGCTCTGGTCTTCCCTGCAGCCATCGTCTTCCATCTCCGCAGGCCTCCTGGGTTGCAGCCCGGGATCGGATTCCAGGCCACAGGAGGGGCTGCAGCGGCGCCTCTGAGGTCCTTTCTGCATTTTCCTCCACCTCTCTTCTCTCCACCAAGTTCAAATCCTCTTTCCACTTTCACGAAGCTCCCATGGGCTCCTGTGAACCAGGTCACACCTGGGAATTCCTTTCCGAATTCCTCATGGCAAGCCCAGGCGGACACCTGGTTCTGGGCCCACTGCTGCAGCTGTCATTGCTCTGTGTGTTCTCACTCGGCCCTTGATGGCCAGCCCTGCAGAGAACCCCTGTCTGTCACGATTTCATCCTGCCTGGCACGTCCACACTGTGTGGGATGACCACGTGCCTGATTACTCAGCATAAGCCACTCACTTCACAGGCATTTGCTGAGGCCCTGCCACGCACCAGCATGGATGTTACATTGAGTAAGAGGGAGGCCCTCTTTTCTGTTCGCATGGACTTGGGGAATCCAGGTAATTACCCAGGAGGGTGGTCGTCCGGTGCACATAGCAGAAGGGTGAACAATTTAATCCAGGTGATGAGAGCTGGCATGGGGCTCTTTCCTCGGTGTGATGAGAGACCAAGGGCCTCTGACACCAACAGCAGCAGTAGGTTGCTGGTGTCAAGGAGGCTCTAGGGGCACCGTCTCTGCTGACACTCACGGCGGGTGTCCCTGCATCTCACGGATGAGGAAACAGAGGCACACACAGGCTCAGGAAGTCACTCAGGTGTGCAGGTAGGAAACAGAGGAGCGAGGATTTGACCAAGACCTCCATCCAAGTCGCGAGGCAGGAAGAGCTCCCAGGTGGGCTGTGGGGAAGGGAGAGGGAAGAGCAGGTGCAAAGTGAGGAGGCATGGGACACAGGAAACCAATGCAAGTTGCAGGAGGATGGCTCCCCATGCCTCGCAGAGTGCAGGGTGCATGGCAGGCACCCAGCAACGCTGATGCCCTGACAGCCACAGTGGCTCCGGGGTGTCTGCCACAGGTTCTGAGAGGAGCCATGGGTGAGAGCAGAAGGCTCGCGGGCTGGGCGTGTCTCACACCTGTCCAGATAATCGCGCTGCCGCTTGTGGTGTTGAAACCTTTGGCAAAACCTAACACCCCGAGCCTCAGTTTCCCCAGCTGCAAATCAGGAGTAATATATGTACTTTGTGGCATTATTTTGTGCGTAGGAGACAGTATGTATGGAGCAGTAGCATGGTGCCAGGTAAACAGTGGGTGCTCAACAAATGTGTACGGTTAACATCCCACACTCAGCACACAGCTCCCCAGGGCCCAGAGAAGCCCTCTGGTGGGGTGAGAGCCACTCCCGCAGGACCGGTCTCTACCATAGGCGAGCATCCCCAAGCCGGCGCTGCCGTAAAGAACTCTCGCGCTATGGATTTCATTATTCGCATCTTACATCTTTCTGGTAAGTGATAATGCTGTTTGTTATAACTCATTAAATTGAATAATCAGCAAAGATCACAAAACAAGAACAAAATTTACCCACACATGGTTCTCTATGGGTTCACCTCTCCCTGTGGGAGCCCTAAGGGAATTTACTGAATTGAGTGTTTCCTGCTTTCTGAACTCCATAAACCTTGAGTTAACGTGGACCTGCGGGAAGGGCAGGTGGAAAACAGCCCCCATTTCTGAAGGATGCTGGAGTCCATGGCTGCGTGTCTCCAGCAATCTCATGGGCCTGTGCACAAGCTTCTCATATGTATTGACGGCTTTTTTTTTTCCCACATGCAAAGGGGTCCCCTCCTCTTGTACTGACCTCCTGCTCTCTCCAGCCAGGCCTGTGAGCAGAGGAGGAGTTGCAGTTTGCAAGATGCAGACAACAGTCTTCTCAGGGCCCAGCCCAGCATGGCTTTGGGACGCATAACCCTTACTCTCCCAGGGAGCAGTAACAACAAAGTGCACACACACAGCCCGGTGAGTCCACCGCACGCAGAGCTGTGCTGAAGCTCCCCGTTGATTTTAGCTCGTGGGGTTTGGCAGTTGCATTTTGCTCGGACTTTGACTTCATTTGAAACTCCATGGTGGGAAAATATGTCAATCAGATTGTTTTCTTGAGAATGAGGCCTTTGCTAACAGGCATAGAAATCTAACCTGCGTGATGAAATAAGGCAGTTTCTGCTGGACAGATGGGGTGAAGTTTGGATCTTTAGAAACTCTGGGAAAATTTGAACAATAGTAAACTCTGAGAATCTGCTGAGAATTCATCTCTGTCGCCTTCTTGCCGGCGGTTCCAGTTTTGGGGGAATGAGTCAACAATTCTGTGTGTGGCAGTGAGTGTTTTCAGAAGGTAGCCATCCACCTGGACCCTTCTCCCCCAGCCTGTTCCATTCCCCATGGCTCCAGCCACACCCTCAGGTGAGAGCCAGCATTGCTACCATCTGGGCCTATCTCAGGGACTGGTGCCCTCTCAGGCACGATTCATGAGTTTGCTTCTTGAAATTCACCTGCTCTTTTAAACGACGTCCAACTCACACCAAGTCTTAATGGAGGTCCTTGTCATTTACCAGATGTTTTGGGCAACCTTGATGCCCAGCACCAGGGTTTCTGGGCTTCTCTCTATGTCGTATCAGGACAGGCGTCTTCGGTCTCTGTTCCAAATTATTGGCAGTTTTCTAGGGACCTGGTGTGGCAGAGAGAAACTGAACACTGTTGTAGGGCTGACTTAAGTCCTGCAGAACAGGCAGAATACAGAGGCAATGGGTTTGCTGGGTCGGATGTAGAACAAAGGTTTCAAGCGTAAGGGACATTGGTTTTTGGCCCTCACCCCCGCCATCACCACCACTCTGATCCATGCCAATAACTCGGTTTGGGTGCAGAAGCTGTTTTTATTGGGAGGTTCATATGTAATTTGCTGTCTCATATTTGCATACACATATTTCCCCCCTAGACAGTTCTAGCCTTCAAAAAAGAAAGGAGACTCTTCTTGTTCATCTGATAACATCACTTCTTAAAAGCATCAGTTTCTTTGTATGTTTTTGAGGGAGCTGAACTACCTGCTCTGTGAGGCATCCCCCAGTCAGCAGCCTGTGTCGAGGGACAGGTAAGACCCTGTGAATGGCCTTCGCTGGTCATGAAACATCTCGTCATGGTTGATTTACTGGGGGCAGCGTGTGACTTTGGGGTTAAATTTTCCTGGGATATTTGGCCAGCTGTGCTCCAACTGGGAAGTGTCTGCTGGTGCCTGCTAGTCTCTGGTGCACAGGACTTTGTCGCCCTCTGAGCTGGCCCCACACAGCTGACCCTCATGGCTTCCGACGCGCTGACCACGCCAGCCCCCGCTTTCCTTCCCAACCATGCTGGTTTCCCTGACATCTCTCTTCACCCGGTTGGCCCCGACTTCAACAAGGCCCTCTCCTGGACACCACCCCCGCCCCCACTCCAGCCCAGGTCCTGCTCACTGGGCAGCTCGGAAACCGCTGGATGGAATCTCTGAAGAAAAGGACACTCAGGACAGTGTGAGCACAGCAGAGCTGTGTAGATGAGACCCAAACAACTGGCCATTCATCCATGTGTGAAAATAATGTAGACATGGCCCTTGAGACAGAAAAGGATTAATCCACAAACAAAACCAGTTAATTTTATCCTATAAGCAATGCCAAAAGTTTCAGGAGATCTTAAATCTTGCAGAATAACTTGCAAGGTCAGTTTGTCGTTTCCTTCCTGAGATACTGCTCCTCCTTTTTGAGAACCTACCCATCCTTCCAAATCTTCTGCCGAGCTCCCACCAGGCAGCTGGGTGGAAACGCTTCTGCACACAGAGGCAAAGGTTCCGGTGCCTATGAAGGATCCACTGAACCTGCAGGTCCCTGACAGTGTCGATGGTGGGGATTCAACACCCAGCGTCCCATGGAGAGACTCCTTCCTTAGGGCCTCTGTAGACACTCACGGCATTTCCTGAGTGTAGCTCAGTTCTCAGGAATTTCTCCCCCCCGTTCTCGGGAGAGCACCAGACCCGATGGCGCAGCGGTGCTCCTGCCTCGGCCAGTGGACAATGCTGGCTGCTTTGCTTGCACTGGCCCATGGTGCCTGCGCTGTCCTCCCTCCTGCTGTGCCGTCCTCTCTCCAAGTTGTCCTCCCTCCCGCTGGGCCGTTTTTCCTCCCTCTGGTCCGTCCTTCCTCCTGGTTGGGCTGTCCTCCCTCCTTCCTCTGGGCCATCCTCCCTCCTGGCTGGGCTGTCCTCCCACTCACTGGGCTATCCTCCCTCCTGCTGTGCCGTTCTCCCTCCTTCTGAGTTATCCTCCCTCCCTCTGGGCCATCCTCCCTCCTGGCTGGACTGTCCTCTCTCCTGGCTGGACTGTCCTCTCTCCTGGCTGGGCTGTCCTCTCTCCTGGTTGGGCCGTCCACCCTCCCTCCCTTCTGGCTGGGCTGTCCTCTCACCCTCTGTGCCATCCTCCCTTCTGGCTAGGCTGTCCTCCCTCCTGGCTGGGCCATCCTCCTTCCTGGTGGGGCTGTCCTCCCACCCACTGTACCATCCTCCCTCCTGGCTCGGCTGTCCTCTCTCCTGGTTGGGCTGTCCTCCCTCCTGGCTGGGCCATCCTCCTTCCTGGCGGGGCTGTCCTCCCACCCACCGTACCATCCTCCCTCCTGGCTCGGCTGTTCTCTCTCCTGGTTGGGCTGTCCTCCCTCCTGGCTGGGCTGTCCTCCAACCCACTGTGCCATCCTCCCTTCTGGCTAGGCTGTCCTCCCTCTCTCTGGGTCGTCCTCCCTCCCAGCTGGTTCATCCTCCTGCCTGCTGGGCCATCCTGCCTCCTGGCTGGGTCCATGCCCCTGTGCCTTCAGGAGACACCCCTGTGCCATGGGGCTGGCCCTGTGCACGTTAGAGCCACCTGCACCCCACATCCTCCTGCACGGGTCCCTAACTTCCCACTTAGCCTTCAGCTGTATTTTGGGTGGGCTGCGAGGAGCTTTGATGCCTTTGTGCCACGCATTTCTCGCTGCTGTTCAGGATGGACCCACATGTCCCTGGCATTTTGCCTTCTCACCCTCATCCCCTCTCTCCCAGCTTGGGGTTCTGCAGGCTTCTTTGCAAGAAGGACACAGTGCAAGCCTTCCCATGTCCATTTGCTGTCACCCACCTCTCCTGCCGAGGTCAGTGCTAGGTCCCTCCAGTGCTGGCCACACATCTATGGGGGCCATCTGTCCCCGACACGACTCCTGGGACCCCAGGTCTCGGCCTGCCCCCACCCAACTTCTGGGACCCCGGGTCTCAGCCTGTCCCCACCCGACTTCTGGGACCCCGGGTCCCCAGCCTGTCCCCACCCGACTCCTGGGATCCTGGGTCTCAGCCTGTCCCCACCTGACTCCTGGGACCGTGGGTCTCAGCCTGTCCCCCACCTGACTCCTGGGACCCTGGGTCCCCAGCCTGTCCCCAGCCCTGCTGATCTGGGCCGTTGCCGGAATGCTCTTTCTACATGCCGATCTTTCTAAGTACAGATGGGCCAGTGCGGCCTGGCCTCACACTTCTCCTTGGCTCCCCATCCATTTCTCCAGGATAAGGCCCAGACAGCATGGCTTATGGCCCTTCCATCTGCCCCTACTGAGTTCTGCTTTTCTCAGTGGCTGAATTGCCCATTTGAGGATTCTGTAGAGCAGCTGGGAGTGGGTTCCACCTGGGCTGCCCTTCCCCTGCTCTCAGATGTGGACCCCGCAGGGAACTGGCGGCCTCTGGGATGGGACAACCACACCCTCCGTTTCCTTTCTGCAAACCATGGGCTGACTCCTGTCACACTCCCAAAATGGCTGTGGTTTCTCTTTCTCACTCAGACTGTAAGTCCTTGAGGACAGATGTCAGGCCTTATTGCTCACCCCCCTCACCTCAAATCAAGTCCGAGGGTCTCTGTGGGAACATTTGGAAGATTTGCAACTCGTTCTGTAAGCCTGCAGCTCAGGGATGCAGGCACCCGTGGAGACCCTGGGAGGGAGGGTCTGTCTGCAGCCACCTGCTTTTCTGTGGAGCCCAAGAGGTGGCCCCACCAGCCCCACCTGTCCTCCCGGGGGTGTCCTCCCAAGGGTCCCCACCTGTCCTCCTCCAGCAGAGGGGCCCCTCAGATCCGCTCCATGTGATGGGTGCCTTCCTCCGGCAGGACTGATGTCTAAAGCTGGCTCCTGTGGGAAGCTTCTGGAGGTTCCAGCCCCCGGGGGCCTGGCCCTTGCTCAAGGGGTTCCTTGGATGCAGGGGTCTTGTTCCCCTCACCCTCCTTCTTCAGGCAGCCCCCTCTGCTCCTGGGCGAAGGGCAGACGCCTCCAGCCCCTTGTGCTGAGGCTTCCTTGTGCCTTCAGTTGACGGAGCTTCTCTCTTGCTCCGTGGCCCAGGGTGTCCACATGGCCTTGCCTGACACACTTGACAGCACAGGTGGCGATGGTGGGGCCGCTTCTCTGGGCCCCACAGGAAGCGGGGAGGGAAGAGCTGAGGACAGAAGAAATAGGGGAGGGGCTGGCCACAGCCCCCCACTTCCAGGCTTCCAGGCTGAATATGTGAGGTGCAGCGGGGAGGGACGCTTCAATGGTGGATGAATTTTAGAAGGTAGTGGGCCAGGACATTTTAAGTACAGAAGTGATTCTTGTGGCTGGGAGTGACCAGAGGACTTTACATTATCCCTTAGGGTTGAGAGGTACTCCGAGGCTGCAGGTTTCCTTCCGGGAGGAAGAGCGAGCCGCACCTACTTAGGGCTGCCGGAGGAGGGGCAGCAGGTGCACACAGACACTTACAATTACAACCCTCAGCCTTCTGCCCAGGATTCTCAGCCTCCCTGGGCATGTGAACCCACAAAACAGTGATCACCATGGATGTGCTACATGCATAGCATTCTAGTTAGATTCCTTTTTACCCCAGTGTTTTATTTTGAAAAATTTCAAACTTACAGAAAGCTGAGATAATAATGTAACGAGCACTCTAAAGTCACCAGTTGCTAACGCGTTTCCTCATCTGTATTCTCTCGCTCTCTATATGTGCGTGTATGTACATGCGTGAAGTTTCGTTTTGGATCCACTGCTTGCTAACCCGTCTGAGAGCAAACCATGGAATCAGGGCCCCTTGCCCCAGCACTTTTGCCGGTGTCATCCAAGAACATGGACCTTCTCTGAAATAACCACAATGACACGCCAAGCCAAGCAGCTCAGCATTGATTCAGTGTTGATGTCGCATCAGCTGTCAGCACTGTTGACTCAGCGCTGTACCTCTGGTTATACAGTCTCTCTCCAAATGTCCCCAGCCATCCCAAAAACGTCCTTGGTAGGTTTTTAAGAAGACAGATCCACAGGAGAATCTCACACGCCCCTGCTTGCTGAAGCTCTTTTGTTTCTTTTTAATCGAGAGCACCCCCGCCCCCTGCCCCATCTCTTTTGCTTTTGCATTTTTGTGTTTTTGTTTTGGTTTTCATGACATTGTTGGTTTTGAAGCGTTCAGGTCAGCTGCCTTATATATGTGTCTTAAAACCAGTAGCCCTCATAGATACAAAAAACAAATTAGAACATTTAAGGAAGAAAAGACCCCCATTTATCACAGCAAAAATAACAGCAGCAGCAAAAATAACAGCAAGAACCAGAAGTAAATTCAATGAGGAATTGGCAAGATCTATGAGGAAAGTTTTCAGATACCACGGAGGTGCACGAAAGACCTGAACACATAGAAAGACACACTTTTCTTGACGAAGAAGTCTCAACACCATAATGCTATACATTCTCTTTAGGTTATCCTAAAAACATAATATGATCCCAATAAAATTACCAACAGTGATTTTTTTTGAACCAAGCAAGCTAATTTCAAAGTTCATGAGGAAAAATAAGTAATAGTAAAGAAACTCTGAAAAGGAAGAGCAGTGCAGGGCCCTCGCCTGCTGGATATGAATCACGAAGACCCAGCAATGAAAGCGGCCCGGTGCCGGCTCGCACAGGCGGAGGCAGGTGGGACAGAGGAGAGTTCAGGCACAGAAACTAGCACTGTGGGAATGAACAGGTGAATAAAGGTGGCAGCTCGAGTGAGAGGAAAAGGTGTGATTTTCAATACAACGTCGAATACCTGGATTTTTCTGCTACTGGGCGGGGGGAAAACACCTTTGGATCCCCATAGCACAGCACACTGGGGTGGACTGCAAATGGGTCAAACAAAAAAATGCAAGTGAGAGAAACCGTGATGATACTAGATAAAGCACAGGAAAATCCCTTATAACCCGGATTGGAGAAACTAAGACTCAAAAATTCAACTGGAGTTAAAAGAAATGCAGCTCATATCACAAAAGACGAATACCTCTCACATATAAAGGGCCTTACAAATCAATAAGAAAAAAACAAGCCAGAAAAAAATGGGCAGTGGAAATGAACAAACTGGCCCAGAGAAGGGCAAAGGCAAATGGCTCTTAAATACAAGAGAAGACGCTCAGCTGACTGAGATACCGTTTCTTTCACTTAGAAGCTCAACCAAAATGAAAAATTTGGACAATATGCCCTGCGGTGTGGGAAGACAATATGTACATCGTGGATGAGAGTGCATGCTGAAGGGTGATTCAGCGATATCTATTTAACTACAGATGCAAGCCTACCTCTGGGGATGTATCCTAACGATACACCTTCATGGGTGTAAAGGTATTCATTATGGCATTGTGTGAATAAGCAAATCATTAGAAACAGCCCTAGTGATATGGTTTGGCTGTGTCCCCACCCAAATCTCATTTTGAATTGTAGCTCCCATAATTCCCACGTGTTGTGGGAGGGACCCAGTGGGAGGTAATTGAATCATGGGAGCAGTTTCCCCCATACTGTTCTCGTAGTGAATAAATCTCATGAGATCTGATGGTTTTATAAGGGAAACCTCCTTCTCTTGATTCTCATTTCTCTCTTGCCTGCTGCCATGTCAGATGTGCCTTTCGCCTTCCACCATGATTGTGAGTCTTCACCAGTCACGTGGAACTGTGAGTCCATTAAACCTCTTTTCTAAAAGTAGCCGGGTGTGGTGGTCGGCTCCTGTAATCCCAGCTACCTGGGAGGCTGAGGCAGGCAGATCACAAGGTCAGGAGATCAAGACTACCCTGGCTAACATGGTGAAACCCCGTTTCTACTAAAAATACAAAAAATTAGCCAGGCATGGTGGTGGGCACCTGTAGTCCCAGCTACTTGGGAGGCTGAGGCAGGAGAATGGCGTGAACCCAGAAGGCAGAGATTGCAGTGAGCCAAGATCGCGCCATTGCACTCCAGCCTTGGCAACAGAGCGAGATTCCGTCTCAAAAAAAAAAAAAAGAAAGAAAAGAAAAAAAAAGAAAAATGCCGTAAACCTCTTTTCTTTATACCCAGTCTCAGGTATATCTTTATCAGCAGCATGAAAACAGACTAATACACCTAGTGTCATTAATAAAAGATAAAAGATGATTGAATAGTATATTTTATTATAAACAAAATATGAAGCTGTAAAAATGAATGAGAAAGCTCTCTGCTGGAAATAAGGATGAATCTCCAGAATATAATATTTAGTGGAATAGGATGGTACAGAAAGGTGTGGAAGGAAGTGGGGAAAATAAGAATAAGCATAAATACTTATATTTCCTCCTGTTTACACCAAGAAACTCAGGAAGGATACATAAGAAACTGAGTGGTAACCTGAGGGCAGGGGCAGGGGTGGATGTGAGCATGGGGAAAATTACAACATTTTTCACCTATACCTATTGACATTGTTTTGATATTGAACCATGTGAAAACATAACCTATTCTGAAACACACACACTCACGCGTACAGACCACAGTGTAAGCTGGGACAATCGTCTTGACAGCCTGTTTGGCAGGTCAGGCAGACCCTAGAGATGCAGGTCAGGCAGACCCTACAGATTCCAGGTTTAGTTCTAGACCACCACGATAAAGCAAATATCACAGTAAAAGGAGTCACTTGAATGTTTTGGTTTCCCATTGCATATTAAAGCTATGTTTACACTATGCTGTAGTTTATTAAGTGTGTAATTGCATTGTGTCTAAAAAACAATGTACATACCTCAGTTAAAAATACTTTTATTGCTAAAAAATGGTAATGATCATCTTAGCTTGTAACAAATTGTAATCTTCTTTTCTGGTCTTGCCTGAATGTTGATGGCTGCTGACTGATCAGGGTGGTAATTGCTGAAGGTTGAGGTGGTTGTGGCCTCACAAATATTCCTAATACAAGAAAATGAAGTTTGCTGCATTAATTGACTCTTCTTTTTATGAAAGATTTCTCTGTAGCATGTGATGTTGTTTGATAGCATTTTACCAACATAGAACTTCTTTCACAATTGGAGTCAGTCTTCTCCAACCCTGCTGCTGCTTTATCAACTAAATTTGTAGAATATTCTAAATCCTTTGTGTAATTTCAGCAATGTTCATAGCATCTTCATCAGGAGTAGATTCCATCTCAGTAGGCCACTTTCCTTGCTCATCCATAAGGAGCAACTCTTCACCATTCAAGTTTTATCATGAGAGTGCAGCAGTTCAGTCACATCTTCAAGCTCCTCTTCTAATTCTACTTCTCTTGCTATTTCCACCC
Source organism: Homo sapiens (assembly GCF_000001405.40). NCBI lineage: Eukaryota > Metazoa > Chordata > Mammalia > Primates > Hominidae > Homo > Homo sapiens. The sequence goes on along the minus strand of NC_000013.11, from coordinate 112,022,152 downwards.
CATCTGTAGTTCCTTTGTCTACTGAAGTCCTGAACCCTCAAAATCATCCATAAAAGTGGGAATCACCTTCTTCCAAACTCCTGTTAATGCTGACATTTTGACTTCCTTCCATGAATCACAAATGTTCTTAATGGAATCTAGAATGATGAATACTTTCTAGAAGGTTTTCAATGTACTTTGCTCAGATCCACCTGAAGAATCATTATCTATGGCAGCTATAGTCTTATAAAATGTATTTCTTAAATACTAAGACCGAAAAATTAAAATGACCCTTTGATTCATGGGCTTCAGAATGGACGTTATGTTAGCAGGCATGAATACAACATGAATCTCCTTGTACATCTCCATCAGAGCTCTTGAGTAACTTAGATGCATTGTCAATGAGCACTAATATTTTGAAAAAAATCTTTTTTCTGAGCAGTAGGTCTTAACAATGGACTTAAAATATTCAGTAAACCATGCTGTAAACAGACATGCTATCATCTATTCTTTGTTGTTCAACATATACACCACAGAGTAGACTTAGCATAATTCGTAAGGGCCCTAGGATTTTTGGAACGGTAAATCAGAATTGGCCTCAACTTGAAGTCACCAGCTGCATTAGCCTCAGAGAAGAGAGTCAGCCTGGCCTTTGAAGCTTGAAGACAGGCATTGATTTCTCCTCTCTAGCTATGAAAGTCCTAGATGGCATCTTCTTCCAATATAAGGTTGCTTCATCTACATTGAAAATCTGTTGTTAGTCTAACCACCTTCATCAATGATCTTAGCTGGATCTTCTGAATGGCTTGCTGCAGCTTCTCCATCAGCACATGCTGATTCACCTTGCACTTTTATGTTATGGAGATGGCTTCTTTCCTTCAGCCTCATGAACTAAACCCCTGCTAGCTTCCAACTTTTTTTCTGCAGCTTCCTCACCTCTCTCAACCTTCATAGAACTGAAGAGACTTGGGCCTTGCTCTGGATTAGGCTTTGGCTTCAGGGAATGCTGTGGCTGTGGGTCTTCTCTCTAGACCACTCAGACTTTCTCCATATCAGCAGTAAGTGTGTTTTGAATGATAAGCGTTCCTGTGTTCGCTGACTCGCACTTTTCATTTCCTTCGAGAACCTTTCCTTTGCACTTACCACTTGGTTAGCAGTTTGGTGCCACAGACCTAGTTTTTGGCCTATCTCGGCTTTTGACGTTAGCTGAATTATTTAAGCTTATGTCAAACCTCACTAAGCTCAATGATTTTTAGCTTTTAGTTTAAAGTGAAAGATGTACAACCCTTCCTTTCACTTGAACACTTAGAGGCCATTGTTGGGCTATTAAGTGACTTCACTTTTAAATATTGTTTTGCTCTAGGGAATTTGGAGGCCTGAGTAGAGGGAGAGAGACTGGGAACAGCCTGTCGTAGAGGAGTCAGAATACACACACTTATTAAGTTTGCTCCTGTATGGGCATGGTTTATGGTGCCCCAAAATAGTTAACAGTGGTAACGTCAAAGATCATTGATCACAGATCATTGTAACAGATATAATAATAATAATAAAGCTTGAAATATTGCAAGAAATATCAAAATGTGACATGGAGACACAAAGTGAGCACATACTGTTGGAAAAATGGAGCCAAAAGACCTATTCGATGCAGGGCTGCCACAAAACTTCAATTTTTAAAACATGTAATATTTGCAAAATGCAATAAAATGAGATATCCCTGTATTTACTACAAAGCTAAGATAATCCCTCCTAAACCCGGGGATTTATGTAAGAGAAATGAGCACAAACAACTGAAAATAACACAAATAACGTGTTGACAAGAGAATGGCTAAGTAAATTGTGGTATGTTCTTAGAATGGAACACAAGTGAGGAATAAAAAAGAACAAATGATTATTACATTAAACCAACGGATGAATCTCCAACATGCTGAGTTGAAGAAGCCAGGCATGGGTGAGCCTGATTCTGCACACTCTGATTCTGCATGTATGAAGTTCAAGATCAGGGAAAACGAATCATTAGCCATGGAGTGAGCACAGTGGGTTTTTTTTGAGGGGAGTGACAATGAGGGGGAGGGGCAGGAGGGAAGCTTTGTAAAGTGCCGGTGGCTACTGGGGTCTCATCCCGTGCAGACATTTCCAGCAATCATCTACAATTCATGCACTTTGAGACTCTACAGGATGTATAGTATGTTTGGCCTCAATGAAAACATAAAAGAATATGATAGTCTTCCTGAGATGAAACCCTCTCATACTTTATGTCCTGGAAGAGCCCTCTGTCTTCATCACTCTTTTTTGATATTTTATTTTGGAATCATTACCGATTCACAGAAAGTTGCAAAGAAATGCAAAGGGAGGTCCCCTGCGTAACTACAGTATATTATCAATACCAGGAAGTTGAACGTGATAAATCCACAGGGCTTTTTCAGTTTTTGCCAGTTATATAGGCTCTCATGGATGTATGTGTGTGTTTGCACACATGTGCATGTCTACATAGCTCTATGCAATTTTATTTTGTGTGTATCTTTGTGTCACCACAACCACAATCCAGATAGAGAACTTGGTTTCTCGGGCTTCTCCCTTATCCCACACAGATTCCTCCTCCTTTCTCTAACCCCTGGCAACTGCGAATCTGTTCTCCATCTCTGTGATTTTGTCATTTCAATCATCTTATGTAAATGGAAGTCCCTTTCTATTGTGTTTGAGGCTTTATGCATATCTGAGTCTATTTATTGGGTATAAGCACTATGAACTATTATTTCTAATTTGTACAGAGTGGCAATCCATGGGAACTTGGGAAGTTCATGGGATTAACAAGGAGCTGGCATTCATGGCATTCTCCTCCTGTGGCTAGAGTGGGGCTCCTTATGTAGGATGGCGAGCTGTGTGAGCTAGAGAGAGAATATCTTCATGCATTGATCTAGGTGATTCTAAAGCCTGACAGAACCAATTTAAGAAGATTGGAGTTGTATCTAGTGTTGTTTCTGACCACAGTGGTGTAAAACTAGAAATCAATAACAGGAGGAATCTCAGAAAATTCATAAATATGTAAAGACTAAACAACATGCTCCTGAACAACCAGTGGGTCCAAGAAGAAATTGAAAGTGAAATTAAAAAATACCTTGAGACAACTGACAGTAGAAACTTAACATATCAAATCCTCTGGGGCGCAGCAAAAGCAAGAGGGAAGTTTATAGCAACAATGCCTACATTAAAAAGAAGAAAGATCCCAAATAAATAGGCTAATATTATGCCTCAAAAAACTAGAAAAAGATGAAAAACTGAACCCAAAGTTAGCAGAAGGCAGGACATATAAAGATCAGAACAAAAATAAATCACATAGAAAACAGAAAACCCATAGAAAAAGTTCATGTAATCAATAGTTGGTTCTGTGAAACAATAAACAAAATTAGCAAACCATAAGCTAGATGAGAGAGAGAGAGAGAAAGAGCGAGAGAGAGAACTCAAATAATATCAGAAAATAAAATGGAGTCACCGCAAAAATAAAAAAAAAACCATAAGGGACTATTATGAACAATTATATGCCAAAAATTAGGTAACCTAAAGAAAATGGATAAATTTCTAGAAGAAAATTACCTACCAAAATTGAATCATGAAGAAATAGAAAGCTTGGCCAATAACAAAGAGATTGAAAAAGTAATTACAAACCTTCCAACATACAAAAACTCAGGACCACATGGCTTCATGGCTGACGTCCCTCAAACATCCAAGGAAGGAGTATTACTAACACATCTCAAAGTCTTCCAAAACACAGATCTGAAAGGTATAATTCCCAATATCTTTTATGAGGCCAGCACCACCTTAATACCTAAGTCAAGGACAGTATAACAAAAGGGAGCCGCAGGTCAGTATCTCTGATGGACATTGATGCAAAAATCCTCAATATAATATTAGTAAACCAAATCCAATGTGACACCACAAAGGTTACATATCATGACCAAGTGGGATTTATCTCTGGCATGCACGGCTGGTTTAACACATACAAATCAATCAATGTGATACGTCGTGATATGTCACATTAACAGAATGAAAGATAAAAAACCACAGGATCATTTCAAGTGACACAAAAAAAGCATTTGACGAAGTTTAGCATCTTTTCTTGATAAAAACTCTCAATGGTTTAAGTACAGAAGGAAAGGTCCTTAAACCTGTAGTTAACATCATAATCAACAGGGAACAACTGAAAGCACTTCCACTAAGATCTGGTACAAGGCATAGATGCCCACTCTTGCCACGTCTATTCAACATAGTACTGGAAGAGCAATCAGACACGCTGACTGCAGGAGTAATCAGACAAGAAAAAAGAAAAAAGTTTTAGGGTTTCCTATATATAGGGTCATGCCATCCGCAAATAAAGATAACTTGACTTCTTCATTTCCAATGTGGATGCCTTTCATTTCTTTTTCTTGTCTGATTGCTCCTGCAGTCAGCATCTGATACAAAATCAGCATACAAAAATCAGTTGTATTTATGTACACAGATAACAACCTAGCTCAAAAAGAAATCAAGAAAACAATTCAATTTATGACAGCATCAAAAAGTAAAATACTTAGGAATAAACTTAGTCAAGGAGGTCAAAGATTTACACTGAAAACTATAAAATACTGATGAAAAAAATTGAAGAAGATACAAATAAATGGAAAGATATCTCCTGTTTGTGGATCGGAAGAATTAATATTGTTAAGATGTCCATGCTACTAAGCAATATACAGATTTAGCACAATCCCTATCAAAATTCCAATGGCATTCGTCACAGAAACAAAAAACAATCCTGCAGTTTGTGTGGAACCACAAAAAAAACCTGAACCACCAAAGCAATACTGAGAAATAAAAACAAATTTGGAGGTGTCATGCTTTCTGATTTTATTTTTATTTATTTATTTTTTTGAGATGGAGTCTCTCTCTGCCACCCAGGCTGGGGTGCAGTGGCACGATCTCGGCTCACTGCAAGCTCCACCTCCCAGGTTCATGCCATTCTCTTGCCTCAGCCTCCAGAGTAGCTGGGACTATAGGTGCCCACCACCAGGCCTGGCTAATTTTTCTGATTTTAAATTATATTACAAAGCTATAGGAATCATACTGGAATAAAAACAGAAACATAGACCAATGGAACAGAATGAAGGGCCCCAAAATAAATCCAAATATAATATGGTTAGTGAATTTTCGACAAGAGCACCAAGAGGATGCAAAGGGGAAAGGAAAGTCTTGTCAATCAATGATGCTGGAAACACTGGCTTTCCAGTGGGGGTTTTTTTTTTTACCACACATACACACACACACACACACACACACAAAGAAAAAAAAGAAATTGCATCCTTATCTTACATAGTTAACAAAAATCAACTTATAATGCATGAAAGACTTAAACGTAAGACCAGAAACCATAAAGTTCCCAAAAGAGAGCATAGAGAAAAACCTTCTGGATATTGGCATTGCCATTATTTTTTTGGGCATTGCACCAAAAGCTCAGGCTACAAAAGCAAAAAGAAATAAATAGGACTACCTAAAACTAAAAAACCTCAGCACAGCAAAGGGATCAATCAACAAAATGAAAAGGCAGCCTACTGACAAGGAAAAAACATTTGGTAATCACATACCTAAACAAGGGTTAATTTATACAAAACTTATAAATACTCATACAATTCAACAGTTGAAAAACAAGTACCCAATTTAAAAAACAGGCAAAGAACCTGAACAGACATTTCTCTAAAAAGGACAGAAAAATGCCCAACAGGTATATGAAAAGGTGCTCAATCTCACTAATCATCAGAAGCAAGCAACTTAAAATCACTATGAGATACCACCTGGCATCCATCAGGATGGTTATTTTGAAAAAGACAGGAGGTAACAAATGTTGGCGAGAGTGTAAAGGGAACCCTGGTACACACTGGGTGGGAATGTGGATTGGTATAGCCCTTATGGGAAGCGGTATGGAGGTTCCTAAATGAATTACAAAATTGCACTAGCATATGACCCAGCAGTCCATGTTCTGTGTGCTCTGCTCACCCTCCTGAGCCCCTAAATTGGCCCGGAAATCAGGATCATGTGCCACAGGCTGAAGAAACATGCTTTTCTGCAAGTGGGCGATAGACCCAAAGAAGATGAAATCACCACCTCTTACAGCCTGCACTTCCCTGACCCTTGCAGCGTTACTCCCAGTGGGCACTTCCCTGACCCTTGCAGCGTTACTCCCAGTGGGCGCTTCCGTGACCGCCGCAGCGTTACTCCCAGTGGGCGCTTCCGTGACCGCCGCAGCGTTACTCCCAGTGGGCGCTTCCGTGACCGCCGCAGCGTTACTCCCAGTGGGCGCTTCCGTGACCGCCGCAGCGTTACTCCCAGTGGGCGCTTCCGTGACCGCCGCAGCGTTACTCCCAGTGGGCGCTTCCGTGACCGCCGCAGCGTTACTCCCAGTGGGCGCTTCCGTGACCGCCGCAGCGTTACTCCCAGTGGGCGCTTCCGTGACCGCCGCAGCGTTACTCCCCGTGGGCGCTTCCGTGACCGCCGCAGCGTTACTCCCAGTGGGCGCTTCCGTGACCGCCGCAGCGTTACTCCCAGTGGGCGCTTCCGTGACCGCCGCAGCGTTACTCCCAGTGGGCGCTTCCGTGACCGCCGCAGCGTTACTCCCAGTGGGCGCTTCCGTGACCGCCGCAGCGTTACTCCCAGTGGGCGCTTCCGTGACCGCCGCAGCGTTACTCCCAGTGGGCGCTTCCGTGACCGCCGCAGCGTTACTCCCAGTGGGCGCTTCCGTGACCGCCGCAGCGTTACTCCCCGTGGGCGCTTCCGTGACCGCCGCAGCGTTACTCCCCGTGGGCGCTTCCGTGACCGCCGCAGCGTTACTCCCCGTGGGCGCTTCCGTGACCGCCGCAGCGTTACTCCCCGTGGGCGCTTCCGTGACCGCCGCAGCGTTACTCCCCGTGGGCGCTTCCGTGACCGCCGCAGCGTTACTCCCAGTGGGCGCTTCCGTGACCACCACAGCGTTACTCCCAGTAGGTACTTCCGTGACCCTTGCAGCGTTACTCCCAGTAGGTACTTCCATGACCACCGCAGCGTTACTCCCAGTGGGCGCTTCCTTGACCACCGCAGCATTACTCCCAGTGGGCACTTCCGTGACCCTTGCAGCATTACTCCCAGTGGGCACTTCCGTGACCACCGCAGCATTACTCCCAGTGGGCGCTTCCGTGACCACCGCAGCGTTACTCCCAGTAGGCGCTTCCGTGACCACCGCAGCATTGCTCCCAGTGGGCACTTCTGTGACCACCGCAGCGTTACTCACAGTAGGCAGGATACCGAAATAGCGTAAGTGTCTGTCAACACTGAGGGTGCCAGGGATAAGAAACCCTGGTCTATATACACAATGGAACAGTATTTAGCTTTAGAAAAGGAGGTTGTGCCATTTGCCACAACCTGAATAGACCTGGGGGACATGATGCTCAGCAAAGTAAGCCAGAGACAGAAAAGTAATGCGTGATCTCACTTATATGTGGAACCCTTAAAAAATTACAGTTCAAATATTCAGAGATAGAGAATACAACAGTGGTTTCCAATGCCAGGGCGGACGGGGAGAAGTGAGTCAATGAATTCAAAGTGGAAGATTGACAGGAAGAGTAAGTCTAGAGACCTAACGTCTGCATGAGGGCTATAGTCAATAAAGTCATATTCTATTGCAACAAACAAAGCGGCAAAGTGTTTGATGCTCAGGAAGCATGTGTGGCCTTAAATAGGTGGAAAATAACCGCCTCTTCCAGGGTAGGTCAATGACCACGATAATCAACTTCTGATTAGAATGTATAAATGCAGACATTTGGTTTGCACATAAGTTGATGCATTTGATGTAATTTTAAAACTTCATTCTTCCTTAAAAATATTTGAAAGGCCTTTTACTTTTTTCTTTAAAGCAAGCACAAGACGCGAAAGGCTATGGATCTGAGGTTTCCTCAGTGGAATGATGATGTGGGGCGCTGGATTGAAGCCGGGGCTCCTGGCGAGTGCGTGAGATGAAGTGGAAGCAGAAGAATCAGGTGGTGGTTTAGGAACTCGCAACAACCCCACTTCCGGGGAAAGGAAGAATAGTCATTTCCACTTAGCCTTAGTTTTGCTTTCCAAGCTCTCAATTACCTGCGGTCACAACCTCAGTCAGAAAATATTAAATTAAAAAAAATTCCAGAAATAAACAATTCCCAAGTTTTAACTTGTGCACCCTTCTGGGGAGCGTGGTGAAATCTGGCACCGCCCGCTTGGTCCCTCCCGGGACTGAACCCTCCCTTCGTCCAGCGTCTCCAGGCTGCGGACGCTCCCCGCCCCTCTTATGGCCTCTTGGTTATCAGATCCACGGTCCAGGGGTCGCAGTGCTTGAGTACAAGGAACCCTCATTTGACTTCATCATGGCCCCAAAGCACAAGAGCAGTGAGGCTGGCAATGTGGGTACACCAAAGAGAAGCCAGAAGGTGCCCCTTTAAGTGAAAAGTGAAGTTCTCGACTTAATAAAAAAAAAAAAAAAGGTAAGCTCAGGATGCCAAGATGTCCAGTCAGATGGAATCTTCTATCTCTGAAATTGGGAACAGCATATTGGTATAATTATTCTATTTTATTATTAGTTATTGCTAATCTCTTACTGTGCCTAATTTATAAATTAAACTGTATCGGGGGGTGTTTGCATAGGGAAAACATCGTGTCTGTAGGGCTTGGTACTATCCACCATTTCAGGTGTCCCCTGGGGGTCTTGGAACGTCACCCCCAGGATAAGGGGGATGGCTGCACTTGCTGTGGTGACCATGCGTTCCCTGACTCCTGTCCTGTCCGTACGCCGTCTCCCAGGAAAGCCACAATCTTTTCTTGTGAATCTTTAGAAGAGAGACAGTTTCACACTCACTTCATGGGAGGCTGGGTCGATTTGTTCTGGAAAACCCCTTTGCTCGATAACATAGATCCTACATAAAGCATTAGGACCCCTTTCTTTTAAGAACCTCTTCGTTAGGTAACTGCCACTCTGAGGAAATATCTTGGATGTGTTCTCCAAGCTCTTGCCTGTCCGCACAAGTGGAATCTTCTACAACCTTCTAGAGGACATTCCGATGTACTGTAGTGAGCCTTTTGAGGCACAGCGTCTCTGTAGGATCACATACCCTCTGACAGGGGAATCCCTCTGAGGTTCATCGTTGGAACTGGAGGGGGGCAGGAGGAGGAAGACTCTGGTGAGCCACCTTCTGAGTGCCGTACAGCCCTGGACCCTGGGGAACGAGGTGCCCTCTTGCAAATTAGGTGAGGCCTGTGGGTCCTCGCTGCGGGAGGAGGGCAGGCATCACCTCTGGGACAGGCCCCGCACTCAGCACAGGAGTTATCTGGGCCCAAACCCAAGGAAACCAAACGTGGGAGGCATGGTGTTTAAAGGGGCTGTGCTTCCGAAATCACGAATGCACCCCACACAAAAATCACTAAAACCAACGCTGATCCAGGCTAATTCACCCTCCTCAGGAGAACTAAAGGTGCTGAAATTCTCCCCGCATGGAGGCTCGCGTTTCAGTCTTCACCTGTGTCTTGGCTCTGACAGTGTCCCACTTTGGGTGGTCAAGGAACAACTGTCCATAGGCGCACGTCATTAGGGACTCAGATGGGGCATTTTCCACCGCTGCATGAAGACATGGCACAGACCGTTCTGAGCCCCCAGAGTGGCACGGACGTCAAGATCACATGCCACAGGCTGAAGAAAATCATGCTTCTGCACAAATGGGAGATGCTTCCCTGCCTGAGGGGCTTCTGTTACAGTCTCGCTCCACTCGGCACCAGCACCGAGCTCCCTCAACCTCAGACTCTAGATCTGACCGAGAGCCACGAGCTCTGATCCGTGAACACTCCGGGGAACGCAGGGAGGCAGTGGGCAAACCTCGGGCTGAGGAGGAGGGTGACGGGTGGGGGAAGCTGGGGCCTGGCTGCTTCGCAGGGGGACGTATTCCACACAGGACCTCTGCAGGGAGGCAAAGCGCCGGGACCAGCCGCATTCCAGCCATACCTCGCTGGCCACTAGGCACGGCCAGTTCTGCCTGGAGTGCCAGGGCTTTGCAAGGTAAACATCTGACCAGCAAGGTAAACATCAATGTAAGTGTTTCTGAGGACCCTGCTTTATAGGGCACCGAAGGAAAATAAGACACAGTCTTGTTACCTGGGAGTCTCTAATATTCTTTTTTTTTTTTTTGAGATAGCATCTCACTCTGTCACCCAGGCTGGAGTGCAGTGGCGTGATCTTGGCTCACTGCAACCTCCACCTCCCAGGTTCAAGCAATTCTCCTTCCTCAGCCTCCCGAGTACATGCGACTACAGGCGCCTGCCACCACGCCCGGCTGATTTTTGAATTTTTAGTAGAGATGGGGTTTTACCATATTGGCCAGGCTGGTCTTGAACTCCTGACCTTGTGATCCACCCCCCCTCGGCCTCCCAAAGTGCTGGGATTACAGGCGTAAGCTACCATGCCAAGCCGGCGAGTCTCTAATATTCTTTAAGGCAAAAAGAAGGAGAAGAGGCCGGGCGCGGGGGTTCACACCAGCACTTTGGGAGGCCGAGGCGGGTGAATCACGAGGTTAGGAGTTTGAGACCAGCCTGGCCAACATGGTGAAACCCTGTCTCTACTAAAAATACCAAAAATTAGTTGGGCGTGGTGGTGGGCACCTGTAATCCCAGCTACTTGGGAGGCTGAGGAAGGAGAATCTCTTGAACCCGGGAGGCAGAGGTCACAGTGAGCTGAGATCATGCATACTGCACTCCAGCCCAGAAAAAAAGGAAGGAAACAAAGATGGAAGGAGAGAAAAATGTATAAGGGTGATTTGAGTGACATGGTGGGCAAAGAGAAAGTTAGGCTGGGGACTCCATCCAGGGGTGACCTGGGCTGTGGGGCTTGTGCCTGGAGGCCCCAGACTTGAGCAGGCTGGGCCCACTCCCATGGATTTGTCCGTGAGGCCTCCTCCAGCAGACGCTGGTGGGCCATGTTTCTAGCGGGTGCATTCACTCGCTGAGGGCTTTGCTCGCTGCTGGGGCTGGGGCCAGGCCTGGGCAGAGGGGCTGTCCAAGGCTCAGCAGTCCTCAGGGCCGTGAGTCCAGGGCCAGCAAGGGGCTGCCATGTGCACTGGGCCCCAGGGACTGCAGTGCAGCTGGGCCCCAGGAACCACCCAGGCTGTGCCAATCTTGGGGCTCTGGCAGAAGGACTAGTGCTGGCTGCCAGCTGCACAGGGTGGGGAGGAAGTGGACAGGCTGAGCCACAGGTCTTGGGACCCAGGGGTATCGGCGGAGCAGGGGTGGCAGAGGCTGCGCCTGAGGCCAGGCAGGGGGTCGGGGGCAGGAGCAGCAACCCGATCTCCGAAAGTTTTTTATGCAAACTGCTCTCTCAGGTCTGACTTGTGTTCTAAGCCAGGCGTCCTCTCTGGTTTGGCCACCGTAAGCTCCCTGGGGCCACTGTAACAAAGTGCTACAGACTACATGGCTTCAACAGCAGACTTGATTGTCGCTCAGTGCTGGGGGCTGGAAGTCCAGGACCAAGGTGTCTGCAGGGTGTTGCTGCGGAGACCTCTCCTTGGCTGCAAGTAGCTGTCCCCAGGTTCAAGAGACCTTCTCCCCGCGTGCACTTGCCCACACTTCCTCTTCTGAGAAGGACGTTAGTCTTATTAACTTAGGCCCACCCTAACAATCTCATTTTATTTATTTAATTTCCTCCATCTTTCTTAAGGTATAACTGACAGAGAAAAATTGTATATATTCACAGTGTATAATTTGATATCTTAATATACATTGTGAAATCATCACCAAAATCAAGCTAATTTACACATCCATTTCCTTACACAGTTAACATTTTCTTTCTTTTTTTGGTGGTGAGAACACTGAAGAAGTTCTCTTGGGCCAATTTCCAGTGTGTGACATGGCACTGTGAACTGTTTAGGCACCGTGATGAGCTCACTCGCCCAGCGTCTCCCCATCTCCCTCATCCTGGATCCGGTGGCCACTGTGCTGCTGTCTGCTCCTGTGGGTTGGACTGTTTTAAACGGGTCATAGAGGCAGCGTCATGCAGGACCCGTCCCTGTGTGCCTGGCTTATTCACATAGCATGATGTCTTCCGGCTTCATCCACATTGTTGCGAGTGACAACATGGCCTTCTATCCATATTTAAGGCTGAATAATATCCTGTTGCATGTGATGCCACGTTTTCTTTATCCATGTATCTGTTCACGGATACTTAGTTTGCTTCCATGTTATCTGGGTCTATTTAGGCTGCTATGACAAAATACCTGAGACGGGGTCATTTATTAATATAAACAGTAGAAATTTATTTCACATAGTTCTGGATGCTGGGAAGGTCAAGACCAAGGCACCTGCAGATGTGGAGTCTGCCGAGGGCTGCTCTCTGCTCTGTGACTGGAGTCCCGTGGCTGTATCCTCGCGTGGCTGGAGGGCAAGGCAGCTGCCTTCTGCCTCTTTTATGAGGCACAGATCCCATTCCTGAGCTCAGAGCCTTCATGACTTAATCACTTCCCAGAAGGCCCCACCTCTTCACACAGTCACCCTGGTGTTAGGTTCCAGTGCGTGGCTTTTGGAGGGACACAGGCGTTCAGACCACAGCACACGCCTTGGCTATTGTGAGCCATGCCGCAACAAACTCGAGGGTGCAGATATCTCCCTGAGCTACTGATTTCATTTTCTTTGGCTGCCACCCATTAGTGGGACAGGGGATCATATCAGTTCTATTTTTGACATTTTCAGGAACCTCCACACTGTTTCCATAAATGCTGCATGTCCTGATTCACCTTCCCAGCCACAGTGTATGAGCTTCCCCTTCCCCACATTCTCACCAGCGCCTGCTATGTCTTGTCCTTTTGATAATGGTCATGATAACAGGTGTGAGGTGGGATCTCATTGTGATTTTGATTTACACTTTTCTGATCACTCATGTTGAGCACATTTTCCATGCTTTCGGCCATTTGTATGTCTTCTTTTGAGGAATGCTTTGAAATGATCTCATTTTACCTGGACTACCTCTGTAGAGATCCTATCTCCAAACAAGTCCACACTCGGAGATACTGGGGGTTAAAAATTCTGCATAGGAATTTTAGAGGCAGAGTCAGCCCGTGACACCATGAGGTTCTCCCACTGCAAAGATACCTGCTGCATGGCAGCCTAGATTCCTCCGTGCTGACAGCCCCCTGCTCCTGACGTGGAGGTGGGGACCACCCTGAGTTGCCTCCTTGCTGTGCCGTCAGCCCTACCTGACCCTCTGCACAGGGGAACATTTCCTTTGATGAAGCCACTTGAGCTAGTTATTGCTGGACAGGCCTTTCTGTTTGCTTCAGTAACATTCTTCTTCTGCAGAATCAAGCCTGTCATCTCCCCTCACCTACAGACAGTCTCTGTCCTTCCTGGGATGCAGCATTATAAACACTGCAGTGTAGCACATGATACCCACTTGTCAGGTGAGGAAGCCGAGGTTCAGGAAGCAGACATGACTTGCCTGAGGTCACAGTGTTAGGACAGCACCGTGCCAGGGCTTGAATGTACTTCTGAGGGACATGGTGCCACATGGCCACTGCTCATGAAAAGAAGGGCCTGCTTTTTGCTTTCTGAACATGTACAGGTGAGAGCTAAAGCTCGTGTGAAGCCATTTTGCTTTTTGCACCAAATGTCAAGTCTCCAAGGAGACAGTTGTGAGCCCTCACATGCAACCCCTGTCTGTTTGCTGATGCTGTGCACATGCTCAGCTGGGGTTTCCAAAGCAGCACATTGCCCAAGAACAGTGGACTGGTGGCAGCGGTCTAGCAGCTTACCTCATTTGCACGAGCGCTAGCTAAAATTTTCATGATTGTCAGTTCCCTCATTTAAAACAAAGCAAAATGACTAGAAAAGAAAATCAATCAATCCACTTATGCCTATAAGAAAATCTTGAGGAGTTGATTTTCTTTTTAACAGAACAGATGGCTGGTAACAATAAAGTCAATGTTAACATATATCAGAATTTTAGTCCAACAGCAGGCTGGGGAAATGGGTAGATGTGGAGAGAAAGAGGGAAGAGGCATTTTTAAGACTTTTGTTTACTTCCAAACTTCAGGAAATTATGAGAGTGACATAAATGATGATAAAGCAAGAAGACCCTGGTTTTGCTGGTGGGCCACTGAAGATAAGCACTTTGGGAGGAAACCAGATTAAACCAGGCAGGAGAGCAGCGGCTGAGAGCATGGGGCTGGAGTGAGACAGCCTGGGTTGATGCTGTCGCCAGCACTGATTGGCATGTGCGTTTTAATGTCTTGTACCTCTGCTTTTCAACTGTGCAATGGAGACTTCACAACCAGATGCCCAGAGATGGGCTGTGAGCATGAACAGGACACACAAATGGCCAGCGACCGTACCTCCCACCCAGGAGGGACTCCAGCATCAGCTCGTAGCCTAGCGTCATCGGGAGGCAGATCTGATGTCAACAGAGGAAATGACCCATCACAATGCTTCTTGGATGGAAAAAGGCAGAGCTAGAGTCCCGTCATGCCTCTAGGCCTGCGCTGCCCTGGAACTGGCTTTTCAAAGGTATTTAAAATCAAATCCCTTATAATTAGATTACATTAAAACTCAGTGCCTCAGCTGCAGCAGCCACATTTCGAGGGCTCAATGGCCACACGTGGCTGTTGGCTACTGCATGGACAGAGATGTGGGATGTTCGCACCCCTGCAGAAATCCTACGGGGAAGCCTTGCTCAAGAAACAGGGATGGGTGTGCAGAGAGCACCCAGGATGGTGGGTGGGGATGTGATTAGCAAAATGCAGAGGATGGAAACCTGTGCAGGCAAATGACTTCATTTCTTCTACAAACGAGCAACAGGGGCAAGGAGAATCGTCAGGGACACACCAGCCGCGTGAGACCTGTGTGCCTTGCTGCATCTCGATTTGAACAAACCAGTGGGGACAAAAAGGCATTTATAAGACAATTGGGAAATTGTAAACATTGGCTGGATATTTGATACTATTATTGCATTTTATAAATTTTTTATTTCAAAAATTGTGGCAATATGTAACATAAATTTAGCATTTAACCATTTTCAGTGTACGGTTCAGTGGCATTAAGTGCAGTCCCATTGTGTTTTGTCACCACCCATCTCCAGAACTTTGAAGCTCACCAAACTGGAACTGTGTCCCAACCAAGCACTGACTCCCCCTCCCCCTCCCCCTCCCTGCCAGCCCCTGGCAGCTCCCTCTCCCTCCCTCCTTCTCTCTCTCTCTCTTTCTTTCTTTCTCAGAGTTTCCCTCTTGTTGCCCAGGCTGGAGTGAAATGGCACAATCTCTGCTCACTGCAACCTCCGTCTCCTGCTTCAAGCAATTCTCCTGCCTTAGCCTCCTGAGTAGCTGGGATTACAGGCACCTGCCACCACGCTTGCCTAGTTTTTTGTATTTTTAGTAGAGATGGGGTTTCACCGTGTTGGCCAGGCTGGTCTCAAACTCCTGATCTGAGGTGATCCTCCTGCCTCGGCCTCCCAAAATGCATGGATCACGGGCGTGAGCCACTGCACCCAGCCTTGTTCTACTTTCTGTCTCTCAGAATGTGACTATTTGAGGGACGCCATGTGAGTGGACTCAAACACTCGTTTAGTGTTTGTCATTTGTGGCTGGCCTGTTTCACTTAGCACAATGTCCTCATGAGTCATCAGTGTTATGGCACGTGTCAGAATTTTCTTCCTTTTGGGGGCTGAATAATATTGTATGGATACACCACATCGTTCACCCACTGAGGGCCACTGGGTAATGTCTGTCTTTAGGCTACTGGGAATAATGATGTGGTGAACATGGGTACAGCTGTTGCTTCAAGATCCTACTTACAGTTCTTTTGAGTGTGCACCTAAAAGTAAAATTGCTGGATCATATGGTAATTCTATTTTCAAGTTTTTGAGGAATGCTGAACTATTTTCTGTAGCAGTGCCACCATTTTACATCACCACCAACAGTGTACGAGTCCTCCAGTTTCTCCACCTCCTCATCAACACTTCTTGTCTTCTTTTTTTTTTCTTGATAATAGTCATCCTAGTGGATGTGAGGCTGTGTCTCATCGTGGTTTTGATTTGCACTTCCCTAATGACTAATGGTGTTGAGCGTCTTTTCATGTGCTTATTGGAAATTTGTACATCTTCTTTGGAGAAATGTCTATTCACATCCTTTGACCATGTTTTAATCAGTTGTGGTTTTTTGTTGTTTTTGTTGTTGAACTGTAGGAGTTCTTTATATATTCTGGTTACTAATCCCTTATTAGTTATATGAGTTATAAATACTTTCTCCTATTCCATATGTTGCCCTTTCACTCTGCTGATAATATCCTTTGATGCATAAAAGTTTCTAAATTTGGTGTAGTCCAGTTTATCAATTTTTTCTTTTGTTTATGTTTTTGGTATCATATCCAAGAAATCACTAATGAATTCTGTTAATTTTTAGGTGCAATAGTCATACCGCTTATGTTTTCTGAAAGCCCTGATCTTTTAGGGAGAAACACTGAAATGTTACTGCTGATGAACGATGAGGCCAGGGATCAGCTTCACAACCTGGCAGGGGTAAAACGTGAAAGGGGCCATGTTGAAGTGAGACTGGCCAATTGTTAACAATTGTGTTGGCTGATGGGCTCAGGGGAGGTCATCATGTGAGTCTTTCTCCTTTAGCATATGTTTGAAATGTTTCACAGTAAAGAAACTTAAAAGAAAAATTGGAAGCATACATTCTTCTTTCCAGGGCTGAGACAGATTTCTGCCCACAGGTGAACACATGCCTCACACTGGCGCCCACGGTGATGGAGCTCAGGCTCTCTCCTTGGGTGCCTGCTGCCAGCCCTCCAGAACATGCTACAGAGCACAGGGGCCAGTGGCCCCTTCCTCAGCAGCCCATATTGATGGTTTTCTGATAAAATACTGTGTTTAGAGACCCAAAGGAGAGAGGACAACATGGTGATCTCTGGGAAGTGCTGCGCTATCAGACTTTTTTTCCTCTGCGCCGGTCCTGCCACTGTGATGTAGGAATTTTGGAAGCCCCCTGTCAGAAGGTGTTTGTCTCCAGGCTGTGCAGTGAGTGGAGGGAGTGGGGCAGCCATGGCCTGCCGGACCAGCAGGGTCTGAGAGGCAGCAGGGCTCCCTGCCCTGCCCTAAGCGCCGGGACGTCAGCTGGCCCTGCTTGCCTCAGTAGTACTTCGCCGCAAAGTGAGGACAAGGGGAAAGTTGGGATTCACATGTTATGGTCTCCAAAGGCGGCAAGGAGACCTATTGCTGCCATTTATTGATCATCGATTATTGACCAGGCACAGTCAATTGGTGATCAGTAGAGCTAAGCTCTCTTCCCAGGCACACCATTCCATTCATCCTTATAAAAGCCTATGAGCATCATGGTCCTCATTTTACAGACGAGGAAGCAAGGGCTCAGAGAGGTTATATAATTTCCCCAGGATCACATAGCTGCTACGTGGCAGAGCTGAGATGCACGCACAGGTTGCCCTGTCTCTTCCTGACTACGGATGTATGTGGTGAATCATTATCTTGCATTTGTCTAGTTTTGAAGAGACCCTTAAATCTTTAGCTATAACAGTAGTATAGGTTTTGGGGGTTCTCCTCATTTTCCCACCTATAATATTCATTTTCTTCGGTGTTGATTCACACCACACCCACCGTGAGATGCAGACATGAATGGTGAGACCGGCCTTCCCAGATGTACAACACTAGGAAGGGTCTCTTTAGGAAGCCCAGTGGGCCCCTGAGCTTCGCAAAAATTATCATGGTGAGCCTGGCGGCCCACGCATGGGCACGGCTGGCACAGGAGAGCACAGAGCACAGCAGGGCACCAACTCATGGGGTCAGTGCCCAGGGCAGGGGTACACGGATTCTTCTCACCAGCTGCTTCCCAGGGAAAATAGTCTGGTTTTGGTCCTGAGTCTGGCACCCAATCTTCTGCCCTAACATTGATCCTGTCTCCTTTGGAATAAAATCGGGCAACAAATGGCTGGTGGGTGGGGCTTTGTGCTGGTGGTTGGTTTTCTTGGCAATGTACACATAGAATACATTCTAATTAGATTTAGCACATTTCTAAAATAACCACCCTTATGGATAAAATGTGAAACCACCATACGTACAATTTGCCATGCATCAGTGACATAAAAAAACACATGGTAAATACATTATAATTATTGGTTAAGATAAAGCCAAGACAGTTCTCTCTTTCTAAGTGCTCATTTCATTGTGAAAGGTTTAATAAATAATTATATCGCAGTTCTGTAGTCCCCTTAATGGCTTATTAAACAGAAATAAAGCAATCAACAACCAGTCTAAACAGGACTTGAAAATACCTTGCAAATAATTTGTAAGGCATTTCTGAATAAACTAGTTATGAAATGTCAATATTCTTAAAATATCAATACACATTAGTGTTGCATTTACTTTCTGTTTTCAAACCTACTCTATTCTGTTCCAAAAAAAGCTTATAAAGATACTTATAATCAGATGCACAACCTTTAAAACAAATGAGCTGAGAGTCGCTGTAGCTGGCACGAATCTGAGGGTCTCATAACACTGTACATTTCCAGCCTTGTTTTGCTTTTGCCTGAATTGAAGCCAAAAAGCTTTCAAAAACCTGCGTTCACCAAAAACAGCGCAAACTGCCAAGGCATAAATTGAATTCTAAAGATTAACTGCAGCTCTAGCCATTGTTACCTTTTATTGTCTTTGTTTGCTTAAAAAAATGGATTTGTGGTCTGAAATGTGTATTGCCTGCATACTAACATTTTAGAAATTTTACTCATTTTTAGCCGCATGACATTTATCTTACTCTCTAAAATTTTAATTAAACTATTTTGTTTTCTGTAGGATGCAAGCTATATTCCTCATGTTTTGAATTGAGTAATGGTTTTTATTAAAATTACCTACAATTCCAAATGTACTGAGATGCATGCACTCTTTCCCACTCACTACCAGTGGGGCCAAAGACATTGAATGTAGAAGGTACAGGTCCAGCCCTTTAAGTAAGTCAAGCAAACACATTGCTTCACTCCCACCAGAAGGACACCAGTGTCAGATTAGACACCAGGCTCTTATTCTGATTTGACTTGCAATTTGGCAGATACACTCCCTCAAACTGCAGATGCTGCTAAACCCTTTATAAGTAAGTTAATATACCAGTTATTTCTAGGCCAAGCTCGCAAAGTACATCACACATTTTAGCCGCTTCAGTAGCTAAAAGATCTCCCCAACATCACTGGGCTTGTGCCTGAGTTATTTTTATTTTTCTTGAAGTTCTGAAAGAGTTTTAGTAATGCAACTGCTTATTTTCCCCCTCACTCATGACCAGCAATTCTTCGACTGGGAGGCCCCAGCACATTTACAAAGGGTCCCAAGATCAAAACCGTTTCATAATAATGCCAGGATGCCCATTGCCCTTCTAATAGTGTTGATGTCTGCACCAGTGGTGCAAAGTCGGTGGTGAGTGCAATGCACCTGAGCCCAAATCAAGGCAGCAGCCCTCATCCGGGCCGGTAATCACAGTCTGTTCACAGTGAAAAGAATCCAAAAGGCAGTTTCACTTGAGAATGGACTTGGTGATGCAGGAAAAATGGTTAATTTTGTGACCTCTCCCCCTTGAGCACACACCTTCTAAGATTCTTTGTGGTGGCACGGGGCATCTACACAGAGGGCAGGGGTGTCTCCACAAGAACACTTGTAAGGCCTTCTGAGTTAGAAACCAAACTAGCCAGTTCCTTTTCCATGGAATGCCATTTTCCCTGGAAAGGGCACCTGACAAACCATGGCTGTCGAGATGAGGGTACGTGGCAAAGGTTTCCTTGAAAGTGAAAGAGAGCTGGGAGCAGTGGCTCACGCCTGTAATCCCAGCACTTTGGGAGGCCAAAGCGGGTGGGTTAACTGAGGTCAGGAGTTCAAGACCAGCCTGGCCAACATGGTGAAACCCTGTCCCTACTAAAAAATACAAAAATTAGCTGAGTGTGGTGGCGGGCACCTGTAATCCCAGCTACTTGGGAGGCTGAGGCAGGAGAATCACTTGAGCCTGGGAGGTGGAGGTTGCAGTGAGCTGAAATCGTGCCACTGCACTCCAGCCTGGGAGACAGAGTGAGACTTTTTCTCAAAAACAAACAAACAAGAAAATGAAAGACGTGGCTTCTTGCTTCAAGGAAAAACTGGACGATTTGTTGCCAATGACATTTGATTTTTCCAGTAAAAATGTGAATTTTTGAAATTTCTATCTACCACAATCGGCTTAAGACCTTTCCGGTTCTTAAAGGCCTTTCAGACAGAACTGGTGGTGATACTGATGAATGCAACGATGGAATATGGTACAATGAGATGTGTCCGCTGCAGGGCTCAGAACCAGTATTTTCCAGATGACCCATGCATGACATTACAAAATCATCACTGATGGGTGAAAGGCTTATTCCAAGTGCAAGAGAAACCAAGAGACCACAGAATGTTTGTTGACATGGTTTTGGATTTCACACTGTGTGTAAGTAACCTTTAAGATGCAAACACTTGTCATGTTTTCGTGTAGTATCAAAGGGGGATATTCACAACTATCTGAAAAGGCAATTGATATGCTTCTCTTTTTTCCAACCACGTGGCTGTGTAAGTCCTTGTTTTCTTCATATATTTCAATTGGAACAACAGACAGCATGAGACTTTATACTGCAGGACTGTGAGGACCCAGCTGTCTCCCCAGAAGCAAGGTCCAAAGGAACACGTCTCTTCTCACTGAAATGTTTTTTAAAAATATAGTGATTTCTCATGGAGAGCTTAAAAAGTAATAATTTATCATTGTTATTCTTAAGTGGATTAACACATATTCTAAGATTGTATCGGCTTTAACTTTAATACAGTAAATATTTATAGGTATAACCCATACAGACAAAAGCTCATAGGGTCTTCAACATATTTTAAAAGTATATTGTGGCCTAAAGACAAAAACATTTCTTTCTTTTTTTTTTTTTTTTTTTGATACTGAGGTTGGTGAAGAACTTAAGTTAATTAGAAACCAATTTCAATTTCCCTTATTTCCAGAACAGAAAAAAGTATGTAAAAGACACCATATCGTTACGTCATAAAACATTCTCAGGACAATGGCTGTTTTGCTGTGGTCTCAGATTGGCCCCAGCAGCACCATTGAGCGTCCCTCACTGGATAGGAGTGTGTGCAGGATTCAAGCACATTGATTATAATAATTTTTTTTTTTAAATCAGCTGGGAGAGTGGAAGCTGTTGGCATTTTAAAAATCAGATTCAGAAGTCGACTGTTGGGAGAGTGGAGTCTCCGTGGGCTTCCGGCGTCGTTCATGTGAACCGTTGGGAAGTGAGAAAGAAATGGCTGCATGGAAAAGGCCATCTCTTTCCTGCTCTTTCCTCTTTGCACTGGCATTGGGCTTCTAGAACCGGCCCGAGGTCACCGACCGTCTCCTGATTCATGACATTCGGTGCCCACAGCCTCATCTCGACTCCCTTTACAGAAAAAGCTGAAAGTTGAGTCTGAGCACAGTCTTATTTAAACAATGATCCTGGAGACGCTCCAACCTTAAAAACCCAAACAGAGCAAGACAGACAACCTACAGCAGCTGAAAACTCTTTGCTGGGGATTGAAGTCATGTCTTCTTGAACTAAATTATAATTCGGTTGTGCATACAAGCACGCTCATATGTACCGCAGACACACCTGGTATCTCACGGGCAGTTTGAAATTATGACAGGGGTGTACAGTTCTGCATGAGTTAGTTTTGTTGTAGTAAATCTTGAACTCACGACTTACTAGGAAGAAAGAAAAAACAATTTAAAACGCTGAAGAAATCCCTCCTGAGGGTATAAATGCCTTTGCTCAATTTCAGCTTTATTCACAGTAAGGTCCTGAGTTCTGTGCATGTTTTCAGAGTGTGTTTCTGATAATGCTGTTAAAAATGAAAATGTTGTAGTGTTTCTGCCAAGTTCATCATTTTCAAACATTAATAGTCTCACTCATTTTTGCTCAAAAATTCTTTACACTTCATAGGATTTCCTTTTTCACCAAGGTCTTCCCATGTTTTCCAAGTTAATTCTCTGATGTTTTACAGTGATTAAAAATGACTCAATGATTTCATCCGGAGACATTAGAAGCAAACAGAGGAGAAAACATATCAGGAAGTGCATAGGCTTCTTACGCCGGGTCAGGCAAAGGCACAGCTTTTGGGTCTAAGGAGCTATGCCCTTGATGACGTGAAAAACATTGAGGAAACGAACCTGAGTTTTCAAACACAGGTGTGCTAAGCCATGCCATGCAGGAGATGTGGGGATTCAGTGTGGAGTCAGCACATGCCCTGTCCTGTGCCACCTGCAGGCCAGGGGGCCCTGCTAGGCCTATGTGAATGTATATGTAAAGTTGTGTCTTTGATAATAAAGAATTGCTAATGGTTACAGATCCCTCCCTCACGTGTAAAATCATCCCGAAGGCTCACAAGGGGGTGAAATGTTGCCGTGTCCTGCAGGCAAAGAATGCAAAGCAAGGAGATGATTTCTGCATCTCACATAGTTAGGGTTCAGGTTAGGGTAGGGTTAGCATTCAGGTTAGGGTTAGGATTAGGTTAGGGTTAGGGTAGGGTTAGGTTAGGGTTGGGGTTAGGTTAGGTTAGGGTTAGGATTAGGATTAAGGTTAGGGTAGGGTTAGGGCTGGGGTAGGGCTAGAGTAGGGTTAGATTTAGGGTAGGGTAAGGTTAGAGGTAGGGTTAGCCTTATTGTAGGTTGGTTTTATGTGTTGGGGAATCGGGCAAGTTTCTTTAGCCTTTGTTCATTTTCGGAAATCCCTATGATCTTCACTGAATCTGATGTGTGGTGTTTGTGTTTTCTGTGTTTGTGGTGTTTTATATTTAATGCTTTCTCTTGTAGATTATTAGGTGCCTGGAGTTGAGAAATGTAGTCATGTTACTTCTCTGCATGCTGTCACATCCACACTGCTCTACATCCCTGAACAGATGGCCTGGTATGGCCTCTCTGTTCCTCTCTCTGCAAACCTGTGTTTGATCAGTCAAGTCAGCACCTGCAGTGGACTGTGCTTGGCTGCCAGTCACAGAAAATGCCCACCTAACCATCTTCGACAATATGTGAAATTATTTGTTTTAATCTGAAGTAAGAAAAAATCCCAAAGAGGTCTGTTTCCCAGGCTTTGAAGTCAGTGGGCACAGAGCCCAGCTTTTTTCCTCTCTCCTCCTGCATCCCCCGGGCACTGCCTTGGCCTCAGGCTGGCACTTCTCAGGCCTGCACCCACCCCAGGCACCTCATTCAAGCACAGCCAGGCTCTCCCTTGACAAAATCCATGGAAAAGGTGGAAAGATCTTTCTCCATGTCCCACCTTATCAGCAAAGAAATCAGAATCAAAAACCTCTCCTCAGTTCCCGCCTGATGGAGTTAACGCTCACGCTTATGTCTACATCTGTGCCTGCCAGGAACGGAGTCCGTGGCAATTTGGACTTCTTTGGAGTTGGGATGGGCTGCTAACCTTGAAGCTTAAGGTCACAGGGAGGAGCGTGAACACCTTAGGAAGACTGCATTTCATTAGAAAGGGAAAGAGGTGTGCCACTTGGTCAGGAACTCGCTGTGTCTGCTACAGGGAGAGAGAACAACCTCTATCAGCGTTCCTACTTTTTCCAGTTTCCGAAGGGGATCCAGAGACCTTTGGGGAGGCTCCCCTGCTGGGAACGTGGGCTACAGACGTGGTCGTCTTATGTGAATCTTTAGACCCTGGAACACCAGTGCATCCCAATCTCCGCAACAGGTCTCTGTTCTCCTTCATAATTACTTCTCGGGGCTTCCACGGGTATCACGGCATCAGTTATTAGTAAAGGAAGGGACTTCGCAGGCACAGCATTCCGCATCGTCTTTCCTCCAGCATGAATTAAAACACGAGGCCGAAGGCAGGTTCCACGCTCCTTCTACCTCTTTATAGATCCCCCCAGGGCTGGTGTGGCCAACCCGAACACTTTGAAGGACTGACTTCAGGATCCAGCCCAGCGCCCCTGCAGGGATGGAGAGTCTGTGACTGCGGACGTAGAGGTGAAAGAGCACCTTGAAAGAGGACTGGGGAGAGGCCCGGGCTGTGGCGAGGGGAGATAAAGGAGGGGAGGCCTCCTCTCAGGAAGTTCCCTTTGGTTCTCAATATCTGGTGCAAGCGGGGATCAACGGAAAGCTAGCGTGAGATGGGAGAGGAGGATGAAGGGCATCACTGATTTTAAGAAGAAAGAGAAATCATAACAATGACCTTAACGCAGCGGCAATGGCAAAGGGAGAAAGCTGATATTAGAGGAACGAAATGTCATTTTCAATATTCACAAATTATATATAGTATAATGAAAAAGTAGATGATTTTCAAATGAAAGATGATTCATAAAAGAAAAAGCAAAGCTCTCAATAAAGGCAACTGGAAATACTGTCCTTTCTGGAAGGCTAATTCTTAAAAAACTACCTCATTTAACATCATAATCAAATATGGCTTATAATAAATAAGTACATTTTACCAGACCTTGAATAAAAATTGATTTGGATTTCATGATAAATTATTCTAGAAAATCAAGATATAATGAATGATATGTACAATATAAAATTTATTACTTGGGTCACAAAAAATTAATGATATATTAATTATTTGAGGACTTCTTTATAATTTATATGATCAGAATAAATTGGTCCTACAAAAGATAGAAAGGTCCAATGTTTAAATGTTTATATGTGCCAGAGGAAGAGGAATCTAAATGGATGTACAAATGAAAGGTCTCTCAGTTTCACTTTAACCAGGTTTGGGTGAATATACTAGAAATATGAAGAAACAAATCAGGAAAAGAAAGAACAAAAATGTTTGTGCATAGAATGCACATAACTATGTCAAGGTCAGGATTTTCTTTTCAGCTACATACTGTATGCAGTAAAGTGGAAGAAAGCTAAATGGCAATACTGGAGTCATCCCTGTGAAAATAGTACTTACAGCGGTTACACAGTAGTTACTATACATTCATCCTCTTGCCCATCAGTTAATTACATCACCCTTTAAGATAGACGTATAATGTAATTAGAGATTTGAACAGTTCACAGCCAGATCACTTAAAGTAACATTGTTAATGGGCTCTAGAAGTTCTCTCTTTAATATTGCCAGTGTTATAACTTCTAATTACCTTAATAATTAGGGCTCTGTCACTCATGATTGAGGTAACAGGCCCTAACACTAATGGGTATTAGAGATCTTGGACAAGGCATGTTTTGATGTTCTCATCGAGTTGCTTAGGATCGAAAGGAGCTATTTGCCCTTGGAAACCTAGCAGTTGCTATGCGGTGGCTGGGGCATCCTCACCGACACCTCCGGGGCTGCCTTGGTGGCTGCTGTGTTCACTCAAGAGGGAGGATGTACACTATTCACTGGGGACTGCGCAGGAAGTGCATGTGGGGCACTTATGGATGAAATTCTCTGAAATTAAATTGTCTCTGTTGCTTGTACTACAAAATAACAGTACAAACCCAGGCGTCAAATCAACTGGAATTTAAATGGAAAGGCACCAAAATTTCCTGCATGTACAGCTAGGATCTGCTACTAATTGATGAGGTGAGAGATTTGGAAGGAAATGGGAGGAGAGGAGAAAAATTGCTGCTCTGTGGAGAGTTATATGGGAGTCTGCAGAATGGGGAAATAGAGTCATGAGAAAGAATGAGGAGTGGAAGAAGAAAAGCTATGGGGGAGCATGGGGCAAAGCCAGGTGGGAGTCTGGAAAACAGGGAGAGTCATGTGGGAATGTGGGGAATGAGGAGGGTCCTGTGGGAGTATGGGGAATGGAGAGAGTCCTGTGGGATTATGGAAAGTGGGGAGAGTCAAGTGGGAGTTGGGGAATCGAGGAATGTCATGTGGAAATTTGGGAATGGGGGAGGGTCCTGTGGGAGCCGGGGGAGTGGGGGGAGTCACGTGGGAGTTGGGGAATCGAGGAATGTCATGTGGAAATTTGGGAATGGGGGAGAGTCCTGTAGGAATATGGGGAATTTTTGGAGTGATCTGCCTAGTAAATTTAAATAAATCTCTTTGTATATAACAGAAAAAACATGCAGAAGAAACATTTTAGGGATAATACTTGTAGTTATAATCGTGATTAAACCCCAGTGGGTTTAGTCACAGTCCTACGATGAAATCGGCCACTTCCGGACAGCATCTGGAGTGACAGCTCAACAAGGAGTATGTGCCTGCCGACCCCTCTTAACCCTAGGAACCAACGTGGCCTCTCCTTCCCCAGAGCCACTTTCTGGTCTCTTTAACTTTGTCATCTCATATTACTGTCATTTTTATTTTGATATGTTCTCTTCTGATTTTAAGTTCCTGGAAAATAAGTTGCATAAATTAGTCATCTGTGTTTCCATAGTGTTGAGCTTGTACTTTTCACAGAAATAGATACAACATAAGTATATGTTGAATTAACACATGAATGAATAGTTGGATAATTTAACAAAAAGGAAAATCTGTGATAAGCTGGATGTAAATGTAACACCAATTTTTCCTCTGAAGCAATGGATTTTGGATTTATTCACATACTTTATTAGGATATTTCCTGATATTTAAAAGCTGACTAGTAGAAATTAAGTTAATTCATTATAGAACAACTCATTTGTTGTATAACTGGACTTTTGAGCTGACCTCAAATGTATATAGTCAAACTCTAAAAATACATACAACAGAAAAAACAAGTTTGCTTTTGCAACAGTCACCCTCATAATGATTACAGCTTAGTCTTCCTACATCTTCCCAACTGAAGACAGCCTCCAGCCCAGATTTCTGCAAACATTGTTCAAGACATAGTGCCCTGGCTAGGCAGGAGACTCCTTCCAGCAGAGGACAGAGTCTCTCTGAGTGTGGAAGACCAACAAATGCCTGCAGCACAGTATGTCAGATCCTGGGTTAGACACTGCTGTGCCTTTGGATTTCATCTCACAGTATCCTACAAGACAGCCATACCATTGCCATATTCCAGCCACGCAAAATGATGGTTGAACCAGATCTGGTTTACCCTGAATGCTGTAATGTAGCACATGTGTGTCTAAAACCCATGGTGCTGTGCAAAGCCATGCGATGAAAACCACAGTACTTTATGGAGAAGGAGGTTCAGAAAACAATACTCAGAAACTTCAACGCTGGCACATTAAAAAAGGTGGAAGCTTAATGAAACGTTAACACGGTTCTTCCCATGTTACGTGGTTAACAAATACATAAATGCTACAATTAACACGGGACTTCTTCACCTTAAGAAAGCCCTGATGCTTGTCTATGAAAGGGGGCAGTGGAACGTTGCAGCTCCCGCATCATCCTGACTTGTGGAAGGGATTGAAATCGATCAGAAAGCTGTGACGTCAAGCGGGGTGGGGGTGAGCTCACAGCAACATGTGATGAGGGAGAGGCCGGTGGGCCTGGGGTGTGTGTGTGGTCTGTGTGCTCCTATGTGGCTCTTTTAGCTGGATGTGGTTTTCCTTGGGGGTGTGTGTGTGTGCTCTGTATGCTCCTATGTGGCTCTTTCAGCTGGATACGGTTTTTCACATCCATCTAATGTTTCCTGCAGAGGAAATCACACAGAAGCAAACACCACATTTACCTTCTGCTTAATCTATCAATTGCCCTGGAACAAGTTCCTGGGTTCAAAACCAGCATTACAGGAACACCCACTTCACTCACTCTTCTGCTGGCCCCCCTGCCTGTTGTGTCTGAGCAGTGCTTCATCCTGCCTGTGTGAACATCTCCTTGGATCCTCACGATAACTCCGGGAGGCAGAGCGTAAACCCTCACCACAGAACAAGGACATTTAGGATCAGAAGCATTCACAGACTTGTCTCAGATTCCCCATCTGGCAAGTGGCAGAGTCAGCACTAGAACCCGTGGCTCCAGCTTCAAGGTTATGGAGTCTTCAGCAAATACGATCTGAGTATTTGTAGCCAATGTAAGATGAAAGCTTAGAGAACAGAGGCCCATGAAACAAGAAAAAAAGAAAGAAAGAAAGAAGACAAGCTGGTGCACTCAGCTTATTCAGCAGAAACCTGGGCTTTCCACTGGGTCTATATGTGTTTTTTGTTCATTCCCTTGGTTTTCTGCTATTGCTCACAGGTATGAAAGGCTTAAGGAAATATGTAGAAAAAAAGCCATTCGTCCCCTGGCAAGTTTGGAGAAGAAAACCATTACACTGCTGTAGCAGTGGGCTCCTTATTCCCTTTCTGAGTCTCAGGGAGCAGGGCTGGAGAGTGTTTGCCCTGCAACAGGAAGGAGGGAAGAAAGACTTGGATGAGCTCCCAGAATTAAACCCAAGATGGAGAGTTGGCTTTAGACATGCCATATTTACAGATGGTGAAACATTAACGTGGAAATGACCAGCTGATCATTAGAAAGGTGGGCATCTTAAGAGACCTGCATTTAAAGAGTTGAAATATAACGAAAGTTAGTGAAGGAGAAGAGAGAGCCCAGAAGAGCCACCCTCTGCCTCTGGTGGGATTCAGTGGGTCAAATATCTCCCCTTCCACCAACACTCCATCCTGTGTCATCATTGTCTCCATCATCCCCATTAGCAAATAATGACTGTGTACCTCCTGAGTACAGGTCATGGTGCTGAGTGCTATGGGACGTATAAAGGTATGTTAGACATGTCCTTCCTCTCAAGACCTTACAACAGAGCTGGGAGAGAAGACACAGCTCTAGGAAAAGGTAACGAAATCAAAGCAATAGGACAAGAGCTAGCTATGTGATGCAGGTGCAGAATGTTTCAGGATTCCACGGAGGGAGACAGTCTTCTGTGGGACAGGCCCTGAAGGCTTCCTGGAGGAAGCAGAAATTGATTTCGAAAGCCAGAGAATGGAAAGACCTAATTTCAGGGGATAGGAAAAGGATGAGTTTGAAATATGAGGAAAAGTGAAAAGCAAGAATATTTAGTAGATTAGCAATTGATCTTGAGCAGAGAAAAGCTTGAAAGAGAGAACAAAGTACCATTAATAGCAGTTGGAATGGCTGAGATGATTTCAGGACAGAGTGCCTTTTGTTGAGACATGTTAAATCTATGGTGACAGAAGAACATTTGTGGGGAAATGCTCTGAAAATTATTGGGAATGTAGTTCCTGAGTTTGGGTTGTAGGGAGTGTTATGGGTTCAATTTTGTGCCCTCCCCTTAAATTCCCATGTTGAAGTCCTAACCTTCAGCACTTCAGAATGTGGCTTTATTTGGAAATAGGGCCAATGCAGATGTAATTAGTTAAGATGAAGTCATACTGGAGTAGGGGGGGGCCCCTGGTCCACCATGACTGGTGTCCTTCTCAAAAGAGAAGATTGGGATGCAAAAGCAGACAACATAGAGAAAAGACAATGTGAAGAGAGACAGGAAATGACAGCCATGCACAAGCCAAGTGCAGATGCCTGGAACAGGTTCTTTCCTCACAGCCTTCGGGGGAACCAACCCTGCAGACATCCTGGTCCTGCACTTTTAGCTTATAAACTTGTAATACAGTAACTTTCTGCCATCTAAGCGGTCAGGTCTGCGGTATTCCATTACAGCAACTCTGGCAAACTCCTATGGGTGGGAAGTGGGCCCAACACCAAGTGTTTAGGAGCCCCTCCTCTTCACATTTAAAGGAGGAGGTGAAAGGAGGGTTAGTAACAGAGAGCAGCCATTTACAAGAGGAAGGCGCTCATGGCCTCACAAAGCCCACCCAAGAGAAAGCAGAGAGAGGGAAGACATTGGCAGCCTCGGTGTTCAGAGAGGCCAAGGAGATAACTTTTCGAAAAAGTGGCCCAGGTTGTGCCCGGGTGTGAAAAAAAAACTTGAGCTTTATTCTGTAAGCAATGTGGAGCCCTGGAAGTTGTGTGAAGAAGGAGCTAACACAACAAAAGTAGTGATTTAGGAAGATGAGTGTGCCAGGGGTGTGGAGGATGGACCAGAGCAGACATCACTAGGGGCAGGCTGGACGGGAACAGATGAAGCTGAGGTGATGCAGTTGACAGCCTGGATGGAGAACAGGACTGCTTGGCAGAGACCAGTGAACCCAGATCCTTTGAGTAAGAATATCATGACACAGACAGTGGAATCAGTTAACAGTCATGCCCTTATGTGGGGTGTGTTTCTTCTAACCCACTTAACATGGGGGTGCTTCAGTGTGTAAGTAAATAATAAAACACATGGAAGGATGGAAATATTGACTATAAGGAAAGAAAAGAGAACTCTGTAGTATGGAATGGCATTTTCAAATGTAAAGTGACTTTCTAGAGAGTGTGGTTTTTATTGACAGACAAAAAATTAGAAATATATTTTCCATGGGCAAAAAAAAAATCCTACCTATATTAGTCTGTTCTTACACTGCTATAAAGATACTACCTGAGACTGGGTAATTTATAAACAATAGAAGTTTAATTGACTCACTGTTCTGCATGGCTGGGGAGGCCTCAGGAAATTTACAATCTTGGTGGAAGGCTAAGGAGACACAAGCTTGGACCTTCTCACATGACAGCAGGAGAGAGTGAGTACATGAATGAGGAAGTGCCACACTTTAAAACCATCAGCTCCTCTGAGAACTCGCTCACTATCATGAGAACAGCATGGGGGAAACTTCCCCCATGATCAAATCACTTCCCTCCTTCTACATATGGGGATTATAATTGGAGATGGGATTTGGATGGGGACAAAGAGCCAAACCATATCATTCTGTCCCTGGCCTCTCCTAAATCTCATGTCCTTTATAAATTTCAAAACCAGTCATGACTTCCCAACAGTCCCCCAAAGTCTTATCTCATTCTGGCTTAACTCAAAAGTCCAAGTCCAAAGTCTCATCTGAGACAAGGCAAGTCCCTTCCACCTATGAGCCT
This sequence comes from Homo sapiens, assembly GCF_000001405.40. Classification (NCBI taxonomy): domain Eukaryota; kingdom Metazoa; phylum Chordata; class Mammalia; order Primates; family Hominidae; genus Homo; species Homo sapiens. The sequence goes on along the minus strand of NC_000013.11, from coordinate 111,991,312 downwards.
GTAAAATCCAAAGCAAGTTAGTTACTTCCAAGATACAGTGGGAGTACAGGCATTGGATAAATGCTCCCATTCTAAATGGGAGAAATTGGCTAAAACAAAGGGGCTACAGACCCCATGCAAATCCAAAATCCAGTGGGGAAGTCATCAAATCTTAAAGCTCTGAAATAATTTCCTTTAACTCCATGTCTCACATCCAGGTCACACTGATGCAAGAAGTGGGCTCCCACAGCCATGGACAGCTCCACCTCTGTGGCTTTGCAGCCCCCCTCCTGGCTGCTTTCATGGGCTGGTGTTGAGCATCTGTGGCTTTTCCAAGCACATGGTGCAAGCTGTCAGTGGATCTACCACTCTGGGTTCTGGAGGATGATGGCCCTCTTCTCAGAGCTCCACTAGGCAGTGCCCCAGTGGGAATTCTGTGTGGGTGCTCTAACCCCACATTTCCCTTCCTCACTGCCCTAGCAGAGGTTCTCCATGAGGGCTCTGCCATTGCAGCAGGATTCTGCCTAGACATCCAGGTATTTCTGTATATCCTCTGAAATCTAGGTGGAGGTTCCCAAACCTCAATTCTTGACTTCTGTGCACCTACAGGTCCAACACCACATGGAAGACACCAAGACTTGGGACTTGCACCCTCTGAAGCAGCACCCAAGCTGTACCTTGGCCCTTTTTAGTCATGGCTGGGGTTGGAGCAACTGGAACATAGGGCACCAAGTCCCAACGCTGCATACTGCAGGGGGGCCCTGGGCCCAGCCCACAAAACCATTTTGTCCTCCTAGTCCTCTGGGCCTGTGATGGGATGGGAGGGGCTGCTATCAAGATCTCTGACATGCCCTGGAGACATTTTCCTCATTGTCTTGGTAATTAACATTCAGGTCCTTGTAACTTATGCAAATTTCTGCAGCTGGCTTGAATTTCTCCCCAGAAAATGATTTTTTCTTTTCTACCACATCATCAAGCTGCAAATTTTTCAAACTTTCATGCCCTGCTTCCTTTTTAAACAAAAGTCCCAGTTTCAGACGATCTCTCTCAAGTTCAAAGTTCAACAGATCTCTAGGGCAGGGGCAAAAGGTTGCCTGTCTCTTTGCTAAAGCAAGAGTGACCTTTGATCCAGTTCCCAATAAGTTTCTCATCTCCATCTGAGACCACCTTAGCCTGGACTTCATTGTCCATATCACTAATAACAATTTGGTCAAAAACATTCAACAAATCTCTAAGAAGTTCCAAACTTTCTCACAACCCCCTGTCTTCTTCTGAGCTGTCCAAACTGTTCCAACCAGTTCCAAAGTCACTTCCACATTTTTGGGTATCTTTATACCAGTACCAACCTACCGGTACCAGTTTATTTTTCCATTTTCACACTGCTATAAAGAAATAACTGAGACTGGGTAATTTATAAAGGAAAGAGGTTTGATTGACTTACAGTTTTACATGGCTGGGGAGGCCTCAGGAAACTTATGATCATGGCAGAAGGCGAAGGGGAAGCAAGCACCTTCTTCACAAGGTGGCAGGAGAGAGAAGGACAATGTAGGAACTTCTAGACACTTATAAAACCATCAGATCTTGTGAGAATTTACTTACTATCACAGCATGGGGGGAACTTCCCCCATGATCCAATCACCTCCTTCCCACGTGGGGATTACAATTCAAGATGAGATTTGGGTGGGGACACAGAGCCAAACCATACCACCACCAAATTCTGAATTTCTAATAATGAAAGTCTATAGGATCTTAAAGAGTTTTTGCCGCACTTTCAGAAGTTTGTCCATGTTTCAAACCCAAAGTCTCTCCATTTTGGTTTACTATAATAGAATACCTGAGATTGAGTAATTTATATAAAAAAGTAAGTTATTTCTTACAGTTCTGGAGGCTGGGAAGTCCAGGAACATGGTGCTGGAATCTGGTGAGGAACTTCTTCCTGCATGATCTCAGGCAGAAGGCAGAAGGGCAAGAGTGCACAACAGCAGGAGAACAAGAGGTGGCTGAACCTACTTTATGACAAACCCACTCATGATAAGTCACCCACTCCTGAGAAAACAGCATTAACCCACTCATGAGGGCAGAGGCTTTATGACCTAATGACTTATCAGGCTCCACCTCTCAACACTGTTGCATTGGGGATGAAGTTTCTGACACATGCTTTTTGGGAGACACATTCAAACTATAGCATTCTTCCCCTGGCCCCCAACATTCAATGTCTTTCTCACAATGCTAAAGCCATTTATTCCACCCCAGTATTCCCAAAAAAGTCTTAACTCATTTCAGCATCAACTCAAAAGTCTGAAGTAAGTCTCACCTAAAGCAGATATGGGTGAGACTCAAGGCACAATTCATCCTGAGGCAAATTTCTCTCTGGCTGTGAGCCTGTCAAGTTAACAAATTATGTGTCTCTAAAATACAATGGTGGAGGCTGGGCACCATTGCTTACACTTGTAATCCTAACACTTTGGAAGGCTGAAGTGGGAGGATTGCTTGAGCCCAGGAGTTCGAAACCAGCCTGGGCAACATAGTGAGATCCTGTCTCTACGAAAAAAAAAAAAAAGTTGAGTGTGATGGCATACACCTGTAGTTCCAGCTACTTGGGAGGCTGAGGTAGGAGGATTGCTTGAGCCTGAGAGTTTGAGGCTGCAGTGAGCCATGATTGTGCCAATGCACTCCAGCCTGGATGACAGAGTAAGAGCCTGTTAGACCCTGACTAACAAACAAAAAACAAAAAATCCCCCCAAACCCCAAAATACAATAGTTAGACAGGCATGGGATAGATATTTCCATTCCAAAATGGAGGAATAGGCAAGAAGAAAGGAGTAACTGGTCCCAAATAAGTCCAAAACCCAATAAGGCAACATTAAGTCTTAATGTTCCAGAATAACGTCCTGGACTTCATGTCCCATATCCTAAGCACACTGGGGCAGGGATTGGGTTCCCAAGGCCTCCAGAAGCTTTCATGAGCTAGAGTCTTGTGCCTGCAGCTCTCCCAGGCTGGAGTTGCATACTGGTAGCTCTACAGTTATAGGGTTTTGGGGGCTGCTCTACTCCAACAGTTCCATGAGGCATTGTCCTAGTGGGAACTCTGCGGTGACTATTCCCCTGCCATGAGTCTCCACCTGAGTGACCAGGCTGTCTGTGACATCCTTTGGGGCTTTGGTTTATAGCCATCAGGTCCTCATGTGCCTTTGTGTCATACTTAAAAAATTTTTTTTGAGATGGAGGTCTTGCTATATTGTCCAGTTGGCCTGTAACTCCTGCAATCAAGCGATCCTCCTGCCTCAGCCTCTCAAGTAGCTGGGACTACAGACACAGGCCCCTGCAACTGAATGTCTGTGTTATGCTTAATATGTGTAAGCCCAAACTCCCCACTTTCTTATTGTCTTTAGGGCAGCACTGTTCTCATGCTTTTTCATTTTCTTGATCTCTCCAAGTCAAAGGTGCTCTATCAATCCTTGCTGCTTGGCTCATCCATTTGTATTGAAAGACAAAGTGGAAGCAAGGCCTATGGACATGACAGAGATCCTTTAGGCCACACAAGCCTTCAGATGGATAGGCCAGAAGCCACATCTGGACAGCCAGTCTGCCATTCAGACTCACAACTGACCCAACATTTCTCCTCCAAAGATTCCTATCTCCATTCCCCCAATCACTGCACTCCAGGCTGCAACACTCTACTTCAGTTTCTCAGGACTCTCCAGTTTTGCCACATTAAACACGTGACAGAGCACAATTATAATCACCCACTGCACTTCCATCTCCATCGCTCCCTGTGTGTGTTGGTGAAGGTGATGAATGTGACCTCGAAGCTGCTGTGACTTTCCAGGATCTTTTGGGTGGTGATTTTTTTCTATTGTCATTTAGTAGTGTCCAGAGGTTTTTAGAGGTGAAGGTAAAAAGTGCGTTGAGAGCTGGGGGCACACCTCTGCTTCTGAGATGCCTGCTTGTGAACCCTCTGCTTGGCACCTAATGCAGGAATGGGCCATCTAGGGACTCATTAACTCAAAAACAACCAACTGTTCAATCCTGGAGTTTATTGATGTGGGGCAGCCAACTTTGCTTCTAGTACCTGCTAGAATCTAGGTTTGTTAATGATTTCAAATGCTTTTGTAGGTTCAGTCAATTCAGGGTACTGGATAAAGACAGGCATTTAATTTTCTTGTAGTTTGGATATGAAGAAAATAAAATATTGGCTGTACTGGTAGCTGCTATGTGAACCTGAATTGTCAAGCTTGTTTGCCTGTGAGACAAGTGTAGTGCTTATTAGGTCACACAGTCTGAGCCTCCCTTTTCCATGAAAAATTTACATTGAGAATACCTAGAATAAGTGTATATGCTGTCGTCATTCTTGAATATTTGTATGGAGAACAGCAGGGAAACCTAAGTCTTATTCTTAGAAACTTGCTTTGATTACAATGACTAGTTTTTGAAAAAATCTATTTGACAATAAGTCTCAGTGACCATCCATCAACCTCTTTTTTTTTGAGATGGTGTCTCGCTCTGTCGCCCAGGCTGGAGTGCAGTGGCACAACCTGGGCTCACTGCAACCTCCACCTCCCGGGTTCAAGTGATCCTCCGGACTCAGCCTCCTGAGTAGCTGAGATTACAGGCACGCACCACCACATCTGGCTAATTTGTACTTTTAGTAGAAACAGGGTTTCACCATGTTGGTCAGGCTGTTGTCATCCTCTTTTTACTCTTTCTAGTCATGTCTCCTGGTCATAGTGAGACCAGCATAGGGAAGCCCCAGGGTATGTGCCAGGGCACCTGAGTTTCTCTCCAGGTGCATTTGGCCAGCTGGTCTGCAAATAACTGTTATGGAGACTGGGTCAGGACACTGGGGCTGAATTGCTGCCTTGCAGAGCAGTGACACTATGCAGTCCACAGCTGGAAAAAAATGATTGGATTCCTTTAAACTTTTTTTTAATTCAACCTGTGGAGGCTCTCCTTCTTTTAATAGAAAAAGAAGGTGTTTTTCTTCTGACTATTCTTATGCTTAACTTTTACTTAGCTTGGGTACTAGTTGGCCATTGATATAAGCTGCTTCAATAGTGCCCACAGCTCCCATTTCTTGAGTATTTGCTATGTGAAGGCCCTGTGCTAAGTTCATCAGGTGCATCTCATTGGTTCCTCTCAAAGCCCTGTGACACAGGTACAGTTTTATCCCCTCTTATCATGAGAAAAACAGGATGTAGGGTGGTTAAGTAACTTGCCTGAGGCCACAAGACTGGGAAGCGCAAGAACTGGAAATCCAGGCTGCATCATGGAAGATAACATTGACTCTTCTGTGGCACAAACTGTTTTGCAAAGATGCTTCTATACTTACTTATTTTTCTCTTTAATTTGATCATAAGTCCTATACATGTAGTCTTCACATACATATCATATAGATAGGTGTTTTAATTAATGAATAAGTTGGTTGAATCCCCAAATGACCCTATTTGACCTGCTACTGAATCGGTTTCTTTCCTATGTAAATAAAAATAAAATTAAAGATTATAAATCTAGTTTCGGTTTCATCACAGAGTAGTAGTGTGAACACGAGTAGGAATGTGAGAGTGTGTGACTTTGCCTTAGCACACTTAGTATCTGCCGACCACTGAGAGTGAACATCATTCATCATCCTTCTCAATTCGAGATGGAGGAAACAGTTACCATTATTATGGAAGCCTGTAGATATCTATAAAATGATTAAAACTCAACAAGCTAAGAATAAATCAAAGCCCACTGTGGCATTGGGTATTTTCATCTACATTTATTTTTAAGACAGGATAACCCAGAAGTGAGCTTGGGCTCTAGAAGATAATAATAAAGGTCCATTGCAATGGGCTCAACTTAATTACTCTATCCTGAAGGCATTTGGCTCTGTGAGATCTGAGAGGAGAAACAGTGAAGAGTTGAGTTGTTCACTGAGAATGCTTTGCCTCCAGCCTTCTAACCTTGGGACAAAATTCAAGGGAATACACGGTTATCATTAATGCTAAGGAAGATAATCCTAGGAGCATTGATACTTTCGAGTATTATCTTTAGCTTCCTGGAATTGTATCCTTAAGTAGCTTTATAGAGAGCATCACAGTGAGACACAATCCTGAGGCACAGATATTATCCCAAACTGGCGACCACCAAAGAACAGAGTGGTAGAAGATTCTGGAGGCAGCATGTATTTTAACGGGAAGCATATCAGGCTCAGACAAATGAACACGTAATATTCCTTAGGGCTTTTGGAGTAAATGCAGACTTAATAATTACTCTAATTGCTTCTGTTGTGATTCTACCTTTGAGTCTACATCAAACAAACATATAGAAAGTATTACACTTGCATTTAATCTACTCATTCTAGAAAAACTAACTCTTATTTCCTTCTTATATGCTTTCATTTGTCAAACAAGGCTAGAGATAAAAATTTTTATATTTAGTGATAAACATGTATTTAGTACCTAATAATGCAATTTTCTTCTATGCAGAATTTTAGTGCACTGACTATTCTGGAAGCCACAGCAATGCTGTCTGCCTTGAAGTTTATAATACAACCCATGAATCCCACAGGTAACGGTGATGAGAAATTTCCCATAATTCAGCACTTCTTTTGTCTTATGCATGAAGTTATGACAGCTGCCTTGTGATCTGGCACACTTTCAGATATTTTTCCAGAAAAATAAGGTTGCTCTTAACTAGGGCTGCAAAATGAGGGACATATGTATGTATGAATACAAACCAAAAGATTAGAGACGCTGAACCTCCCCTGCCCCACAATCATCTCTTCCATTTGCCCTGCCACTATGTCTAAAATGGCTGCCATGGTGTCTAAAATGGCCTCCATAGCTTACTAGCTCTATGACAAGTTACTCTTCCAAGCCAAGTTTCTTCATCAGTAACCAAGAGTAATAGTAATACCTCCTTCAGAGTGTTGTGGTGGGAATTAAAAGACAGAATATGGCACTTCTTAAACTTGCTAAATTGCTGTAAATAACAAAGATGCTTTTGAAAAAAATATATTTTCCAGCTCTTCCATAAGGATTTCAACTCGGAGAGTCTTAGAGAGTGCAGAAAGGGTGAGAATCTGTATGTTTAACAAGCAATACATAACAATTCTAGGACATAAGAGAGAAGTAAAGTGCTCCCCTCAGTAAGTTCTCAATAGATAGAGTTAGGAGTCTCCTAAAATGACATACACTTGGCCCACTAGTCCCAGTGAGAGCTAGATAACCCAGCCATTCATCTGTTCATCTGCTTGTAGGGAATATATTCCTGAGGGAATAAACTCAAGCTAGGCTAAATTTTTTTCAACATTATTTTTTTCCTTAGATCCCTAACTTTCACTATATACAAAAATGAGCTCAAAAAGGATTAAAGACTTAAATGTAAGATCTAAAACTATGAAACTACAAGAGAAAATACAGGGGAAGGAAAATGCTTCAACATTCTTTTTCATTTGATTTTTTTGTCATACAAAGAGCTGTACGTAATTAATGTATAAAAATTGGTGAGATTAGAGATAGGTATAGACCTGGGAAACCATGACCACAATCCATGCCATAAACCATCCAGCACATCCCAAAGTTTCCTCTGAAAACTATGAAACTACAAGAGAAAATACAGGGGAAGGAAAATGCTTCAACATTCTTTTTCATTTGATTTTTTTGTCATACAAAGAGCTGTACGTAATTGATGTATAAAAATTGGTGAGATTAGATATAGGTATAGACCTGGGAAACCATGACCACAATCCATGCCATAAACCATCCAGCACATCCCAAAGTTTCCTCTGATCTTTTATTTTTATCATCATTATTATTATTTTGATAAAAACACTTAACATAAGATCTATTCTCTTAGCAAATGTTTAAGTATACAATACAGTATTGTTAATTATAGGAACTATACTGTACAGTAGGTCTTTAGAATTTGTATTACTGGTATAACTAAAATTTTGTACCCTTTAGCGAATTCTTCCCCACTTCTCTCACACCAAGCCCCTGGCCACCACCATGCCACTCTCTGCTTTGATGAATTTGACTATTTCAGATTTATCATAAAGTGGTATCATGTTGCAAATGACAGGATTTCCTTCTTTGTAAGGCTAACTGGTAGTCCCTTGTGTATACTACATCTTTCTCATTAATTTATCCATTGATGGGCATTTAGGTGTTTCCATGGCTTTGCCATTGTGAATAAAGCTGCTGTGAGGATGGGGGTGCAGATATCTCTTTGAGATGCTTATTTCAATTCCTTTGAATTTATACCCAGAAGTGTGATTGCTGGATCATATGGTATTTCTATTTTTAAATTTTTGAAGAGCCTCCATACTGTTTTCTATAAGGGCTGTACTAATTTACATCCCACTAGCAGTGTACAAGGCTCCCTTTCCCCCACATCCTCACCAACACTTGCTACCTTTTGACTTTTTTTTCTTTTTTTGAGATGGAGTCTTGCTGTGTTGCCCAGGCTGGAGTGTAGTGGTGCGATCTCGGCTCACTGCAACCTCCTCCTCCTGGGTTCAAGCAATTATCCTGCCTCAGCCTCCTGAGTAACTGGGATTATAGGCATCCACCATCCTGTCTGGCTAATTTTTGTATTTTTGTAGAGATAGGGTTTCACCATAGTGGCCAGGCTGGTCTTGAACTCCTGACCTCAGGTGATCCACCCATCTTGGCCTTCCAAAGTGCTGGGATTACAGGTGTGAGCCACTGTGCCTGGCCACCTTTTGACTTTTTGATATTAGCTGTTCTAACAGGTGTGACATGATATCTCATTGCATTTTTAAGAAATAAAAATTGTATATATTTAAAATGTACAAGGTGAGGTTTTGATATACATATACATTGTAAAATTGAAATTCTTAGTTGATTTTTCTATTGGTTTTCTATCTCTATGTCATTTATTTCTGCTCTAATCTTTATTATTTTCTTCCTTCTGACTTTGGGCTTTGTTTATTCTTCTTTTTCTGGTTCCTTGGGATGTAATGTTAGGTTGTTTATTTGGGGTCTTCCTTTTTTCTGTGAACTTTTATTGCTATAAACTGCCCTCTTAGAAATGCTTTTGCTGCATCCCATGAGTTTGTGATGTTGTGGCTAGGTGAAGTTTTGAAGAAGGAAAAGTGCTAGGAAATTTCAGATAATGGGGCTGCCAGTGAAGGAAGGAAGGTAAAACAAGATGGGGATGTGGAAGCCCTGAAGTGTCAGGTGGGTCCTGATCTTTAGTTGCTGCCAGAGGGCAGGCAGACTCTTCCCTGAGAAGCCTCACTCACCTCCTGAATTTTGTCATTTGGAGCCAGGCATGTATGGGCACCTGCCCTCTACCCCCACAGCGGTGATTCTCACCTTGGATGTGGGTTAGAAGCCCTTGGGAAGGGCTCTGGCTTCCTGGGTGAGGCCAGCCCTGCATCTGAGACTGCGGGAAAGCTGCCTTGAGGATTCCCTGGGGTGGGGGATCCCAGCTCGAGCATCTACACTAGATGCAGACTTCGAAGTCACTGACCAAGTTTTCAAGCTCTGCCCTGTTCTCTGGGTGACCTGGGGTCTGTGTGGCTACTGCTGCCTCATTCCTACTTTTGTCCAATTGTCCTTTTCTACTGAGACCACACACAAAGCTGATTCCCTTAGTCAGAAATAGAGCAAGTGTACCAGTTCATTTCAGAGGAAACGTGGTGACAAACCACCAGATATTTCATGATAAAGCAGAAAGTCGGAGCCCTACTCGCTGCCAGCAAGCGTCAGGGACAAGTCCTGGGCTCCACCCACTTTGCTCAGCGCTGCTCAAAGGTGCTGGAGAGCCTAGGATGTGGCGATTCTTTCCGGTACCTTTGTTTGTGAAATTCATCATTTATGTACAAAGTGTTTTCTGCGTTTTTACAGGCTGAATTGTGTGTCCCCCCAAAATTAGTGAATGTAACCACATTCCTTAGTGCGAATCAGTCTTCACAGATGTAATTCGTTAAGATGAGGTCACAGTGGAGTAGGTGGCCCAATCCCATAAAACCATGTCCTTATGGAGGGTAAAAATCGGGACCCACGCACCACGCAGGGAGAACGCCAGGAGAAGACCAAGGCTGAAGCTGCGATCATGCATGGGCCAGGCAAGGAGAACATCTCCGGTTGCAGCGAACCACAGAAGCAGGAGAGAGGTTGGAACCGAGTCCCCCACAGCCTCAGGAGGAGCTGGCTCTGCCCACACCTGGACCTCAGTCTGCGGCCTCCAGAGCTGAGAGGGGACACATTTCTGCTGTTCAAGCCTCCTGGGCTGTGGCACTTTGTTACGGCAGCCCCAGGACACAAATACTGGCTCCTACCGATGGCCTGTCCTTCTCTCTTTTTTTTGTCCAAATCTTTCCTCTTTGGCCAAAACAAAAGAGTAGAGAGATGGATGCCGTAGATCCACACACGGATGAGCTTGACTGGATTAGGTTAAAAGTAACGTGGCCTATGAGATTTTTTTTTTGGTATAAATATGAAGAGAAAAAATGAGTCTGAAGATGGAGTTGTTGATTCTGAGTCCGTGCAGGAGTAGCGAGAGGACCACAGCAGAGCCAGCGGAAGAAAGCCCAGCAGGGTGGGACGGCGTGCAGGGGTGCGACACAGACATGCTGGGGACCTGTGTCCACGTGTGCACGCATGTGCCTCACGTGCTCTATATCTGTGACTGTGCAACTTGGCATGTGCAAGTCTGTCCCCCAGCACCACCATGAAACCCTAGCCATGCCCAGGAACAAGGTGTTACTGCGACCTCATTTTACCAGTGAGCAAAACACAGCAGAGACACTGAGTGCCTTAGCCCAGGTACCACAAGCAGTATTCTGTGGTAGAAGAAATCTGAGTAAGGAAGAGGCTCAGTCATTTCTTCTCTTGTCATGAGCTTGGGGAGGCAGGGAGGGCTCTGGGGCTCGACATAAGCTCCATCCCCTGGGCATTACTGCCCAGAGCTCAGGGACCTGACCTAACAGCTGGCTCCGGGCCAGACTCAGGCCACCCTCTTCCCTAGGCTCTTGTGGAGTGATTGGGGACATCTCTGCTGCTCTGGGTGCCTCTGTGCACCTGGAGAAGCCTCATTTTTGAGGCTGGATGGAAAAACAGAGAACACACACCCATCCAGGAGATAGCTAAGTGAGGATTCTGTAGATGAGTGGCTAGGCATTGCTCAGAAAGCTGCCCGTTCATGCTTCTCTCCCGTTACACTCCTGTCCATCCCAGTCCCTTCTCTGTCCCTGTTCTCAGCATCACAGCAGCTGGATCTGGCCCCTTGTCCTCTAATGCTTCTATGGGGCATTTGTCCACGTGCCCCTGACTATTCTACCTTGATAGCAACCTCCATTAACCTCCATGGAACACCTTGGAGTCAGCAAGTTATTTATAGTCAAAACCGAGGGTCAGGAGGGCCCTGGACGGCTCCACTCTCCTCCCTTCCTCTCCCCTCCCCTCCCCTTCCCTCCCCTCCCCTCATGTCCCCCTGCTGTCACAGATGGCCTCTGGTTTGTGATCCTGGGATTGGGATCCTGGTCCGTGTGTTAGAGTATCAAAAAAATACACATCTACACCAGAAACATTTTAACGTAAAACACATACATATTTTGCTGTAAGTCCAATGTCTTTTGATGGGTTCTTTCTCTATCTCCCATGTTGGAGTACAGTAGTGTGATCATAGCTCACTGCAGCTTCGAACTCCTGGACTCAAGTGATTTTCCCACGTCAGCCTCCCTAGTAGCTGGGACTACAAGCACACTACCATGTCTGGCTAATTAAAAAAATGATTTGTAGAGATGAGGCCTCATTATGTTGACCAGGCTGGAATTGAACTCCTGGCCTGAAATGATCCTCTTGCCTCAGCCTCTCAATGCCAAAGTCTTTTCTTTGAGTTTCGGGCTGCTGACTGGCTTATGGGGTCTTCTTTCTTGTATAAACACCACCTATCTAAGATGCGTCTTTTAAGGTTCCTCAAAGTGAAACAATGAACTAAAACCATGTGTCAAACAATCTGAATGTCGTCTTAGGCTTCAATGATTTTCCTCAATAATTTACGCTCGTGTATTTTTAAAAGCAATTTGATTTTGTCTGGTCATTCCAAAATACCCAATTTAATTTTCACAGAAAAAAACAATTCATTCTTTTTTTTTGTTGTTGTTGCATTCATATTTCAGTGGCTTATGTAACATTTAAATTACAAATTACAACAGTGATTGCAAAGGGTATTTAAAAAAAAGCATTGGGGCAAATAGCAATCCACCTGGTAGGAGAGAAGTGTGTTTGTGAGCCTTGCTGTTGGGGTTCAGAGGCCATTTATGGAGGGTGGGTGGAGATGGGGTGGCTGTGGAAGGCCTGCCCTGGCTGCTGCCGTCCTCGGCCACCGCGTCTCTCCTTTCCTTGGTGTCTACACTGTGCCTTGGGGCCTGGAATCCCCTGCCATGCCTCCCATTCTAAGGTGGCAGCTGGCAGGACTGCTGGCTACCTTCTCCTCAGGGCCATTGAAAAAGTAAAACGTCACTGGAACAGTTTGGGTGTTTCTTGGCTTCATTCATCTCTTATTCATCCAGTCGCTCGCTGAATATTAATGCTTGGCCAGAGTCAGCTGATTTTAATTCCGGCTGCAAATTATGCTGCCAAGAATTCCCTCCAAGGCCAAGCAAGTTCTTTGCTATGTACCATTTTGGGGAAAGAACCCATGTCTTCACCAGAGTTCCATATATTTGAATAGGTGGGAATTGCTATAATGGAGCTGGCAGGAATGAGTGAACAGGTCCCCAAATCAAGACTGAAATGAAGTCTAAGAAGCTCTCCCCATGGTCCATAAACCCACAGGTGGCAGCCACTGACTGCCATGCATCCCGTAATCTGGAGCTCATGCTGACGGCTCTCACACAGGCGCAGACTCCCTTTTTCCTTTCTATTTTACTGGGATAAAATATGTAGAGCACAAAATTTTCCGTTTTAGCCATTTTCAGTGTACAGTTCAGCAGCATTCATCACACTCACAATGTGGTACAAACATCACCATTATCTGTTGCCAAGACTTTTCCATTACCCCAAAGGAAAACTCTGTGGCCATTAAACAAGTAGCCTCCAGACCCTGCCAGCTCCTTCTTAGCTTTGGGTTTTGGTGAGCCAGCATAGGTATGCCTTTTTACATATCTCGATCTGATCACATATTTAACTAAGAAATACATACTCCTGGTTTTGGGTAAGTGAACACCAAAACACAATCACTTTACATGTGGGACTTGCATTATGCAATAGATGAGTTCATGAAAGTAATCTACTTAGATTCTTTGAAATCCAATAAGGTTATAAATGATCTGGTAAAAATGGAGTGAGGGTGACATAAAAAATAATTCATAGTTTGAGAAATTGCATGTGTTCTGCAAATTTATATTTTACACCTTGGATTTTTCCTAAAGCGAGATTTATGTATCATTCCAAAACCTTTGTATCCAGGAAAAATCATGATCATTTTCCTTATGTATAAAAATACTATGTTTTATAACCAATAAATACATTTGGCCAATTTTAGCTCAGTGAAATATACTGTCACCCTAAATTCTATGTCAAGAGGCTTCCTCAGATCATACCTGCCCTTTGTGCTGGCCCCACACTGTTCAGAACTGACGTATTTTGGGTTGGAGAAAGATCTTGTCCTCGACAAATATTAGAAATTTGAGCATATCAAATAAATGCCAATAAAAAAATACATGTTTCTGGATTTGTGCTAGCAGTTATCAAAACAGTAACAGCAGTGATAAACGTTTTAGAGATTGAGCACTAGGAACTTTTAAGACCTTCATTATATGCCAGTCTCAGTAAGCGACGTCTAAGAAATGCAAACATCTTTAAAAGCAAATAAATACTTTTAAAAGAATAATTTCTTTCAGCCTGCACACTGATTTTACAAAAACATTTCTTAAAAAAAAAAAAAGAAATCTCATTTCAAGACGTATGTATTCCAGCAGACTTGGAGAAGGAAAGGGATTCCCAGGTCCTTATCATGCGGAAGACACCACGGCGGCCATAATCCTAAACGCACGCAGGGCAACAACAGTTCAGTCTCGAGGCGCGGAGCAATGGCTCGGAGGCTGGGAGCAGAAAGTGTGTTTCCAGAGCATAATCCGGCGGATACACTGTGTTCTTTGCAAAAGGTTGCGAGGCCTTGGCCTAATAAGCATAATCTCATTACACTGCAAATAAAAGTTTCCTATTTATCTCCAGATTTCAAATGAATCTAATAAGGCTTATGATACAGTCACCCAATACCCTAATCATATTTCTGCCTATCTAAAAGCAATCAGTAATTGTGTTACAGCAGAACGTGCTGACAATACCTCTGACACAGAAAGGAGAATGAGAGCCCAGCTGTACTAATTAAATTAAATGCTAGGCTGATGGAATACATTTGCTGAAGCCGGGAGAGTATGGGTGCAGAATTAATAAGCATTACAGCCTAGAGCGGGAGATGATATCATAATGGATGCAGGGTTTTGATGTTGAGAGCCTCATTCAGATTCAATGTACCATAATGTACAGATCTGACAGCTGCTTAGAGAGGTGCAGAGCCTCGGACAAATTGCCCAGGAACTTTCTGGTTTCTGTGCTCCTCGGTGAGGAACATCATATTTTGCATCGCCCTTACAGCCTAAAACCCACCCACCCAGGCCGCGCCCTGGTTGGCCACTGTCCCCTCCGAGGTGAGCTCCTCCCCAGCGAGCTCCATCCTTCCCCCACCTCCGCCTCGCCGGCTCCGAAACGCTCCTGTCCATTCTGAAAAGATGGGTATTGAGGCACCCCAACAGGCCAGGAAAAGATCCCTGTAGGATTATTTTCTACAAGGCCTTTTCCTGATTTTCCTTAAAAAAGCAAAACCCAGGGCCCGCGGGATCCAGCCACGCAGTGGTCCTCTGGGCTGCGGCCAGGCCGCTCCGGAGGTGGCTGTAAGACCCCAGCGAGCCCCCAGCGAGCTCCCTGGCACCGCGGGCCGCCGCCGCCCCCCCGCCCGCCCACCCACCCACCCGCTTTGGTGCCAGCGCAGCGCGATCCCTGCTCATCAATCAGCCGCGCTATCTCGCCGGCTGCAGAGCTGAAGCCGCGGGGCCGGCCCGGCCAGCCAGGGCTCATTATCACGGGAATTTTGACAGGATATTAAATTTACTAATCCTGAACTTTCCGGACTGACCCTCACGGGGAACAGACAATGCTGCTGTCTGCTGGGGAAGCACTTTCTCCGTTTCCTTTCTTCCTTCAACGACCTCACCCGGTTCCCTCCTGCCCGGTGTCCCTCATGGGAACAAGCCTCCCCGGCCCAGGCCTCCAGTCTCCCTGGAGCACAGGCGCTGCCCAGACCCCTCCTCCCGGCAGGCGCCCACGGAAGGGCGGCCACATACCCACTCCAAGGACCCAGAGATCCGGCCAGGCACGGCCCAGAGGAGCTGCGGTCACTGATGGGCTTGGGGGGCAAACGGGCTGAAATGCGGCAGTTCCAGGGGGCCTACCTCCATGCACACAGGCTGTCACGGAGAGACGCCAGCACACTTGTCAAAGATCACACCCCATCCTGCACACATGCATGCCCACATGCACCTCACACAGGCACACTCCCTCCACACGTGTGGTGCACACACTCTCCACACGTGTACACAACAACCACATCTGTGTACACACACATGCATACCCACATACATGTACAGGACACCCACATCTGTGTACATACACGTGCATGCATACCCACACAGTACACATGTGCACACACACCCATACTCTACACACATGTACATGACACCCACATGTTGCGTACACACTGGCACACATACCCACACACGTACACGACACCAACATCTGTGTACACTCACATGCATACCCACACACATGTACATGACACCCACATCTATGTACATTCACACACATACCAGCACACATGTACACGACACCCACATCTGTGTACACACACTTGCATACTCGCACACATGTATACATGCGCACACACTACACACGTGTACACAACACCCACATCTGCATACACAGGCATACCCACACATGTACACATGTGCACACACACTCATACTCTACACACATCTGTGTACACACACCCACACACATGTACATGACACCCACATCTGTGTACACATAGGCACACATACCCACACACATACACATGTGCAGTCATACTCTACACACATGTACACACGCCTGCACACATGTACACATCTGTGTACACACTCACATATAACTGCACACATGTACACAACACCCACATCTATGTACGCACACATATCTGCACATATGTACACATGTGCACACACTACACGTGTGTACATGACATCCACATCTGTGTACATACTCTTGCATGCATACCTGCACACATGTACAAGACACCCATATCTGTGTACATACATGCCCACACACATGTACATATGTGCACACAGTCATACTTTACACATGTGTACACAACACCCACATCTGTCTACACATACATACCTGCACACATGTACCTGACACCCACATCTGTGTATGCACACTTACATACACACATGTACATGACACCCACATCTGTGTACACACACGCATACCACACACGTGTACACATGTGCATATACACTCATACTTTACACATGTGTACACGACACCCGCATCTGTGTACACACACTTTCATACATACTCCCACACATGTACACGACACATCTGTGTACACACACATGCATACCCACACACGTATACGCATGTGCACACACACTTATACTCTGCACATGTGTACACGACACCCACATCTGTGTACACACACTCACATGGATACCCACGCACGTGTACACATATGCACACATCCATGAACACTTGTGCACACACCTAGCGCACAAACAGGCGTGCACCCGTGTATGCCTTACGCACACACAAGCAGGCACCGTCAGTCCTGTGTAGTGTGGGGTCACCTGTGAGTCACCCCGGGAACACGCAGCTCCACAGGCGGCGCCCATCTGTTAAAATTTTGAAAAGACAGCCCACACTGGCTCTGTTGAGAGCGGCTGCCTCTACGTTCTTGCTGCCCCCTCACAAATCAGACACTGCACATATGTTGTGATAGCAACTGTTACTCTTTGTTTATTCCCTCTATAAATAAACTCGGAGCTGCATCAGACCCTGTGAATATTTTTAGAAAGTTTCGGGCATCACAGCGGAATTCAGCATCTTGCCCATTCATAAGCTTTCTGTGCTTCAGAAAACCAAACACGCGACAGATTCCCACTGACATTCTGCCAGTTTGATCTCTAAATAATTCAGCATTAAAATCTGGTCAGCTCTCCTACCTCCCCGAAAAACTCCTGCAAACACTGTGCCAATTAAGTTGCTGAAAACAGCAGATTTGCACTGATACCATCCAGATAAAGCTGACCATTAAATCGCAATTTAACATCCCCGGGCAGCAGTGGCTGCTGACAGCCTCCAAAGCTTGCAATCTCATTTAACCCCCTCCTGTCAGGAGCAGGCCCGCCCTCTCAGCATAATGCCGCCAAATTAGACCTGACAGGGCAACAAGAGAAAGAAAAACCTCTTTAGCTTAAAAGTCAGGCCACAGTGGGCAACCCTGACCTTCAGCGTCCCCTGCTCAGCCCCCTGGGTTCTCCAGGGACCCCGGAGACATTTACGCAGAGAGAGGAGGAGAGAGATGGACAGAGGGGAGTGGGGCGGGGGCCCCGGCCACAAGGCACTTGGATTTCCCAGGGGGCAAATTACAGAGAATTTTCCTAGACAATGGAAGAAAATTTCACCTGGGCTTTTTCAAGTCTTTCTTTGGTAATAAAAGATGAACCCTGATGGTTCTGTTCAAACTACTGTGGCTCAATATTTCCCTGTGCCTGTAGTGCCCTCTGACTCCGAAGCCAGGGGACGCCTCTGTTGGAACACAGAGCCCCCTCCATGCCGCAGACGCCTGCATTTTAGATGAGGCCATCTTAGCTGGTGGCTGCAGCCTTCAAAGCCCTCCCCATAACTGGCATTTACCAGAGCTCTGTTTTCATAAGGAAATCAGGCTGCCTCCGAGACCCCTGACCACACGCGCTCTCGCCGCTGTCCTTTCCACCCGCTCCACCTGTTCTGCTAAGAGAGGGTGCGGGAAAAGGAACGGAAGGAGGGGAGGGTCCCGGCACAGCCGATGGGAGACGATTTTCACAACAGTCAGGAGGATTTCTCCAAATCCAGACGGAGCTACTCTCAGAGAAACGGCTACCCCACGTTTCACACCCGACAAACGAGGACAGAGGCAGTTGTAACTAAAATGACTTCCATGTATATTCTAGTTCAAATCAGTCATTAATCTAACAGAGATTCCTTTGCAAACACACACTTTTTGTTTTTTCTCCTGTACAAAGAAAAATGCTTTAAGGCCAAAAGTTAGAAGGGTGTCACCCATCAGTTTTGTAACACATCCTGGACCTTAAGAAAACCGAAGGCAATACCCCACTCTAAAATCCTGTCCGTCTCTTCTTCCTCCTCTTCAGTCCTCTCCTTGCCTGAATTTCATAAATAGATTGTGATTGCACAAGTCAAAAACTTCTCAAAGTCGAGC
The DNA here is from genome assembly GCF_000001405.40 of Homo sapiens. NCBI lineage: Eukaryota > Metazoa > Chordata > Mammalia > Primates > Hominidae > Homo > Homo sapiens. The sequence goes on along the minus strand of NC_000013.11, from coordinate 111,972,799 downwards.
TTAAAAGAGACAGAGAGTCAGAGACAGAGAGAGAGAGGGAGAGAGAAGTCCTCCTCCTCCTGGAGTCACTCCCTCTTTAGGCAGCGGTTCAACACCTGTAAGAAGGCCTTTTTAAAAAGGAGAGAAGAGCCAAGCTGCTTGCAGGAACAGAGCCCCAGGCGTCAGCGCAGTCTGCTGCCCACCTCTGCGGTGCCCCAACCTCCTGTGACTTACCGTCCGGGCTCCCAGGGCCACACCGCAGGAAGGACTTCCTAGCGCTCCTGGAAACCGCTGCCCTCCACGCCGTGGTCGCGACCTGCTGCAGAGGCCGGCTCTCGGGGGCTACTGACCCACTCAAGTTCCGAAGTCTCCCCCCTCCATTTTTTCCCCTCCTTAAGTTAGACGAAATGGCTATAGCAGAACCCACCTCAATGTTTATTTCGACTTCCCGGGGCTGCAGTGGAGTGAAGTCCTGCCTGCCCACGCTTTTCTGCAATGGAGTGGTTTATTTAATTTGTCAGAATAATGGGAGCGGCTGAATGAGAGACAGAGAATGCAGTGTGGTATAAAAGAAACAAAGGCTAAAAGTACCACTATTTTGATTCCCTTTTTAAAATTACTTCCAAAGTGTGGTATCTATTGTGAAGAATAATGCTGAACAAAGCAGTGTCTTGGCAAGATTCACAGAGCTTATTCACCCACAGCCAGTTCTGCCTGCGCATTCAGAGGTAGGACACACTTATAAATGATGTATTGGAAGGACCATAGCTCCTATTGTGTTCTCAGTGTAAACAAAAAGGCAGACAGGGGCTGAATGGTGTGTAGGCAGTGAGGCCACGCTGCAGCCAGCCATCCCCGGTTCTGGAGAGGGAAAACTGAAGTCAGCGGAAGCCCCAGCAGAGTCAGTTTGTTGAAGGCTCATCCCCCACTTTCTCCTCTTTGTCCATCAACCCTAGTCAGGGGCTGGAAAGGCTTCTAGAAGGTTCTCCTGGGAAGCACTGCCTGGAACATCCCTGCCACTCACGCTCCAGGTGGACGGTGCGTCCTGAACCTGACGATTTCCAGAATCTTTCAGTGAGAGGACACTAGTCTCCCCCGATAACAGCAGCTTCCACGAGTTTCAGCAAACTTCATGACGGCCTCTGTGCACTGTGCGCAGGAGCTGGGGGTGGGTTCCTGCAGCCTCCCAGGCCAGCCCCTGACAGCTGGAGGAAGTTCTGTTGTTACCGAGGCAGGCATGAGGCTTTCTCTCTGGCCCTAGAATCTCTCATTCTGAAGGTCCTGCAGTGGATCCACCTGGGGCAGCTGGATTCTGCATTCCCCTGCAGGTGGGCAATGCTTTCTGGTTTAATCTTTCAGCTCAGAGCCTAAGTTTTTTTTTTTTTTTTTTTTTTTTTTAGACAGTTTCGCTCTTGTTGCCTAGGCTGGGGTACGATGGCGCAATCTCGGCTTACCACAACCTCTGCCTCCTGGGTTCAAGCCATTCTCCTGCCTCAATCTCCCGAGTAGCTGGGATTACAGGTGCATACCACCACGCCTGGCTAAGTATTTCTTTAGTGAAACAACTTCACTGCATTTGTCAAAAAAGGGCCCTGCTGTTTATAAACTGTAAACTTCAACTTCCCTTGTCCATTTGATGTAAAAGCACATTTTGAATATTGGTTTTCTTCTGGTAAAACATTTTTAGACACTCTTGCCAACGGGCAGAAACAGTTTAGTTCTGCAACTCTGATTCTTGTCCTGTTGTGGGTACACACAGAGACTGCTGTCTCTCACCCACGTGTCTGCTCACATTCCTGGGGGGAGACCTCAAACCATCCCCACCCCCGTAACAGCACTCCCACGGTGGGGATGGACCACACCTAAAATGGAACTGTTTGCCTGCTTAGTCAGGAAATATACCGAAGAAGGGTGTGGGGTTTTTTGCAATGCAAGTTGCTGTTTGACTGCACGGAGCGTTTTGGTTACGGGAGGGAAGCGGCCAGCATGGGGCTGTGTCTGTGGCGCAGGATATGACTCCAGTGCTCCTGGTGGCTTGCAAGGATGCACCAAGGCCTCGCTGTGTCCCAAGTGGAGGCTCGCCCAGGCCCCGTGGTGCAGAAGGTCCCACAGTAGCCCACGTTTGACCGATGAGCAGAGGCTTCCCGAGGCCACATGGCCCAGCTTAGCAGGGATTGTGGAGCACCTGGCCCCAGCACTGTAACAGCCTGTGTTTACTTTATCTAGACACCTGGCACCACGTTTTCATTTTCCATTCCAACTTAGCAAATTAATATTTCTTACCTTAAGCTGAAAAACCCAACAGCCCATACCTCTTGCGGTGTTTCTGCCATGGCAGCACACGGGGCTCTAATGTTTTAGGGGTCTGTGTACCCTTCGCCCACTAGTGTGCTCCCCGCCTGCTGCCAGTGAGTCTCGGTGCGACTGAGTGGAGAATGAGGCCACCGGAGTTTCTGCAGCTCGGGACGCACCTTCCATCACGTGCACGTCTCACAGGACCTTCCTGTGCAGCTCCAGGAAACCACACCAATTCCATAAAATACGGACACAGTCACCTTGCTGCTGAATTTTTGTGACTTAGATTTTGTCACGGGACATTTGTAAAAATCCCTTTTAAAATTATTTATTTCCCATGACGGAAAGAGAAATCAATACCAGTGTATAGATTTTAAAGTTGGGATTCTTCAAACAGCTCTAAAGGCAACATTTTGACACCTTCTGGAGAGTTCTGTGAGTGTAAAGTTTACAAGACTGACATTGCAGTGAAATACTCTAAACATCTACTCAGGAAAAAATGAACAAGTGATACAATGTGTTGACACAGTGAAAGTAAACAATACAATACAACCACAGGTCAGGTGTGCTGAGCCCTGCACTCCAGGCCTGGCTGTGCCAGGAACCTGTGGCCAGCCTGAGAGAGCCTCAGCTTCCTCTTTAGAAATGGGGACCAGAGTGTTGCCACTCAAAAGAATGAGGGCCGTGTGGTAGAGCTGGATCGGGGTGTACCACATTGTACCTGCGTGAGCAACCCCAGGACTCTGCACTTGGAAAGGAGAGCGTGAGCCCCGCCAGGCTGGCACTGAGGCAGCAGGTGCAGTGGTGGCTCACTTCCACTCTTCTGCAGCCTTCATCCAGGCCTCCTGCGCTGGGGTCACCCCTCTGGTCACTGGCAGTGCAAAGGCTGATGAGGCCCCATCTACCGCGTGAAGAGAGCCCATATTTCGAGTACTTGACTGAAGCTTGGACATTTCCAGTTTTTGTAAAAATTGCTGCGATGGGGTCCCTATGACTAAAGAAAGGAGTTGATTAAACCCACACCATTGGCTTTCTCTGGGAGCCCTGGGGCCTCAGGGGCCATCGGGTTCAACCACTTCACTCCACAGATGGAGAGACTGAGCCTCAGGAGAGTGAGGGCTATGGGGGCACAGGCAACAGCGGAATCCAGCAGGAGTATCAGAAGCCTGTTGGTCTAACATGCCCATCTCACAGAGGGAGAAGCTGAGACCCAAAGAAATCTGGTTGCTCAAGATTAGCTAGCAGGTAATCTGGGGCCAGGTCTCAGATCTCCTGGCCACACAGGTACTTTAAAAAATTTTAAACACAGTGGTCCATGAAGAGTGGTAGTAAAAGATATGGATATAATTAATTTTGGAAAATGTTAAACACAGTGGTCTGTAAAAGCAATTGTAAAAGATATTAATATAATTACTTTTGCTGTAAAGACTTTCCAGTCAACATCTGTGATTACATACATGAGTTTTCCCCTGGTACACAGGTTCTCAGAGAGTGAATGACGCGGCTGACTATTGTCCAGTTATTGAGGACTCAGGGACTCCCCAGTTTGATGAATCTTCCATTTCTGTGTTCTGTTTCACAGTGAAGTAGCACATACCATTTGCTAAGTGGTGTACACTGCTGGTCACATGCTCAGGGCATCTCAGCTTCCTCTCACCAAGCCCTCCCATCTAGCTTTCCTCAGGCTGCTGATGGCGGAGGAGGCACCTGGGCTAATGGGCAGGCGAGCAAGACGAGGTCGGCTGTTGTGTTACCTTCTCACCCTTCCATAGAGGTGTATTCCCTAAGCCACTGGAGTGGCCCACAGAACGCACAGTTTCTACTTTTTCATTACTCAGTAAATCATAAGTGGGTCAGTACAAAATTCTGCGGAGTGAATCTTGGCTGGGGACTAGGAAGTGAGTCTAGATTTCACTCCAGGTTCTGGGCCCCTGAGGGGAGTTATGTTATCTCTTGATCTCCTGATTTGGCAGCTTTGAAATGGCCGTGGCGGCTTAGGGACCTGGACTTAATACAACCTCAACATGCCCACATATTTCCTGGAGATGGGAATGTCCCTGAAATCTATTTAACCTGCAGAAACCTTAAAGACGAGAAATTCGCACTCATTGCAGGCTCTCAGGAAGAAAGGTTCCGTGTACATTCTAGGTAATCCTAGTCTACGTTGAAAGGGGAGTTGCCCAGGGTTGAAATGCTGTCATTAAGTGTGAATGACCATCCAGTTACCACATGTGATCTTCAACATTTAGAGTCTCTGACTGAACAACTTTACACTAGAGTCCCAACTGGGCATTGCACGTCAGGGGTCTATTTCACCCTGGGTTTTTCCACATATGTCCAAGAATCTGAATTTTCACAACAAAGGCACAGGAAGTGGAATTGAGCTATCATCACTCTGACTTTGAAAGTCCTTCAAGAGCTTAAGGAGCATGATTGTTTCATGCTGTATTTCTTGAATTTTATTTCACATGATTGGGTCCTGATATGTTTCGATTTTCAAACCAGGATTTGTTTCCAAAGGAAGAGAAATTCACATTATTAGCAGAGTACTGCCTGCTTCACTGAATTAAACAGCAAATCCGTTTTAAATAATCAGTTCTCCAGTCTTTAATTTTTTCAGCTTTTCTTTCTCCTTCTTTTTTTTCATAAGCTTTAACATTCTTTGCAGCCTTCCTTCCTAACTGCACCATATCAAAAGCTCTCTGTTCTGATCCTCTCTGTTCTGATCCTCAATTAATCACTTCTTTATTACAGAACTTGGCGTCTTGCCCTCTCCCGCGCCCGCTGGCATTTCCCCTTGCTTCCACGAAGCTGGGCTTCTTTTCTCCTTTGCCGTCTACTCCTCCTCATCCTTGGGCCTTCTCATGTTCTTTCTTCATTAAAAAACATTTCTGCATTTCATTTTCATTATTTTCTCTCAACTCCCTAAAAATAAACCCATTCTTTCTCTTCCTCACCCTGTTGCTGGCACCAGCTCCGTGCTGGTGCCCACAGCTAGGGTGAGCTCCCAGCACCAAAGGTGCAGTGAGAACGCGTCCTGAGGACTGGCCGTGTGTGATGCTGCATGCATCTCTGTGAACTTTCTCTCAGAAGCCTCAAGAACACGATGCAGAAATGTTGTTACTAGCTCCATGCTATGCAGGAGGAAAAACTTGACTTTAGCCTCTCTAGTAACCCACTGAACTGGGAGTCTACTCCCAAGGTGGCCGGAGGGAGGCTCTAGTGACCACTGCCCCGTGCTGCCCCCCAGCATGGCTCCCACCTTGCTGATCCGAGTCCGCAATTTCACCATGGCCTTCCCAGGATGGTGGAGAGAGTTCCCTTGGGACCTTCATCCCTGGACCCCAGTGCTACCCAGCCCACCACTCAGGGTCGACCAGATGGCCTGTGACGTGCAAACCCCTGCCACCCCCACACTTGTCACATGGGTTGCCCTGAGGGCTGGGGAGCTGCAGGGTGAGGACAGGATTTATACCACCAGAGGCTTGTGGAGTGTGAGCTTTGGGGTTAGCGTGAATATTGCTCATCACAGAGTGACTACATTGGAGCTATGTCAGATTTATTCATTAGGAACAAGCTTAATTTTCAGCAGAGCAGTTGATGGTTAAAATGGTTAAAATGCTTCATAAAAGGCTTTTAGATGTAAAGCAGTCTATTCTAACATAAAATAATTGATGTTTTATGATTTGTATTTTTTCTAAAACTCTATTTTAAAACTAACTTCCCACCTTATTATATAGTAAAGTAAGAAAATTTCTGATGCCAATTTATGTAATTGCCTAAAACACAGGCCTTTTTTTAAAAAAAAAAAAAAATAGTTATCCTCTCCGTTCAGCGAATATGTACAAAACATATGCCAGCCGCCAGCACTCCGGCACAGACTCTATGATGAAACAAAGCTGAGGAACATACTCTAAGTATCATAGACCATGAGATTTGAACACCCAAACATCAATGGTTTGCCTGCTGGTGTGTTTAAGAAAGAAAAGGTGAAATCGAGAAAAGACACTTGGCTTTATTGACTTATTTCTGCCTTAACAGGGAGTTGGGGTGTTTTATAGCTCATCCATTGAATGCTGTTATTTTACAGACATTATGAACACATTTTTATTTATTTATTTTGAGACAGGGTCTCACTGTGTCGCCCAGGGTGGAGTGCAGTGGTGTGACCACGGCTCACTGCAGCCTTGATCTCGTGGGCTCAATCAATCCTCCCACCTCAGCCTCCTGAGTAGATGGGAGCACAGGTGCACACCACCGTTTTTCTGTATTTCTCTGTATTTTTTGTAGAGATGGGGTCTCACTGTGTTGCCCAGGCTAATCTCAAACTTCTGGGCTCAACAGAGCCTCTCACCTCAGCCTCCCCCAGTGTTAGGATTACAAGCCTGAGCCACCATGCGCAGCTGAAATATCAAAATGACTGGGTGAGCTCGCTGCCGCACAGGAGGTGGTGCTGAGGATGGAGACACACTACTTCAGGCCTTCACGCTCTTTCCTTCCCTTGGTCCCCTTTCCAGCAGGTAATCGCCGCCGTGTGGGCCACAGAGCAGGGCGGGGCTGGGTGCAGAGCCGGAACCCCGTGGGGCAGAGCCCGGGCCCCAGAGGCTCCTACGCCCTTGAAACCCTGAATGGAGGTGTGCGGAGACTGTAAAGTACACACCGGATTTTGAAGTTTTATTATGGAAAAAAGAATGTGGCTTTTTAAACTTTAATTAATAGACTTTATATTTTTATAGTAGTTTAAGGCTCACAGCAAAATTATGGGGAAGGTGCCGTGAGACCACGAGGCAGGGTAAGAAGCCACGTCTGTGGGTTTCTGCTTGTGGTGTGACTTCACCAGCCCGGCTCTGTGCTGATGGGCCGCCCTCTGAAGACGCTCTGAGGACAAAGTGAGAGGGTGCACGCCACTCCCGGGGCTCCTGCTCGAGTCACTGTCTCCTTAAGAGATATGGCCATCATTCTCAGCAAACTGACACAGGAACAGAAAACCAAACACAGCATGTTCTCATTCATAAGTGGGAGTTGAACAACGAGAACACATGGATACAGGGAGGGGAACATCACACACAGAGGCCTGTCGAGAGGTGGGGAACAAGGGGAGGGAGAGCATTAGGACAAACACCTAATGCATGCAGGGCTTAAAGCCTAGATGACGGGCTGATAAGTGGAGCGGCCAGGTGTGGTGGCTCACGCCTGTAATCCCAGTACTTTGGGAGGCCAAGGTGGGTGGATCACCTGAGGTCAGGAGTTCGAGACTAGCCTGCCCAACATGGCGAAACCCCATCTCTACTAAAAATATAAAAAATTAGCCGGGCGTGGTGGCTGGTGCCTGTAATCCCAGCTACTCGGGAGGCTGAGGCAGGAGAATTGCTTGAACCTGGGAGGCAGAGGTTGTGGTGAGCCAAGGTCGTGCCATTGTACTCTAGTCTGGGTGATAAGAGTGAAACTCCATCTCAAAAAAAAAAAAAAAAAAAAAAAGGTAGGTGCAGCAAACCACCATGGCACATGTATACCTATGTAACAAACCTGCACATTCTGCACATGTATCCCAGAACTTAAAGTAACATAAAAAATACCAATAAAAAAATGAAGATACAGGACCCGGGTCCTTTCCTTTTCCTGCATGAGGTAACGCCCGACAGGGTTAGTGGTTCGGTCTCTGTGATCTGTAACCAGATGCACTCTTCCACCCAAACCCTGATGTGGTTCTGATCACTGCAGCTTCTGAGCCGGCTGGATGTGGTTCTGCCCGTACGGAAGCTCTGCCACACGTGTATGAGCTGTGGGTGGAAACGCTGGACCAGAGCGCTCAGGCAGAGCCTCTCCGCGGTGCTGCAACGCTGTGCCAGAGCGGTCCGGCTGTGGGTGGAAACGCTGGACCAGAGCGCTCAGGCAGAGCCTCTCCACGGTGCTGCTCTCAGGCCGCAGGCCCTGGGCTATGGTCCGCGGTAAGACTTCCGAATAAAACTAACTTTGCACTTCGGGAGGCCGAGGCGGGCGAATCATTTGAGGTCAGGAGTTCAAGACCAGCCTGGCCAACATGGTAAAACCCTGTCTCTAAAAAAAATTCAAGAAAATTAGCCAGGTGTGGTGGCGGGCGCCTGTAATCCCAGCTACTGGGAGGCTGAAGCAGGAGAATCACTTGGACCTAGGAGGTGGAGGTTGCAGTGAGCCAAGATTGCGCCACTGCACTCCAGCCTAGGTGACTGGGCGAGACTCTGTCTCAAAACAAAACAATACAAAACAAAACTAAAACTAAAACAAAGAACTAACTTTGGTGGACTGAAACGAATATATTTTTAATATATTGTGTTAAAATATATTATTAAACTTACTTTTACTTACTTATTTCTTCTTATCCTCTTCTAAAAATATAGCTACTAGAAAATTTAAACTCACATTGGCTTGCATTATATTTCTACCTGACAGTACTGGGCTGGCAACCCCAGGCAACCCCGTAGAAAGAGATTGGTGACAGTCAATTGTGGTGGCTCACGCCTGTAATTCCAGCACTTTGGGAGGCTGAGGCAGGTGGATCACCTGAGGTTGGGAGTTCCAGACCAGCCTGGCCAACGTGGCAAAACCCCATCTCTACTAAAAATACAAAAAATTTAGCAGGGCATGGTGGTACATGCCTGTAGTCCCAGCTGCTTGGGAGGCTGAGGCAGGAGAATCGCTTGAACCCAGGAGGTGGAGGTTGCATTGAGCTGAGATTGTGCCACTGCAACCTGGATGACAAAGTGAGACTCTGTCTCAAAAAAAAAAAAAAAAAAAAAAAAGGAAGAGACTAGTGACAGAATCCTAGCACCCGAGCCAGGCAGACAGACCTACAGCCTCCTACCCCCAACAAACCCTGCCCCTGCCCCAAAAGAGAATAAAGCTTTACAGGCGATTCTAGAATGGCCCATATTCAGCAGACTGAGGAGAATCACAATAAGACTTCGGTTTAAGTTGTCCCCAGTAGGAAGCGAGGTTGGGGTCTTAAAATAAAGATGAATTAGATGAGATCAAAGATTGCTAAACCCTGCCCAGGTGAGCTTGTTGATGACGATTGCTACCAAAATACGCCCAGGCCTGGACACACCAGGCCCAAGTGTTTCTTTCCCCGCTCACTCTGGCTGCTGTCCTGCCCTGCTTCTCTGTGATGGGACATGTTTATAGTAGCAAAGGACCCACAGCACTGTCCCCCTTGATGTGTTAGCTCAATGTAGACAAAGAACCCTGCCGTCCTCACGGGCTGGTTAGCAGAGCCGGCTGCAGCCCCTGCGACCCCCTGAACATCTCTCGTGGTGCAGCCTCCTGGGGAAGCCTCCTTCTCGCAGGCACGCAGGCAGGACCATCGTGAGCTCTCACTGTGTTACCCCAGAGGAGATGCTGGACCAGGAACCCATGGAGGGCGCAGCACAAGAGTGCCCGGGACAAAGACCTAGATCCCTAGCACGACGGCTGGGGATGCTGCCATGCTCCAAATTCTGAAACTTGTCCAACAACAGGATTTCAGTTCGTATTTCGGCTGCCATTTCCAATAGACCACACTGCATGACCGACACCTAATCAGAGTGAAAGCAGCTTAGAAGAGAGGGACTTGCTGCAGCCGGCAAAGGGAGAGTCCAGGGGGTTCCCGGATGGAAGAAGCACTTTGTGGTCTTTAGCCAGGCTGGCCCAGGCCTCATCAGCTTCCTAGTGCGCACCCCGTCTGTGCACTGTGTGTGTGTAGATGGTGAGTAAACTGTTGAGTAACTGCTCCGCTGGGTTTCGACATCGCCTGTCGTGGTCACCAGTGTGAACTCTGGAGCCAGCCTCCTCCTCCTTCAAGTCATCACTCTGCTCCTTCACAGCTGTGGGACCTAAGTCACTTACCGCCTCTTGCCTCAGTTTCCTCCTCTATCACGAGAGGCACACCGTCCCGCATAGGGCTGCTGTTAGGCCCATGGGAGCCAATGTCTGTGAAGATGCGGGGGCGGTGCTGGGCTCGCAGCAGGTGCTAGGGAAACGCGCCATTGCTGCTGACTTCCTGAGGTCCAATCGACTTGGGGCGGAGGGTGCACTGTGGCTGAGACCCAGGAATCCATGTGGGTAGAGCCACTGAGTGGGGTTTTCACAGAGCAGCAAACAAGGCCTGTGCCGTGTGTAGAGCCCACTCTGCACAGGGCAACCTTTGGGAGCGTTTTTCTCCTATCATTTTCTGTGTGTCTCCTATTTCCCATGATTACCTAACAGGGTATGAAAGACATTTCCTTTAGCTCCCTTGCAGGGATGAGAATGACGGCTGCAAAACAACAGCAACGAAGCACACCTCCTAAGTTGAGAAGGCTTGTCTGGCATTACACGCTGAAGCCTGTGAATACTGAGTGTTTCCATTTCAGGCAGTATTTTAAGGCCATACAGTTACGGCCAAAGCAACGAGGAGCTGAGAAATGGTGATTTACCCTGCAGACGGTTTTGAGCGGCGTGGTTGAGATTCGTGAGGCTTTAGGTTATTTTCCTGAGTTCAGAATCAGGAGTCCTTGTTTCGTGTCTGACTCCACAGCCCTGATTTCCTGGGCTTCTCTGTCCACCCGCTTTGGTGGCGTCATGCTCAGGACTGATGTAAGGCATAAACATGTTGTCTTTGATATAATTACCAAAAGCAGAGTGTGTGGTGTGTTGCCAATGAAGAACTGAGATTTTGAAAGGCAGATTTAGTGCCTGGTAGCTGGCAGCCAGTCACCCACCAGCAGGCAGGTGCTCCTGACAGCCTTTTTGTTAAGGCACAGAAACACTTTCTGTTATCAACACATAAGTCAAACAATTCACTCCTCTGCACAGAAATGTGGTGCTCCCCTACTTACTCGCTGGACACCCGTAGAGGACAGTGGGGCCTAAGGTATGTTATTTTGCTATCTCCCTGTGAGTGTCGGTATTTTCTGGCTTGCATGATTGGACTGGGGTGGAGTCTGTCCCAGCATAAGGGAGCAGCAATGTGCAGGGTAATGTGTACAATTTCCCTTTGGGGCCCAGAAAGATTGAGGTGAATGCAGGGACTCACACGGAGGTGGGAGGGCAACCGGACAGTGGCACCCTTTGCGTATCTCACGAAAGCTTCCTATGTTCTGCGTCCATGGACGCCCAGCTCAGGAGGAAGATCAGGGCTGGCAGAAGCACACTGGCCACTGGCAGAGAGAAAGTAGGAAAGGCCAGGACCGGACACAGGGTGACAAGCACAAAGAGCAATGACAGAGCGCGGCCAGAGGTGCAGGAGAAAAACACTGTTTCAGAGAGACCAGTGGGGTGCAGGATGGGAGGTAGGGATAGGCCTCAGATGAGGAGGACGTGTATCCACTGAGTTCACCCAAAATGAGGCGAGAGGACAAATCATAGTACACAGCAGGGAGCTCCCAGAGGGACCCATATCTTAAAGTGCAGTCATTAAAAAATATAGAAAGTACAAAGAGGAAAACAACCAGCCCATTATCTCACAACCAGATAACCCCAATTATATAAAAATAAGTTATATACATAGCAAGGAAATGCAAACATTATAGGAAAGTACAGAATGAAAAGTGAAAATCTTTTAAAGCCATGCTAATACTCCACAAATTCTCAGCTCCTTTGCTAATAGCTAACCACTGATGACAGTTTTCTGTGTTCTTTTTTAGGAGAAAATAACAGAGAAAAAGTAGAATCTTTACATTGTGTTTTATCCATCCATCCATCCATCCATCCATCCATCGGTCCACCCATCCATCTATTCATTCATCCATCTACTCATCCATCCAACCATCCATCCATTTCTCCATCCATCCATCCATCTATCCCTCTATCCATCTGCCAATTTATCAATCTATTTATCTATCTATCCATCCCCATCTCTATTTATCCATCCATCCTCTCTATCTATCAATTCATCTCTATCTATCCATTCATCTCTATCTATTCATCCATCCATCTATTCATTCATCTATCCATCCATCTCTGTATTCATCCATCTATCCCTCTATCCACCCATTCATTCATTCATCTCTCTATCTATCCCTCCATCCATCTATTCATTCATCTGTCCATCCATCTCTCTATCCACTCATCCATCCACCTATCTATTTATCCATCTATCTCTCTATCCATCTATCTCTATATTTATTCATCCATCCATCCATCCTTCCATCTCTCTATCCACCCATTCATTCATCCATCCATCTCTCTATTTATCCATCTATTCCTCTATCTATCCATCTATCTCTATATCCATCCATCTCTCTATCTACCCATTCATTCATCCATTCATCTATTTACCTATCCATTCATCTATTCATCCATCCATCTATTCATTCATCTATCCATCCATCTCTCCATCCATCCCTCTATTCACCCATCCTTTCATCCACCCATCCATTCATCTCTCCATCCATCCGTCTCTTTATCTATTCATCTATCCACCCATCCATTCATCTCTCCATCCATCCGTCTCTTTATCTATTCATCTATCCATCCATCCATTCATCTATTTATCCACACATCCATCCATCTCTCCATCCGTCCATCCATCCATCCATCCATCCACCCATCCATCTCTATCCATCCATTCATCCATCTATCAATTTCTGTAGCTATTCATCTATCCATCTGTCTCTCTACTTATTCATCCATTCATCCATCATCCACCCATCTGTCCATTTATCTTCCCCTCCACCCATCATCCATTCATCCATCTATCCATCCAGCAGAATACATACATATATTAAGAAATAAGAAGATGTTGGCAGGCACTGGGATTATTTCTCAAATAATTTTTAATCTGAAGGTAGCTTCATAAATAAACATAAGAATTTTCTGTTGGCAACCTGTATTTTTGTGAAATCCTTACGAGCATGAAGACAGGAACCTGTCACTCCCTTTGCTGCAAAAGTTTGAGCCCACCCTGGAATCCTCTGAACACAAGGGTTGATGTTAGGAGGTGGCCTTGACTCTTTTGCTCAAAACTTCTTGGGTTCCGTGAAGGCAGACATGTTTTGCCCAGTGTAAGGGCAGCCAGTTAGTGCAGATTAACTGAAGGTTTAAGCAAACTAACCAAAATGAGGAGGGGTAGGAGGCCATTTTGGATAGAGTTTGGTTCAGAAAAGTAAGTTAATGAATAACAATCGTGTTGAGACCCAGGTGCAGGTCCAGATTTTATGGGGCCTGAACTTCTAGAATTTTGGGTGCCTTCTTTAATGAAGACATAAAAGTTGCAAATATGAAATATAAATACAAAATTAAGTACAGAGCCTTGGAAGTGGCCCAGGCCCAGATGTTTTGTTGGCTTCATGGTCGTTCTCTCGTCCCCTGCCAAGGTCCTAGCACAATGCTTCTGTGCTCATGGGCTGTTGCAGGTTACGGCGGCAGCTCTCAGCTGGAGGCTGTTCTTCCCCCAGGGGACATTTGGAAATGTCTGAAGACACTTTTGACTGTCCTGACCATGGGACACAGGGAATGCTACTGGCATCTAGTGGGTAGAGGCCAAGGATGCTGCTAAACATCTGATAATGCTCTGGACAGGCCCCAAGAACAAAGACCTTCCCAGCCCAAAGTGTCAATAGTACTGAGGCTGAGAAGCCCGGAGTTATAGCTAGAGATGTGTTCTCACACAACACCCAGCCACGGATCAATTGATTCCAGCTGGAGTGCTCAAAATATAGTTTACGAGCTGCATTTGCAAACTCAGACTCATCTAGGTGTGTGTGAAACGTGGGCTGGGTTCCGTGGGTGCCCACCACCCACTGGCGCATGGAGCCCCTCAAACTCTTAGCGTGACCCTCACTCAGCCAGCACCACTGGTTGAGGGCATTGTTTATACCTCTATGCCATTGTGCATGCTTTTTGTTCAGCAACCAAGTTACATTTAAATCTTCTGCCTTCATGCTAAAGTAATATATTTTAATGCTTATACCCATAAATCATTCATTTCAAAATTCTCATCTCTTATGAATAAGTTCATCATTTTCATTCACATTTTGTCACAGAAATTAGGAGTTTAGCTTTTCGAAAATTTCATTTTCCACTTGTCTTTTATGTGCGGCAAGATAGTAAACCAGCAGATTAGCTTTTCTTCCATCACAGCAGAGGAGGACGAGCTAGAAAGTAACACAATCAAAACAAATTGCTTAGGAAAATAATTCCTTTATTTAAAGGAATTACCAATAAGCAGGCTCCTTTCACAAGAAACATAAACTGTCATGGAGCTAGCCAGGGTCGGAGTATGTGCAGTGTGAATTATACTCTCTTCTCCAGAGTCACTGTTCCAAATTATAGCAATACTCACATCTTGTGAATGACATCTTAAAGCAGAGTAAGTTAAACACCACGTAAAGACTGACTGCTTCTAGTGTTATTTTACAAGCGTGAATCTAGAAGAAGACACTGTTTCCCTCGTGTCTGGCTGAGCGCGAACGCCCCTGGCCCCGGCGTTTCCTGAGTCAGCCTCACACGACTTGACCGAGGTTGTACCCGGTGATGCCATTTCTCAGGGATTTTTTTTTCGTGGGAAGTGTACAATTATTTTCTCCAAAAATGATCAGACCAGCCAGGGAGTTATGAAAATGATGGCTTTGATCCTAGAGGCTGCCTCATCTTGATTATACAACAACCAGGAGCACCTACTGCAAAATAAAGACATCCAAGTGGCAGGCTGCTGCATTTAGAACACCTGCATTCAAATAAAAAGGGGATGCCAATTGGGCAGTCTGCTGCATTTAGAGTACCTGCATTCAAATAAAAAGGGGATGCCAATTGGGCAGTCTGCTGCATTTAGAACACCTGCATTCAGATAAAAAGGTGATGCCAATTGAGAGTCGATTTAATTTTTTAAAAACCCATTTAAAATAAATGCAAGCAAAGGCTCGAAATTCATTGATATGTTTGCTTTCTTTGGGTCATTTTCACTGTATGACTAAAGGAAAGAGGTGAATTAAAGTTATCTCAGGATATTACTTGTAAGAGGTTAAAGTATGTTCTAATGGGCAGATTAATTCTGTGGGGAAATAACATTAAGTCTTTCTGAAGCCTTGAAATTTCTCAAAAGCATTCTTGCTGCTTTCTTGCATTGCCACAAATGCAATCATCTGGCTAATCTTAAATAACTTTGCACTTAAGCCCTGTCAATTTGATCTTCCAAGGTTAATTGATTATTTCAACAAGCATTCTTGCCAGAAAAGATCTGAGTGCTCACATCTTTTCATTAATTCATGCTGTTTGGTGAGAAGGTGAAAAATACGAAGGGGTTGTTTGATTTAACCCTTTCATTGCCCAGCCTCCAAGGAAGATGGAGAAACAGGTCTGCGGCTTGCCCTGCCCGATGAAACCACAGCCTCATGGGCAGAAGCAAAACGAATTAGCACACGTCTTCACAGGCCCAGGCTGAGTTACGGGAGGACTCAGGTAGGTGTTCATGCCGCGATGAAAACAACTGACTTCATTTCGAGTCTTGCTAAGCCTGACGTTCGGCACCTCTGCGGCAGCAAACGGTTCACGTTGGACAAAGCCTGACCAGGGCTGCCTGGGTGCTGAGGACGAGGTCTACCAGCAATGCATAACCGCGACGGGCACGACCAGGACAGGGGGTGTCCCCGCTCACACAGACCTGCGCCACGGCCCATGGGTTGAACGGTAGAGCTTGGTCAGGAGCCACGGTTTTTGGAACAAGCGTTAAGATTATGCAGGCATTATTACGTTTCCTAAAGAGACTGGAAGAAGCCCCAACCTTCTGTGGCATGAGGAGGACCGTGAGCCTGCCTGGTGCGCCCGTGGTACAGCACGATTGTCTCTGAAGACAACCATTTCCGACCCCAGATGCGGGCGCGACGAGTTCCTGCTGTTCTCATCCCCCAAACCGCCCCAAACGCACACACAGCCCCCGCACCCCTCCACGGCCTCCACTTCTTCCCCCGCAGGCTTAAACAGCACAGACGCTACTTTCGCGAGTGGTCGGGGCCTGCGGCCTCCACGCCTTTCACAGCTTCCCGCCCGCCTTTAGCAGGAATGCTGCATTTTGGGGGGTGATTCCTATTTTTCTGAATTAGGCACAGCGGAGAGCAGAGGGAGGAAGAAGAGAGAAGCTGAGGGGGCTCCCTGGCTCCCCCACGGTGCCCGCCCCCTGGCCTGTGACTCCGGGGTGGGCACAGCCGAACGGGGCTCAGAGGCACCCGCGTCCCCGAGCGCACGCGGCCGGCTGGCAGGGCCCTCCCAGCCCTCCCTCCGCTCACTTCCAAATGGAAGCAGCCCCACCGCCCAGGAACGGGAAGGAGAAGGCCACAGCTTTATTTACATAACACAAGAGATATCACAATAAACAAGCATTAATCATGATCATTACACCAAATCATGCAAAATGATGCTGCTGACCGCTTCCGCGGCACATCGGTTATTTTTTGTTCCTTTTCTTTTCCTCTTGGAAAAAGGGAAAATCGACAGAATCATTAGGAGCCATCCAGGGTCTCCCCAATTAAAATGTGTGTAAATGGAACACACATGAAGTGCCCGATATGTGGCAAATTAGTACAGAAAATACGGAGGCCTGTGCATCTCTCGATGCCGCCTGCGAACCGCGCATGACAGGTATGATTGCCCTCTGTGGAATTATTTAAGCCCTGCAGGAATTCCCAGCATCAGGGAGTGTCAGGGCACTGTTATTAGACAAGTTTAATTAGGATCTACCCTGCTGCTTCCAGCAAGTATTTAATTAACTTCCAGGCAGGGTAATTAGCTTGAGATTGCGGCTGATTTTCTTCCTCACCTTCTGTTGACACTTGGCCTATGCGCGGCCCCCCGCTTTGCTGACAGTGTAATGGATAGCATCGTCGGGAAGCCCAACGTCAAGGCTGCTAGTCTAAGAAACAGCCCGGCGATGAAGATAAAGACGAAGCAATGTCCGCCGGCGTGTCCAGGGTGGTGCACAGGGCTGGTTTCCACAGAGACACAACAGGCCACCTGAGCGGAGGGGACAGCCCGGCCCTGATGACTTCAGGCAAGGAGCAATGAAGAGGAAGATGCCCCGGGACAGCCAGCCGGCCCTCCTGCCCCAGCTGCACCTGCCCAGCGACCGTGGGCTCCCTCCCCTCCAGCAGGCACCGCAGGGGGGTTCTCACCTTCTCCTCCAAACACATGCTGGTGCCTGGTGGAGGCTTGGGCCTGACACCTGCTCATGAAGACACAAACAACTAAGGGGCATTGCCCAAGCCATTGGCAGCCCCAGGAACCTCACTGGTTCTTGGAGGCAGCATCTCCACCATAGCCAGGGAGTTTATTCTCCTTCCTACCACCACCTGCAACACCCCTACGCCAACATCTGTGATAAAGATAACAGGACTTGAAGCTGTAACACCACGAGGAACATTCGGGGACTGGGGAAGGGGTGGATGCAGAGGTCAGCATCCCTCCTTTGCAAGATGATGCAAGGTTGAGTCATCCACACCTGGCTACAGAAGTCCACGAGTCTTACAAGGAAATCGGTTCATATATGCACACCACCTTCACACCCGCATCGTTCGCAGTAACCAAAAGACAGAGGCCACCCAAGCGTGCAGCCATGGATGAGTGGAGAAGCCAAATGTGGCCACCCATCCCACGGAACGTTATCAGCCCTAAGAAGAAGGGAGTCGCGCCACGTGCCCCAGCAGGGAGGAACCTTGAGGACTACTGTACCAAGTGAAATAGAGGACTACTGTACCAAGTGAAATAGGCCAGCCACAAAATGACAAATACTGTCTGACTCATTCATGTGAGGGACCCAGGGTGGCCACATTCCTAGAGGCAGACGGCGAATGCGAGACAGCTGGGAGGCCTAGGGGGAGGGGCGATGGGGAGTAGTTGTTGAAAGGGGGCAGTTTCCATTTTGCAAACTGGGAAGTCTTGGAGGAAATCCATGGTGGCGACTGTGCTGTGACAGCTGCAGATGATGTGAGTCTACTTAACGCCACTCAACTGTCCACTTAAAAATGGTAAAGATGATACATTTTATGTTATGTGTATTTTGCACAATTAAAAAAAGGGAGCTGGTTCTTAACTTTTCGGCAGATGTGTTTGTATTTGGGAGCTGAGGGTCGCTCTCTGGAACTTTTCCTCACAAAAGCCTTCAGTGTTCCACAGACCCGGGCCAAACCCTGTGGCCCCAGAGTTGTCGAACAGCTTGGATCTGAAATCCTACCTTTCAGAATTTGAAATGTTCTTTGTTCTAGGTAATTACGGGATAGGGGGCTTGTTTTGACATCTTGGGAACTGTGCATGGGCATTGGCCCAGGAGCAGCCTGAAGATGCCACACACACCTCTGCTCATCTGAAGCTGGTAGCAGGCCTTGGAGAAGGTGTTGCCCTTCATTCTGCACCCAAGGGCGCTGAGGCCAGTGTTCACAGTGCATTCATGGCAGGCTGACCGGGCTGGAGCACACTGCCATTCCTGGCAGCTTCTGCTCCTACCATACCAGCGCTAAGGATCTTTAATGTGGCCCTGGGATGCACTCTTGAGCCACAGACAAGGCCCAGCACCCCCGGGGCGTCCATCCTGCTGAAGGGGGCGCATGCCGATGAACAGATGAGGTGTGTAATTTGTGGTGGTGAGAAGGAACACATTGCAAAACCAGGGGGAGGAGTTCCTGCAGCTGCAAAGACCCTGGGGTGAGACGCCTGCCACAGGTGAGAAGTGATGGAATCAGGTCGACCCCAGTGCCTCTGCTCCTCCCATGGCAACACAGGAGGCCCCATCCCTTTGTTAGTGAGCCACAGACACAGTGCAGCCACCGGATGGTGCGGAAGCCCGAGGCCTGCCCTCTGACCCCCTCCCACTGACGGCCATGAGGACCCTGTCCCTGGAGCATCTCCTTGGGGTAAGGCTTCGATCCTTATGCAGAACCATGTGAGGGTGCAGAGTGTCTCATCTGTCACCTGTGCCTTAGTGAGAAAGAGGAACAGCAAGTCAGGGAACCTACTCGGCCAAGGCCGGACACGGCACAGGCCTCAATGCTCAAGGCATGGATGGACCATCCCCGGCTTGTCTGAACTGTAGTCCTGTGTGTTTCCAGGAACGCATGCTTTCTAATGGTTCCTGTAATCCATTCTTATTGTTATTATTTGGAAAGACCTGGAAGGAGAGACTGGTGAGCTGCATGTGTGTTCTGAGCCTGGGTGCCCACTATGTGTCCTCCCTCTCCACGTCCTGTGATTGGTGGCTCAGGGTGTCCCCAAGGCTACAGAGCCTCATTCGCAGCTGCAGCGCTGCTTTCAGGCTGCCCAGGACCCCAGCCACCTCACCCCAGTCGGAAAGCCAGACACACGCGGTTGGCTCTTGTACACGGGAGTGCGATGCCTGGAGACTGTGATTAAGCAGACATTTTCTCCTCCTCTTGACTTTTGGAGAAAAAGTCAAAACACTGAGAGAACAAAATAAAGCACTAAAAACATCCAGGAGTGGCTGCAGCAGCTTCTTGTGGTCCTTGCTCTCCCTGTTGCTGGATGCTCCCAGGTTGGCCAGGCCCATCTCTCCTCCCTCCTGAGTCTGCTCAACTCACCGTCCTGGCAAAGCCCTCACTGCCCCCGCTGCCCCTCGCACCCCTTACGCCCCATCCTCTTACCCCGTTGTGGTTTCTTCACGGGGCTTACTCCTGTCCCGCCCTTTCCGCCTGTGCTTGGCCTCTGGCTTTTCCCTAGGGGAGGGTGAGGTGTCTGGTTTGTTTTCTGTTTTTTTTCTCCAGCTCCTAGGCACTGTCAACCAATATCTATTAAATGAATAAGGGATGAATAACTCCCCACAGTAATGTCAGGAACTTGGAAAAATAAACAAATCAAAACTAGGACCCTCCTAAGTATGTCTTGAGTGCCGTATTAATCCAGCCAACCTACTCCTTTCTTGTCCATTGTATTTTCCAATGTTCAGAGGAATGCGCCTGAGCCTCGGAAACAATTTAATTGGTTAATTGGCTCAGCATATATTTATGGGGTGCAGCATGCGAGGGGCAGGGACACAGCCATTGAGTGGGAGCAGGTGAGCCCCCACCTCTCCCGGGCCTTGCTGTCCACCGTAGGTGACACACATTCATCCAGCCCTGTCCCAGCAGGCAGAAGCTGAGGCAAGGCTTTGAAGGAAAGGACCTGGCTCCTAAGCCACCAGGGATGCTCAGCTATCTTTGACAATTAATGCAGGAAAGAGGGACAGGAGCTTTCAGGGCTGATGTTTCCATGGCTGGGACTAAAACGGAGTTGCTGGCTCAGCCTTCTGATGGCGATTGCATCTGCTAACCAATTAATTTGCGTGCCTGCATCACACTGACCAGCTGCTCACAGGAGGCTCCTCCAACTCAGCGCCTCTGACTTCCTTGGCTTCCTTCCTGCTGGTCCCTCCACCGTCCTGCTGCAGCTCAGCTGGCCACACACCTGACCCTCATCCTTCATGGGTGTGTGGGCTGCTCCTGGGCCCCTCGGCTCCCGACGGTTCCTGGGTGGACCTGTCCTACCTGTTCCTAAGGAAGTACTAACCTAACAACGCAGCATTGAACGAGGATGCGCGTGAGCCCACAAGAGGAATGGAATAGTTATGAATGTGGAAGTGCTCTACCAAGAATGTTCTGTGCATCTCAAAAAAAAAAAAAAAAAAATAGCAATGCCTGCCCTTGTTAAGTGAAAAGGAGGAAAATCACAGAGTATTTTCACCAAAATGTGTGTAAAAATGGACTTGGACCAAATAAGAAAAAAAAGGGCCTTCTTCTCATTTCCTAACCTAGCCTTCCACAGGTGGACTTCTCATCCTTCTTCACGACACATACCTACAAAAGAAAGAGCTTTCAGGTCCCACCTGGCTTCCTGCTTTCTAATCCAAGTCCCCCGCACACTCAAAAGCAAGTGAAGCCCCCCAGCAGAGACACAGTGCCTGATTTATCTTGTTTCTGGTTGCTCTGGGATCTCAGATGGTCTCAGGGAGTGGTTCCTCTTCAGAGGTGGGAAGAGAGCCAGATGCCTCTCTTAGCTGAATCCTGCTGCTTCTCCATGGGGAGAGGGCACAGGGCTGCTCTGGAGCCAGCACTGGGACTGGCACAATTGGAAGGGAACTTCTAGCTCCAAGGACAGGCCAGACATTTCTATGGCCTCATTTGCCCTAGCTGCTGGCTCAGCAGGAGACACCAGGGATCCCAGGCATCAGCAAACAGCACTGTAGAAGCTCACCCAGAATGGCTCAGAGACCACACCCGAGGGCCTCATGGCCCAGGGTCATGCTGGCCAGAAACATGGTGCATTTGTTTTGGGGTCTTCCACTCTGTCCCATGCCTTTGGCTCTCCAGGTGCTGATTGGCTATCTTAGTTCAGTCCTGAGGTTCACAGGTTCTAATGAAACAGGAGCCATGTGGAGTGGAACAAGGGAACATTCTGTGCCTTGTAATGGGAGGTTCCATTCACTGTCACTTGGCCCAGGTGACCATGCCCAGCCAAGCACCACACCCAGCCTCACATACACATTTGAACATAGCTATAAAAAATCAATCACATGAAGCCTCTCATGACGTTTCCTGTTTCTGCTGATGATCTCTGGGGTCCTGAGGAGGCATCCAGGCACACAATGTGCATTTTCCCAACCTTCTCCAATTGACCATCGACCGTTCCTGCTCCACCACCCCTCCTTGCACTTTGCCATGTGTTGTATCTTCTCTGCTACCCTGAGGAACTGGAAGCATCTCACCCCTTTATTAAGCAGAGCAGTTTAGCAATGTGACTTCAATCCTTGGGCTTTCCCTTGGTGCCTCATCCTGTACGCTGAGTGATTTAGCAAATCATGTCTTCCAATGGATGCCCTGTTATCCCCAAGCAGAATTTTGGGGAAGACAATTTTCTCTATTTTATTTCAAGTATAAAATAAAAGGTTGTTGAATGAACTTGAGATTATTTGTTGTAACTATCTTTCAATAGTTACAAAGAACAGAAAATGTAGAATCTGGCTAATTTTATTTTGGAAAATACTTTAAACGTTGGGATTAGCTACCAGAACACAATCTCGATAAGACTACTTTATACATTTGAATTTGTATTTTCAGAAGCATGTTGGTTCAAAGCTTTGTCCCAAAGTTGAAGACAGATAACTAGAGATCACCAACTTCAGCCTAACCAGATATTTAATTAAATTTCATATAAATGGATTAAAGCACACTATATGCAAAGAGTTGTGTTCTGTCTAAACACCACTCTTCCCTGGGGCCTCCACCAAGGTGTCAGACCTGCCTGTCAGAATTCCTAAAAAGCCAGGAAGCTCTGCAGGCAGCTTTCTATGCTGCTTTCCAGGACTGTGCTGCCCTCTCCACCAGCTCCCCTGTGCATAGCAACTGGAGTTCTGATGCAGCAGTGTAGGGCAGCTGGGAGTTCTCACCACATCATCCTCTCTTGCCTGTCAGGGACTTCGCTGACTGCTCACTGATCCACAGTGGCCTCAAGGCCAGGGCTGCCTTGTCTCAAACACAGTGGGACTCCTGGGCGTGTATACCTCCTGCTGGTTTTGGGGACACTGGTAGGAGAGCTTTCTGGTTGCCTTCACCTCCCTGCATGCTCTCTCTCCGTTTCTTTCTTCCATAAACTCCAGTATTCCCCAGGTGCCATCCCCAGCCTTGTCTTTCCAGCTGCTCATGCTCTCGCTGGGTCACAGTTGCTGTTGGGCCTCCCACCTCCTGGCTCATCCTTCTTCCCCATGGCCAGCAAGCACCATCTTTCTAAAGCCTTGTTCCTGGCCTGTCACTGGCTTGCCTTATCATCTTTGACCCCCTCGTCTCCAAAGTCAAGTCCATGCTGTTTCAGGTTGGACTCTTCCAGGAGCCAATCAAAGTCAGTTTTGAGTGCAGGTGACCTCTTTGGGAAGCGATCCCAGGAAGCACAAGGAAGCAGATTCGGAGAATGGAAAGAAGTAGATTCAGGGTGTCTTCACGAGTGGTTGCTGCTGTGACCACTGGGGTTCCAGTCCACTAGGGACCTCAGGGAGATGGCAGACCCTGCCTTGGGTGTCCCCTTGAAGGCTGGGTCTGTTGTGGGGTCCATCGTCCACTCCCATGCAGCATGGCTGGAGGGTGGCATGGGGACTGCCCTGGTGTGAATGGGTGCTCCATGCAGTGGACACCCTCTTACTGCCAGAGAAGCCCTCAGGCCGGGTTTTAGGACCTTGCAGTAGGAAGCCTTTGGTTGTAAGGAAAGTTGGAGGAACTGGACAGGCATTAGAGCACCACACCCTTCACCACAGCACTGGAGACCCTCCCCAATATGCCATCAGCCTCCCGCCCCATAGGACCAGCCTCATTCCGTGTCCTCCTCATGCTCTTTGATGACTGGCAGCCTTTGTTCTGCCTTTCCCCTTCCCCACCTGGTCAGCCACTGACCACAGTAAGGTTAGGCTTGGATGGTACTTTCTCTGCAAAACTTGGTGCCAATTTCAGGAGGATTCCCACCCTTCCTCTGTGATCTCACAGCACATCTTCCAAACCCCTACTGTGGCACACATTGTGCCGTTCATCATGGCTGTCCCCCGTGGTCCCAGCGGCATGGCATGGCCACTGCTCGAGGGATCACACTCTGCATCATACTGGGCCCTCAAGGCACGAACGATAGTTTTGCACAATGGGACAGTTTCCTTAGCTCGCAGGGAAGAGTTGATTGCAGGCACATATAGGCATATGACAATTCACATGGAAATGTATATACATATGTTTCTATCAAGTTTTTTTGAAGTCCTATTTTCAATTAACAGGGGGAGCTTACTTTTTAAGGAAAAGTGGTGAGAAACATTTATATATGAAAAACAGTAACTTGACTCCTTCCCCATTTAACCATTTTGCAAATTTGGATTTCCGAATGCCGAGTTAGTTTAAAGCAGACACGTCTACCCATCACTGGAGACACGGAATGATCAGGCGGGACACGGCTGTGATATTCTCCAGTGAAATGCAATGATTATGACTATCACACAGCAAAATGGATTATGACTATCACACAGCAAAATGGATTATGACTATCACACAGCAAAACGGGAGTGATTCTGCCTTGGGGGCCTGTGCCCCTTCATAGCATCAGAAAGGATCTTTCATCACAGGGGTAGACGATGTACATCCAGGTATGGCGCCTCCCCGTACCCCACCCACCGGTACGTCAGAAGCACGTGGCCATGCAGTGCCTCAGAAACTATAGGCGATATGATAATTGCTAGGACTTGATTTTAGATGTAGTGTTTAGCCTGTTTAGGTGTTTCAGATCATGTCAGTGGAGGCCACAGGATTGCTGCGCATGTCAAAAGCTGAGAAGCAATGGTTGTGTGGTGGAAGTTCCACGATGGTTCTGTTAACTTTCCCCTGTTCACCTTTTTCCAATAAGAATGCTGGAGGCGGGGCTGAAGTGGAAACAGACCGAAGACCCGGAAAACAGCCGTAAAACGTGTCGGGGAGAACGCGTTTTCAGTCAGCGGCTCTTGCTGAGGCTGCTGGTTGTGGGTCGGTCGGGGCTCCCCACTCTGGCACAGCTCCTCTCCTCACTTGGGACTGGACGTTTGTAAATTGCACACATGGACGAACATGGCTACAGACACATTCACACCTGCCAGGCCTTGGGGGGATTGCAAACTAATGTTAACCAAAAAGATGCTGATAATATCATCCCTCTTACACATATACACACGCTGGCAGATGCTCAAACACGAAACAACATCCTGCAGTAAAGAAAACCTTTTAGATGCCAGTTATCTCTCTCTCTCTCTCTCTCACACACACACACACCTCTCTTACAGTATTTTGTGCTGTGATGCACTTTGACAGTGAATTAATTCGTCATTCCATGATCTAGAGCATCGCGCGTCTCCATGACTGTGGAGTGGATAGTAAGGGCTTTCCTCCTGGGTTCTCTGAAGATGCCGCCAGGGGAGAGGCTGTGGCAGGTGCCAGGGGACACGCTGCGGCAGGTGCCAGGGGAGAGGCTGTGGCAGGTGGACATTGCTTCCCTGCCCCCCACCACTATGATCTGTTTTTCATGTTGGGTTCAAAGTGCTTTTTCTCTTGCAATCCCTTTTCTACCCATCTCTTCTTTTCTACAGATAATGAAAATTAGACCAAAGCCTTGTGTGACTGATGCAGGCTCTAGGTCTACTGCAGGGGTGGGTGGCGCAGGAATGGCGGCTTCCTAACTGAGTGGTTTAATAACAGGTATTTATTGTCTCAGCTTTGGAGACTGGAAGCCTGAGATGCAGGTGTCTGTGGAGTTGGTTCCTTCTGAGGCTGTGGGAGGATCTGTTCCTGGCCTCCCTCCAGTTTCCGCTGGCCACCGGCAATCGCCGGCATGCCTCAGCTTGTAGACGCATCGCCCCAGTCTCTGCCTGCACCCTCCAAGGGCCGGTTCCTTGTGTGTGTAACTGTATCCAAATTTTCTCTGTTTACAAGGCTAACATCACAATGGATGAAGGCCAACCCCAAGAACCCCTTCTTAGCTTGATCATCTGCTTTGAACCTGTTTCTGCCTAGGGTCACATTTGCAGGCACTGGGGTTAGGGTTTCAGCATCTTTCTGGGGACACAGTTCCACCTGCAGCAGAGGCTTCTGCCTCTGCATCCATTTCCCAGAAGGCTGCCGTGACATGCTTTCAAGAGGCTGCAGTTCTTCATATTATTCCAAAATACAATAATCGTACATTTATTTATTTATTTATTTATTGAGACAGAGTTTCACTCTGTCACCCAGGCTGGAGTGCGGTGGTGTGATCTTGGCTCACTGCAACCTCCACCTCCCAGGTTCAAGCGATTCTCCTGCCTCAGCCTCCTGAGTAGCTGGAATTACAGGCTTGCGCCACCACGCTCAGCTAATTTTTGTATTTTTAGTAGAGACGGGGCTTCACCATGTTGGCCAGGCTGGTCTTGAACTCCCGACCTCAGATGATCTGTCTACCTTGGCTTCCCAAAATGCTGGGATTACAGGTGTGAGCCACCGCGCCCAGCCTGCACTTTTATTTTTGATATTAAATTTCTCCAGATTCTGTACTCTCAAAACGCTGAGATCCCTGGAGCTTGCAGGTTCGTGGGGATGGAGAGGCAGTGGGAGGTGTCATGGGGAGGCTGTGTGTGGCTGTGGTTGTGGCCCCTGCAGTGCTGGCCCACAGAACCCCTCTAGGGAGGCCCCGGTAGAAGCTTAGAATGATGGGTGGGAAATGGCTCCAAAATCCGGCCGCAAGCTGACCCCAGTGTGTGTTGGCTGGAGGGAAACAGAAGCTCCATGTGCTCACCTTGCAGGAGCAGCTGCGGGTTCCCAGTGCATGGGAACGGTCCTCTGAGACCACGTGGGAGAGAATTAATTACACATTGGCTTTGACAAGCTCAACAGTGGGAAGACAGCTTTCATTCTCTCCCTTCTTTCATCCTCTCTCAGAAAAGCTGAGCATCACAGACCGTCCCAACCACCTCCTTTCTGGTACTGACCAAAACCCAGTAATGATCGCGTGGAGGGTGGATGCTGGGTTTGGCAATTGCTGAATGGGAGCTCGAATGAGGGAGCCTTGGGATGTGACTCATTCACGTCCTCTCTGCTTTGCTCTTTGAATCCAAGCAACTTTATTACATTTTCCCTCACATCAGTCCACTTAAAAAACTCCTCATGTGGAGTGAGTGGGGTTAGAAACAGAGGCTGCAGTCGTCACTGGAGATGGGGCCCTTGTGAGGGAAGCAGATGGCACCATCAGGAGAAAGAACGTTCAAATTTAAACAGCGGAAGAGAACAGGGAAATGCTTTTAAAAATGCTGGGATGATTGTGGGGTCTTTAATTCTCGATTCTCTGGGCATCACTGGACACCCGACATCTGAGAATGCTGCTGGGCTCCTGAAAAGTCACAATTGCTGCCCAACATTAGTTGTTTTCTCTGAGCTCAGGCCAGAGAGGTTTCTCTTCCCACATTATCCTCAGCTTGCAGCCATGATTCTCTAAGCAATGAACAGCCTTAATTTTAAAAAAAAAAAAAAAAAAAGCAAAGAAAAATGCACGTGATGCCATGCGCATTGTTCACCTGGGGGCTTGTGGGGGCTGAGGGGGGCTTGCTGTCATTTTTGTTACACGAGAAGCCCCAGTGCAGTGGGCACGGCCAGTGAGAATGAGTGGAAACGTGCGAGGACCCTGCACATGAGCTTCTATCAGGTCAGCAAACGGCCGCTCGCTTGGGGCTGGGTAACAGGTCAGCCTCGAAAGTAGCAGGCAGGATAAATAGATTCTGTGTCAGTGAGTGGACAGGGGGCTGCTCAGGTGAGGACTGGCCGGGCCTTCATGGGCCGCATTCACCTGTGAGCCCAGTCACACGTGGGCTGCGTTTCAGTAAACTCTGTGTGCCCTTCAGTGACTCGTGGGTTAGCAGGTGGCGTTGAAAAAAAATTGTGATGTTAGGACATCGTGGAGCTCACCTGACTGCAGCAAATCACCTTTCATGTATTTTTGCGAATGGCATAGCACAAACACTGGCTGTCCTGGGAGAGGCGCCCGCTGAGGGCAGGCTGGAAGGGGTTTACCATTGTGTACCCCGTGCCCTAAAAACGTGTGCCAGGTGCAAACGCTACCTGCCTAAAAATAAGTCAACAAAATATAAAACAACAATGGAGGCCACATTCCGTGTAGGTGGCCTCGGAGGAGGCAGGATGGGCTCAGAACCACCTGTGTAGTAACTTGCATAATTAACTTGCTGGGCAGCTGGTGTGAGCCCAGGTAGAGCAAACTAGGGAAAGGCTGGCACGGGAGTGTTTTCTCCAGCATGTGTACTGGATGCGTCCTTTCTAGGCTAACCTGATGTCACTGTTGGGCCAAGTGCCCCATCCAGGGATGCGGGCAGGCGGCTGAGCTGGCCAGGGCACACCAGATGGCAGGTAGGGCCAATGACCTGTGTCTTGTTTGGAATATAAATGCTGTTTTGTGTTGTAACTGCCTAAAAATAAGGCCCAGTCTTATGTGCTGCCTTGACATCTGGTGAGACTGGGAAGGCCTCCAGGGGCTCACCTGCAAGCTCCTCTCTCCACCCTGCAACTGTGGATGAGGGGCCAGCCAGCCACCTCCTCCCCAGGGACAGGCACAGGCCCTGCTGGTCCCAGAGAAGCCGCCTCCATGCTGTCAGCCCCAGAATGACTCAAACAAGCCCGTCACACCTTCGGCAAGGACCAGGGACCCCACCCTCTCGTTCCTATGGAGCCTACCACCCGTGGTGCCTGAGGCTGTGTCTGTCCTGCGTGGAGCCTGGCGTGGCCTGCATGGGGGTGTGGGTCCTCCTCCCTGAGGCTGTGTTGGTGACCAGTAACCCGTGCTGACCGCGGGTGACCAGTAACCGGTGCTGACCGCGGGTGACCAGTAACCGGTGCTGACCGTGGGTGACTAGTAACCGGTACTGACCTTTGGTGAGTAATAACCTGTGCTGATCTTGTCTGTCCAGCGTGTGGTGTTGGGTGTTTGTCTCCATCATCCTAGGGTGGGAATCCTTCCCCCACCAATGGGGTAAACAGGAAGTGGACAAAACAAATCCAAATGAAGTCCTTTAATTGCAACATCAGAAACAAAAAAGGTGATTTGAGAATAACCCAGTGTATTCCGTGGCTACATAAAAAAGATGATTTGAGAATAACCCAGTGTATTCCGTGGATACATAAAAAAGATGATTTGAGAATAATCCAGTGTATTCCGTGGATACATTTGTAGTGAAGTTTGGTGGCTTGCTTAGAATCCCAGCTCAGCGTGGCCACCCGGTTTGTGAAGCGCTGAGCTCCCTGGCTCAGGACACGCTCCTTCACCTCAGACCCACTCATGTCTGTTTCTTCTGCCCCTTTTTATCCGTCCCATAGACGGTGGCATTTCTCAGGGCTTTGTCTTCAACCCCCTTCCCTTGCCACTCAACCTGCCTCCCTGGGGCCCTCACCCAGGCATGTGGTTTCTGCTTCTTCCAGCGCTGACAGTGCCCTTCCCGGAGTGCTGGCTGTGGGCGGAGCCTGTGCGCCCGTGCGTTTGTGCCTCGCCTGTTTGGTCCTCAGGCAGTGTGGCGGGCAGGGCATGAAACAGCCCCTGGTATGCAAGTGGAGACAGAGGCTGGGAGAGAGCCGGTGCCCTGCCTAAACTCACGCAAGCAGGAAGAGGTAAGACCAGGATTTGAACCCGGGAGGGTGAGATGCCATGTCTGAGCTCTTTTTGGAATTTTGTCTTCCTGGATGTTCTGCACAGGCACAGCCCATGTGGGGAGAACCCCGCCCTAGACCCCTCCCTGACTTCCCTCCCAACGCCCACTTCCCTCTTGGACTCAACCACCAGCGTCTCCACATGCATCCAATCACCGTGACCAAAACTCCATTTCTCCTTCTCCCCTGCAGACCGAGCACCCTCTGGGCCCTGTTCTGTTTCCCCCCAAGGTACTCCTGTCATCTGTGGATTTTTCTGTTTTTTTGATAAAGCATTCTGAAATAAATCAAAGCCACCATAGAATTTCAGATACCATCATCACACTTTTCAATACGAACAATAATTCATCTAATACTCTGCTTCACATTCCTCCAATTATCCTAGAAATACTGTTTTTCCTGTTCATTTGCTCTGTTTTTCTGGAATGGCTTTTTGTGCCCCTGTGACTATTTGAGTCTGTGACACCAGGTGACCCCACCCTAATGTGTGCTAAGAATTTGATGTAGAAAATAAAATAATATTCAAAGCAAAGGGATATAACCTTATGCCAGTGGTTCTCAATTGGGGACAATTTTGTCTCTGGGGATACTTGGCAATGTCTGGAGACATCTTACATTGTCACGGTGCAAGGGAGCTCCTGGTATTTAATTGTAGAGGCTGTGAGGTGCTGCCAAACGTGCCACAAAGTACAGGGCAGGCCTCGCAAAGCAAAGACTCATCCAGCCCACGATGTCAATTGTGCAGAGGCTGGGAAACTGGCCTAGAAGTGTCACAGGACACTGGCCACAAGCCCACACAAAGGAGGACCTCTCTCTACTTTTGTTGTTTCTACTGTTTGTTGAACATTTACTAAATGCCAGTCAGTATCCTACACACTCTGGATACAACACCTCATTTAATCCCAAAACAACTCTGAGAGCCATGTATTCCATACCATTACCCCCATTTTATAGATGAGAAAATTGGAGCCCAGAGAGGGTAAGCCCATCGTCCAGGGTCACCAAGCTCAGGACAAGAGATTACAACACTGGCCTCTGAAAAGACTCACTACCACCTTAGGAGCAAGTGTTAGAGGAAGGCGAGGAGGAGGGTGAGGAAGAACACGAGCTGACTGCAGGAGGCGTCAGGCTGAGCTCCTGCCTGGAGGGGGGCACTGCAGCCTGGGCAGCAGCAGGAGCTGGTGCTGTGTGTGTATGAGTGTGTGTGTGATTGTGTGTGATTTTGTGATTGTGTGTGATTTTGTGATTGTGTGTGTCTGTGTGTATATGTGTGATTGTGTGTGTGACTGTGTGTGATTGTGTGCAAGTGTGATTGTGTGTGTCTGTGTGTATATGTGTGATTGTGTGTGTGACTGTGTGATTGTGTGCGAGTGTGATTTTGTGATTGTGTGTGTGTGGTTGTGTGTGTGATTGTGTGACTGTGTGTGGGTGTGCGCATGCACACTCACAGGCACGTGTGCTCTTCTGTGGTAGTCTGTAATAGCAAAAAGCAAATTAAAAATGGGGCTTCCTAAAATCCATCGAGAAAGGTTTGTTGAATAAAGAACGGCAACCCTATGGAATCCAGTCAGTTCCTACAAAACAACGGAAAAGAACAAGGTATGCGTATGGGCACTGGCACAGAAAAAAGGTACCATGTGTTGTGAGAAGAACTAAATGCAGAATAGTTCCATTCTGAATACACAGGCAGTCCTCACTCTGCACAGTGGGGCCAGAGCCTAACACTGGCCATGCCAGCTGAAGCCAGGCAGAGTGATCTTTGTCATCAATGGGGACATTCCAGGTGTTCAGGGATCACTGAAGGTTGTTGTTAAACCATTAAAAACTCTCTTACTGTCAATTATCCTGTATAGACAGTGAAAAATAATTATATATTTGTAATATTTAATATTTATTTAGTGCACTGTAGTTTAAAACAATGGAAATGCTGGGAAATAATGTTATGTTTCTTTGTTAAAAATTACCAAGCGCAGGGCTTGCTTTTTGTCTCTCTGTGTAACTTACAGTCTAGAGCGAGCATGTTTTCTATGCCTTGGAGAATTCGGATTCCTTTCTCAGTATTTTGCTCTTTGCACCCTTAGGGCCAGGAAACACGAGTGTTCCTTTTGTGTGAAGTGTCTTGCCAGCCTCATTTCCCTGGGATGCCTCCATCCTGTGACAGCCACTGCCCTCATCACACTGACACGATTCCTCCGAGCTGCCCAAGGGCAGTGTCCCTCGTATCACAGTTGTGCTTTATTCTTAAACCTTGTTTCTGTTCAGTTTGAATTTCCTTTTCCTTGTTACCAGTTTCCAGTTCTTTGGTGCACTCTGCCTTTGCCAGCCAATCCCCTCTGTTGAGAATGCATCTCTGCACAATGCCGTAGGGGTGTCCCTGGGAGATGAGGAGGTGGTACAACTGCATGCTTTGCTGTCTGTGCAGGAGCTCAGTCACAGACACAGCTGTGACTTATGACTGAGGAGCTAGCACTGAAGTTTGTATTCCATGCAATTATTTGTAGCTCATATACCATGGTAAGTGAAATTTGGGAAACTGGTGTTATTTAACTAAACTGAGATAACTGAAATTTCTACACGGGACAATTGTGCAAGGAAGGTGCTACAAGGCACATGATTACACAGTCCACAAATGTATGCATGTGTGTGTGTGCCACGAGAGAGACTGGAATTAAGTTTCATTTCCTAGGATGCAGTTGCTATGTTTTTTTGGCTTGCTTTGGTTTTTTTTTAATCATATACATTCTTTCTGTTTGCACTTTTTTTTTAAAACAACAAGCATGAGTTAGTTCCATAGTTTAAAAAAATCTTGTAAATAAGCATATGTAGACGATGAAGATTTTTTTCAAAATTTTTAAACTGAATTATTGAAATAAAAAAGAGATCAGGGTTAACTCTCAGTTAACCAGAAAATTTAAATAAGCAGATGATTCTGTGTGTCATTCTGTATCTATTCAATGAGAAATAGAAAAGATGTTTGTGTGTGTGTGTGTCTCTGTGTGAGTGTGTATGTCTGTGTGTGTGTGTCTGTGTATGTCTGTGTGTGTCTCTGTGTGAGTGTGTATGTCTGTGTCTCTGTGTGAGTATATGTGTGTGTGTCTGTGTGTATGTCTGTATCTGTGTGTCTCTGTGAGTGTGTATGTGTGAGTGTGTATGTCTGTGTGTGTGTCTCTGCATGTCTGTGTGTGTGTTTCTCTGAGTGTGTTTATCTGAGTGCATATGTGTGTGTCTGTGTAAGTGTGTATGTCTGTGTGTATGTGTGTCTCTGAGTGTGTATGTCTGTGTCTCTGTGTGAGTATGTCTCTGTGTGTGTGTGTCTCTGTGTGACTGTGTATGTCTCTGAGTGTGTGTGTTTCTGTGAGTGTGTATGTCTGTGAGTGTGTATGTCTGTGTGTGTGTCTCTGTGTGAGTGTGTATGTCTGTGTGTGTGTGTGTGTGTGTGTGAGTGAGCACACATGCATGTCCAGGAAACTAAGTGCTGAGAGAGCAGAGATGTCCTTACTCGGGCAGGCTGGAGTGCAGTGACCTCCCTCACGTGCAGACGATGAGGGGTGGTGGCCTCTTGGGGTCCTGCCATCAATGACCAGCCCACAACTCTCACCACAGCCCCAACCACCTTTACTGCTATTTACTTAATATTTTTTTAGGTTGACTTCAAATTGGCTCATTTTTTTTTGTACTTAGCAATAATACTTGGGAAATTATCACTTTGAAGTGCTAGTTTTAGGGTTTTTTTCACCTAATAGAGATTAGAATAAATTTATAACCATTAAAATAAAAAAAATGTTCCTTTGGGGACCAGCTAAAATCCCTGCCACAGGAGGAAATAAATGCAGATGCCGTGGAGACACACCTGTAGGAGAAGTGGAGCCAGGTGAGTGGCAGAGCGGCTTCCCCGCAGGCGGGGACACTAACGGATGCTGGAGCCCCAGCCCAGGGCTGTGCCTGCCAGAGCTCTGGCTCTGAGACGCCACCCAGCAGGAAAATCCAATGAATGGGAATGCTCAGAAAATAAGGCATTTGGGTAGATCTTGTATTTTTTTCCTGCATAGCACAATTAACCCAGATCTTACATTTTTTTCTTGCTTAGCACAATTAACCCAGATATGATTCTTGTTTTTGAGAGGTGCTGTTAGAAATCTTTGTAAAATGTGTAAGGATATTTTTTTTTCTGCCTTTGTGAATATGGAAAACACATTTACTCTGTTTGGCTTGTTCTAAATCTCACAGTCCTGTGAGTCATCACGCTGGATGCCCATTCTTGTTATAAAATGCTGAGATGTGTGTGCCGGAGGTGGAGGACACTAGTTTGAATTTATTTCTTTATTTTCTTTTATACTTAAAAAAGTACCTGGTGTCAGCAATTGATCTGATGGCCGTGTTTTGCCTTAAAATCTGGCCAGTGCAGTCTGCGCCACCTGGGAGGTGGGCTCAGGAGCCTGTTAGAAACGTGGAGTCTCAGGTCTCTCCCAGATCTGCTAACACAGAACCTGCACTTCGGCACCATGCCCGGGTGTTGCAGAGGCAGAGGAAAGTTTGAAAGGCACTCCTCTAACATGATCTAGAAAAAATGAAGTCGAACTGGGAGGGGAAACTGCTAAAACATGATGGTAAAATATTGATAATTGCCAGATGGAAGTTTGCATGAGTTTTCTTGTATTGTTCTCTCTTCTAATTGTGTAAAGGATAGGAGTTAAAAATAAACCCGTAGTATTACCTTGTTTGGTTCTTATTTACCTATTACTGCCAATAGTCAATTTCCCTAATAAAAAAGTAAATTCTTCTCTTGCATGTGAAATCACAGTTTATTCAGGTATGAATCCTCTCTGGTAAATCCGAATTTTATTGTATGTTTAACCTGATAAATGAAGGATTTGTTAAACACTCAATGAATTGACTAGGGAAAAAATGAAGTATTCAGCCCCTTTAAAAAACTGACAAAGATCTAGTGTTTATGTTATAATAATAATAATAATGCAAGAAGGCTTTCCTCCTATTTTACTTCTTCATTCTGAAAACACTTCTTTAGTGCTTACCTTGCAAGGTGCTTTTTACACAGTTTACAAACATTAGTCCATAGGATTCATTCACTCCTCAAACTTACCCTGTGAGTCAGGCCACCTAGAAACACACAGGTCCGAGGAGAGCACAGCATGTCTGAGCTTGCTCCCAGATTCCCTCTGTCTGCTCATATCACAGAGACCTGAAGCCAGGGAGCCTGCAGCCCTGAAGGGGCCGCTCAGTGGGTACAAAGCCCTTCCCACCTCCAGGCCCTCGGGTGCTGATGGCCGCCTGGCAGGTGCCCGCACTCAGCAGATGGAAACAGGGGAGCCCTGGGCACCAGCTGGCTTGGAACGCGCAGCTAAACCCTCTAAGTGCACAGCTAGGGGAAAGCTGGAGTCAACCGACGGAATTCAGGAAAGCTTTTAATTTAGTCATCAGCCTTTCACCAAGGAAACAAAATAAACAAAAAACACACACACACACACACAGAGAAGTACAGATGAGCTTTGGAGCTGAGAAACCAGAGCTCCCATTGCAACATGTGCAAGGCAGCCTGGGCCTGGAGGAAGTTGCATTGGGGAAAAACACCCATTTTTTTCCCAAACTTATGGATTATGTTGACACTGGGGGATTGTTTTTAGGTTGGGAAATGAAAAGGTTTGGTGTTTGTGAGGGCTCCCTGGTCATGCTTGCAAGATGGTAGAAATGGGAACGGACCCTAATTGATGAGCACTAAGACGAGAGTGGCAAAAACTGGGCAGGCAGCACTACTGGCAGCAGTGTTAACATTTCATTGCTCTCAGCGGTTCACATTTCCACTCCTAGGAATTCACGCTACAGAAACACTCCCGAAGTGTAACACCTGGGAGATAACGCTCATCATGGCATTGTTTGGAAGCATTGGGAATGATTATCGGAGAAAAAAAATTGGAAGTAAATCTAATGACCCTCACTTACAGAGTGGTTAAAAAATAAATTACAGGGACTTTGGAGGGATCATAGCGGACAGGAGGCATGACTAGATTGCAGCTCCCACTCAGATGGACAGAGCAACATGTGTTGACTCGCATCATGAACTTTTGCTCCAGAACTACTGCAGGAATAATTCAGGAAAGCCGAGAGAACCCACAGACCCTCTGAAGGAAGTGGATTGCTCCTGCAGGACCCAGGAGACACCCCAAATACTGTGAGTGCCCAAACTGTGGAAGCAGGAAAGGAAGATCGTCCACCTCCAAACGCACACCCTCACGGGGGAACCTGAAGGTCTAGATCACGGGAGAAGATTCTGACTTTACCTGGAGCTGAGTCAATGTAGAGAGCTGAATGAAATACAGGGGTAGAGGAAGCAGCAGGAAAAGCCTTGTGGAGTTGCTGGGTTACCAGGGAAGCCGTTTCTGACTTGTCTCACAGGGCTACTTGGGGAGGGCTGCCAGTGGAACTGGGAAAAGCCACAGGGAGAAGGAAACCTCCATCTGAACTTTGCAACAATTCTAACCGAACAAGAAGCCTCCTGGCCAGAACTTAGGGGAGAGTGTGAATCCAGTGAGCAGACTCCACAGGTGGGGAAGCATGAAAGCCTTACTTGCTTTTGCAGCTGGGAGGCTGGGAGGATGGGAGGCTGGTAGCCTGGGGTGAGTTCTCAGCCCTGCTTGCCCACTGCCTGGAAATAGACTTGGTGCTGTTGTGGAGGGCATGGTAGGAGTGAGACCAGCCTTCTGGGTTTCATAAGAGCTGGGTGAGGCCTGTGACAGCCAGCTTTCCTCCACTTCCCTGACAACCTGCATGACATAGCAAAGGCAGCCATAATTCTCCTAGGAACATAACTCCATTGACATGGGAACCACACCCCTATCTTCTACAGCAGCCACAGCAAGACCTGCCCAAGGAGAGTCTGAGCTCAGACACACCTAGCCCTGCCCCCACCCGATGGCCTTTTCTTACCCATGCCGGTAGCTGAAGACCAAGGACATATACTCTTGGGAGTTCTAGGGCCCTGCCCACCACTTGATCCTCTCTATACTACCACAGCTGATGCTGACTTGAAAATGTCACCTCCCAGCAGGAGGCCACCCAGCACACACAAAAAAACTAAGGACCCTCACAGAGTCTATTTCACCCCACTGCTACCTCCACTGGAGCAGGTACTGGTATCCACAACTGAGAGACACACAGATGGCTCACATCACAGGACTCTTTGCAGACACCTCTCAGTACCAGCCCAGAGACTGGTAGACCTGCTGGGTGGCTAGATCCAGAAGAGAGATAACAATTGCTACAGCTCGGCTCTCAGGAAGCCACATCCCTAGGAAAAGGGGGAGAGTACTACATCAAGGGAACCCCCCATGAGACAAAAGAATCTGAACAACAGTCTTGAGCCCTACACTTTCCCTCTGACAGAGCCTACTCAAATGAGAAGGAACAAGAAAACCAACTCTGGTAATATGACAAAATGAGGTTCTTTAACACCCCCCGCAAAATAAAACCCACACTAGCTCATCAGCAGTGGATCCAAACCAAGAAGAAATCTCTGACCTACCTGAAAAAGAATTCAGAAGGTCAGTTATTAAGTGAATCAAGGAGGCACCAGAAAAGGTGAAGCCCAATTTAAGGAAATAAATTTTAAAAAGATACATGAAATGAGGGGAGAAATCTTCAATGAAAAGATAGCATAAATAAAAAACAAAACTTCAGGAAACAATGGACACACTTATAGAAATGCAAAATGCTCTAGAAAGTCTCAGCAATAGAATCGAAGCAGAAGAAAAAATTTCAGAGCTTGAAGACAAGGTTTTCGAATTAATCCAATCCAACAAAGATGAAGAAGGAAGAATAAGAAAATATGAACAAAGCCTCCAAGAAATCTGGGATTATGTTAAACGATAAACCTAAGAATAATCGGCGTTCCTGAGGAAAAAGAGAAATCTGAAAGTTGGGAAAACATATTTGGGGGAATAATTGAGGAAAACTTCCATAGTCTTGCTAGAGACCTAGACATCCAAATACAAGAAGCTCAAAGAACACCTGGGAAATACATCACAAAAAGATTATCTCCTAGGCGCATTGTCATCAGGTTATGTAAAGTTAAGACAAAGGAAAGAATCTTAAGATCTGTGAGGCAAAAGCACCAGGTAACCTATAAAGGAAAACCTATGAGACTAACAGCAAATTTCTCAGCAGAAACCTTACAAGCTAGAAGGGATAGGGGCCCTATCTTCAGCCTCCTTAAACAAAACACTTATTGGCCAAGACTTTTGTATCCAGTGAAACTAAGCTTCATAACCGAAGGAAAGATACAGTCTTCTTCAGGCAAACAAATGCTGAGAGAATTTGCCACTACCAAGCCATCACTATAAGAACTGCTAAAAGGAGCTGTAAATCTTGAAACAAATCCTGGAGACACATCAAAACAAAACCTTTTTAAAGCATAAATCTCATAGGACCTATAAAACAAAAATACAAATGCAAAAAAAGCACACACACACAAAAACCAAGGTATACAGGCAACAAATAGCATGATGAATGGAATGGTACCTCACATCTCAATACTAACATTGAATGTAAATAGCCTAAATACTCCACTTAAAAGATGCAGAATCACAGAATGGATAAGAATTTACCAGCCAACTATCTGCAGTCTTCTAGAGACACACTTAACACGAGGACTCATATAAACTTAGGGTAAAGGGATAGAAAAAGATATTCCATGCAAATAGACACCAAAAGCAAGCAGGATTAGCTATTCTCATATCAGACAAAACAAATTCTAAAGCAACAGCAGTTTAAAAAGACAAAGAGGGACATTATATAATGATAGAAGGCCTTAGTCCAACAGGAAAATATCACAATCCTAAACATATATCCACCTAACACTGAGTTCCCAAATTTATAAAACAGTTACTACTAGACCTAAGAAATGATATAGACAGCAACACAGTAACAGTGGGGGACTTCAACACTCCACTGACAGCACTAGACAGGTCATCAAGACAGAAAGTCAACAAAGAAACAACGGATTTAAACTACACCCTGGGACAAATAGACTTAACAGATATTTACAGAACATTTTACCCAACAACCACAGAATATACTTTCTATTTATCAGCACATGGAACTTTCTCCAAGATAGACCATATGACAGGCCACAGAACAAGCCTCAATAAATTTAAGAAAATGGAAATTATACCAAGCACTGTCTCAGACCACAGTGGAATAAAACTGGAAATTAACTCCAAAAAGAACCTTCAAAACTATGCGAACACATGGAAATTAAATAAACTGCCCTTAAATGATCATTGGGTCAACGGTAAAATCAAGATGAAAATTTAAAAAATTGTTCAAACTGAATGACAATAGTGACACAACCTGTTGAAACCTCTGGAATGCAGCAAAGGTGTTGCTAAGAGGAAAGTTCATAGCCCTAAATTTCTACATCAAAAAGTCTGAAAGAGCAAAAGCCGACAATCTAAGGTCACACCACAAGGAACTAGAGAAACAAGAACAAACCAAATCCAAACCCAGCAGAAGAAAGGAAGTAACCAAGATCAGAGCAGAACTAAATGAAATTGAAACAAACAAAAAAATTACAAAAGATGAATAAAAGAGAAAGCTGATTCTTTTAAAAATAAATAAAATGGATAGACCATTAGCAGGATTAACCAAGAAAAGAAGAGAGAAAATCCAAATAAGCTCAATTAGAAACAAAATGGGAGATATTACAACTGATACCACAGAAAGACAAAAGATCATTCAAGGCTACTATTGACACCTTTACATGCATAAACTAGAGAACCTAGAGGAGATGGACAAATTCCTGGAAAGATACAGTCCTCCTAGCTTAAATAAGGAAGAATTAGATACCCTGATCAATAACAAGCAGCGAGATTGAAATGGTAATACAAAAATTACCAACAAAAAAAAGTCCAGGACCAGATGGATTCACAGCTGAATTCTACCAGACATTCAAAGAAGAATTGGCACCAATCCTATCGACACTATTCCACAAGATAGAGAAAGAGGAAATCCTCCATAAATCTTTCTATTAGGCCAGTATTGCCCTAATGCCAAAACCAGGAAAGGAAATAACCAAAAAAGAAAACTACAGACCAATATCCCTGATGAACATAGATGCAAACATCCCTAACAAAATACTAGCCAACCGAATCCAACAACATATCAAAAAGATAATCCATCATGATCAAGTGGGCTTCATACCAGGGATGCAGGGATGGTTCAAGATACGCAAGTCAATAAATGTGGTACACCACACAAACAGAATTAGAAACAAAAATCAAAAACAAAAATCACATGATCATCTCAATAAATGCAGGAAAAGCATTTGACAAAATTCAGCATCCCTTTATGGTTAAAACTATCAGCAAAATCAGCATACGAGGGACATACCTCAGTGTAATATAAAGCCATCTGTGACAAACGCACAGCCAACATAATACCAAGTGGGGAAACATTGAAAGATTTCCTTCTGAGAAGTACAACAGGACAAGGATGCCCATTTTCACCACTTCTCTTCAACATAGTACTGGAAGTCCCAGCCAGAGCAATCAGACAAGAGAAAGAAATAAAGGGCGTCCAAATCGGTAATGAAGAAGTCAAACTGTCACTGTTTTCTGATGATGTGATTGTATACCTAGAAAACCCTAAAGCCTCCTCCAGAAAGCTCCTAGAACTGATAAAAGAATTCAGCAAAGTTTCCAGGTACAAAATTAATGTACACAGATCAGTAGCTCTCCTATACACCAACATCAGCCAAGCTGAGAATCAAATCAAGAACTTAACCCCCTTTACAATAGCTGTAAAAAAAATAAAATACTTAGAAATATACCTAACCAAGGAGGTGAAAGACCTCTACAAGGAAAAGTACAAAACACTGCTGAAAGAAATTACAGATGACACAAACAAATGGAAATACATCCTATACTCATGGATGGGTAGAATCAATATTGTAAAAATGACCATACTGCCAAAAACAATCTACAGATTCAATGCAATTCACATCAAAATACCACCATCATTCTTTACAGAACTAGAAAAAACAATCCTAAAATTCATATGGAATCGAAAAAGAGCCTGCATAGCCAAAGCAAGACTAAGCAAAAAGAACAAATCTGGAGGCATCACATTACCTGATTTTAAACTATGCTATAAAGCCATAGTCACCAAAACAGCATGGTACTGGTGTAAAAATAGGCACATAGACCAGTGGAACAGAATAAATAACCCAGAAATAAACCCAAATACTTACAGCCAACTGATCTTTGACCAAGCAAACAAAAACATAAAGTGGGGAAAAGACACCCTATTCAACAAATGGTGCTGGAATAATTGGCAAGCCACATGTAGGAAAATGAAACTGGATCCTCATCTCTCACCTTATACAAAAATCAACACAAGATGGATCAATAACTTAAATCTAAGACCGGAAACTACAAAAATTCTAGAAGATAACTTTGGAAAAACCCTTCTAGACATTAACTGAGGCAAGGAATTCATGACCAAGAACCCAAAAGCAAATTCAATAAAAACAAAGATAAATAGCTGGGACCTAATTAAACTAAAGGGCTTTTGCACAGCAAAATGAATAATCAGCAGAGTAAACAGACAACCCACAGAGTGGGAGAAAATCTTCCAATCCATACATCTGACAAAGGACTAATATCCAGAATCTACAAGGAACAAATATATATACATATGATGGAATACTGTAATATATATGTATATGTATATGTATGTGTGTATGTATATATATATATATATATAGTGCTATACTACTCAACTATAAAAAGAAATGAATTAATGGCATTTGCAGCAACCTGGATGAAATTAGAGACTATTATTCTCAGTGAAGTAACTCAGGATTGGAAAATCAAACATCGTATGTTCTCATTCATAAGTGGGTGCTAAGCTATGAGGATGCAAAGGCATAAGAATGACACAATGGACTTTGGGGACTCAAGGGGAAAGGGTGGGAAAGGGGCGAGGGATAAAAGACTACAAATTGGGTGCCGGGTATACTGCTTGGGTGATGGGTGCACCAAAATCCCACAAATCACCACTAAAGAACTTACTCATGTAACAAAACGCCACCTGTTCCCCAATAACCTATGGAAATAAAAAAATTTAAAAATGTAAAACTAACTTTGAGTTCATAGGTCATTTAAAAAGAGATGGTGGGTACATCTGTACAATGGAATACTACTCAGCAATAAAAAGAAACGAACTCTTGATACTGGCAAAAACTTGGACGGAGACCTCAAGGACATTAAGCTAAGTCA
Organism: Homo sapiens; assembly: GCF_000001405.40. NCBI lineage: Eukaryota > Metazoa > Chordata > Mammalia > Primates > Hominidae > Homo > Homo sapiens. The sequence goes on along the minus strand of NC_000013.11, from coordinate 111,931,101 downwards.
AAAAAGCCAGTCTCAAAGGGCACGTGCTGTTAGATTCCATTTGCATAACATTCTCAAAATGACAAGGTTATAGAGACGGAGAACAGATGAGTGGTTGGGGTTAGGCATGGCTGGATATAGTGACATGGCTGTACCTATAAAGAGCTAGCATGAGGGAGATTTTGTGACAATGGAATCGTTCTGTATCTTGATTGAAGTAGGGGCTGCACGAATCTACATGTGGGATAAAATGGTAATGACACAAACATGGACTGTGCCCATATGAATTTCCTGGCTTTGATACTGTACTATCATTACGTAAAATGTAACCATTGGGGGAAACTCGGTGAAGGGTACATGGCACCTTTCTGTATTATCTTTGCAACTTCGTGTGATTCTATAACCATTTCAAAACAAAAAGGTAAAAACAAAACAAAAAATTACAAAATCATTCAGACAAGAAATATGATGCAGCCATTAAAAATCAAAAGAGTAAAATGGATCAACGTGCTGATGTGGAAGGACCGCCACAATGTAGACGAAGCAAAAAACCAAGTTGTGAAGCTGTGTGGAGGATGCAATGCCATTTGTGTTTAGAAACTGGTAAGATACCTTTGGGAGGCTGAGGCGGGCAGATCATGAGGTCAGGAGATCAAGACTATCCTGGCTAACATGGTGAAACACCGTCTCTACTAAAAATACAAAGAATTAGTCGGGCATGGTGACTTGGGCCTGTAGTCCCAGCTACTCGGGAGGCTGAGGCAGGAAAATGGTGTGAACCCGGGGGGGCAGAGGTTGCAGTGAGCCAAGATCGTGCCACTGCACTCCAGCCTGGGCGACAGAGTGAGGCTCTGTCTCAAAAAAAAAATAAATAAATAAAATGAAGTCATAAAATAGGACAGCAAACAAACAGGAAAAAGATTTGAAGGAAGCACATGAGATTGCTCCCCACAAGGACCCTAGGATAAAAGTCCACGGTGGGCATCCACAGTATAAAAGTCCATGGCGGGCATCCACAGGTGGGGCCACAAAATGCTTCCTGAATTTTAATTCTGTAACTCATCTGAGGGATCTTATGACCCATGTTTACTCTACTTGTAAAAAATTGGATGGTGTTCACCTCAGGGAAATAAATCAATGTCTACAGGGAACATGTGAGTCTAAAGGAAAAAATCACAGAAGAAACAAAGGAAAGGCTGGGTGTTTACAGCTACCTTAACCACTTAGGGTTGCAATTTATAACAAAAGTCACAAATAATGGGAAAATTAGAAGCATAGTTATTAAGTATTTTAATTTGTGTGTCTTATTTAATGTGACTTTCTTTATTATTTTAATGACTAAAATAATCAATGAAAATTAACTCTCCCTTTCTCTCTTTTCCCTTCTTCTCTTCCTTCCTCCCTCCATGCCCCCCCTTTTCTTCCTTCTAACTTTCCTGTCGTTCCTTCCTTCCTCCCCCTTCCCCATTTATGTGTTTGTTTCTTTCTAAGATAAAGCCTTCTATGCATGTTTTTCTCCTGTTGGTTCAAAAATGGCAGTGAAGGAGGAAATGGAAAAGAAATTGGCCCTGGAGTCCACTCCTGTGATTGCATCCAGGGTCACACTGCCTGGTGGCAGTGGCCATGTGGAGCACTGCACCTGAGATGAGACAGTAAGCTGCGGAGGTAGCAGGGGCTGGGCCCCCGCCTCTGGCCCCCCTTCACAGTTGTCCACAGGTGGATGCTGTGATGCCAGAGAGGCAGATGGCAAAGTGCCTTCCCGGCCTAGGAGGGCTGACTTCCGACCTGTGGCCATTGGGATGAGACTCAAGCTCCCACTTCACACTGGGCTGGAGAGGCCAGGAACAACCCAGAGCTCAGGACCCTCCCGCCCTCCCTGAGACAGTCCCTTCTGTCTCTGCCGTTCCCCCAGGGAGCACCCCTCCTTGCCTCCCCTGATGATGATGTCTTGGCTGCAGCTTTCTTGACCACATGAATGAAGGCCCATCTTTTTATCTGTGAGCTGAGTGGACTCAGTGGCCACAGCCATCGCATTTGCCAGGGGCACTTCCGTGGAGGGCTGTGATGCTGAACCAAATCCTCCCCTCTGAGCTGGGCACAGTTTCAAGGCAGGCAGGCAAAGTCCAAAGAACTGTGGCCTCTGAGCTCAAGAGAGGTGGGACGGATGCTACAATCTAGGGATCTTCCCACTGTTTTGTTGGCATGGAAGTTTAGTTAAGCAGAAATCAGTAAGAAGGGAGTGAGAGCATAAATACAAATCCATTCTGAAAGGCCCTAAGCAGCAGCATGAAGCAACCAGGCAGGTGGTTCAGAAGACCCAAGGCCCCCAGAGTGTTTTCCACATTAAAACAGGGAGCAGGAATGGCGTGTCCTACAGACCCCGGTTCTCAGAGCACCGGGTGATGATTTCCGGAGAGAGAAACCTGAGCAGCAGCCTGTCACCCCTACGCTGGGATTTGGATATTGCAGCCCCTGGGAAATTATACTACAATAAAACAGATCACATTCTATAACCAGCAATTTCAAACTGTGCATTCCAAATTGATATATTCTACACACATAAAAGGATCTGATTTGGGCTCCGGAATCCGCCGTGCGCCTTCTGTTTGCTGCACAATGCCACCTGACTCCCTAAAAAGCGGCTGAGCCTTTTTTTTTCCTCCTGCACCTGCTTAGCTTCAGAAATGTCAGACACACATCTCAGACAGTTTGGTCTAATGCTGGAGCTGCAATCAACTGACAATGTGGCGCACCAGGAGAAAGTAAGGTGCAGGAGAAGGGAAGGCTGGGGCGGTGCAGATGGGCCTCGGGCAGAAAGCACAGCAGATCCAACAACCTGGGGCCTTGGTGCCTGCACCAAGGAAATAGCCCCGTTCTCCACCATCATCCCAGCTCACCGAGAGCCAAAGCATTAAGAATGTGCTTTGAGACTGGAAGATTGGGGGAGCTTTAAGAATAGTAATGGATCCAGATTGAGAAGAGGACCTGGATCCCAAGTAGGATGAGAATTCCTTCTATTGATGCAAAGTGCTCCCCAGGATGAGTTAACACTTAAAGTCAGTATCACAGAGGAGGGAATGTAGTTTTCACACGTATTCAAGCCACACAGTGAAAATACCACTCAGATCTTTAGTCCGTGTGATCTTGGGAAAGTTGCTGCAGTTTGACGACCCTAAATTTCCCCGTCTGTAAAATGGGGTCATTTGCAGTCTCTTCCACATGGGGTTGCGGTGATGGTTAATGATGAAGCGCTCACAAACAGTGCCCGGAACCAACAGTAGCTGCTGCTGCTACAGCTCTGAGCACAATTGTGGTGGCAGCAGCCACCTTTCCTTATGGATTTGATACTTCAGAGAAAATAATGCTGCCGTGCATGTTCCGCTCAAGGCCAAGGCCCCCGACACGAACATCATTCCCATTTACCTAAAGAGAAACAAGAAAACTTTCTCTAAAGGGCCCTGAGCTACTCACAGGCTATGATAACAAATAAGAAACCTACTGGAGTTTTAATTTTTCTTTTTCCTAAATAGAAATATAAAAGGATCAAATTGCTTACTTTTAAAACCATTGATAAGAACAGAAGCCCTATGCGCAGAACACAGAATGGCAGTCATGCTCTTGCAGTTTGGGATATGCAGCAGGTGGGGAGGGGGAACAAAAGGGCATGAACTGGGAGACGAAGGTAGGGGCTGGAGATGGGGGTGCTGACGGGGTGCAGGAGTGCGCCCCAAGGAGAGGCCGGCTCCTTCTATTGAGCCTTGCCGAAAGGCCTGGGAGCAGACGGGCAGCAGGGCTGTGCCGGTCCGGAGCGAGCCCTGGTACCACACCTGCCTGCCTGCAGAGGTACGGTCTTCCAACACTTTCCCTGACCTCCCCATTTCACAGTCGTTCTTTATGCCTGATTTCCTCTTTAGATTGCAAACCTATTCTAGAAATTCAGGGTTATTTGTTTTCTCATGGAACTTGCAAGATTTTGCTCAAATTATTTTCTCGGGAACCTCAGAGATGTCAGTCAACTGTACCCCTTCCACCCCTACTGGGACCCTGCTCTGCTCTATACCCAGGGATGTGCTCCCGAAGCTCGGGTGGCCTCGTGCATCCCCAGCCTCCTCCTGGCTGCCCGTCCTTTCCCTTTCTCCACACAGGAGGTGGTGGCTCTGTAGGCTCTGTGTTGCTGCTGTTTATATATTTATGTTATGTGCATGATATTACTTCCCTTGAGGGTGGAAGCCTCATGTCACCCCTGGAGTCTTACCCCTCTTTCCTTTGCCTGTTGGGTACAATACATGCGCTGAGCTTGCCTGAAAATACTGTAAAAATCAATGAATAGATACACGTGGGACCTGTTTGTGACATCCGGTGACCCCAAGAGGTGTCAGCCACAGCTATTTGATGGGAAGGGGCACTCACGGGGGTCTCCCCTTCCCTCTCTGTGGCAGGGAACAGTCAGGGAGAGCAAATTGCAGTTCGTGAGCCATGAGCACTGAGGCCAGGCGCAGACGCACAGGTGCCACACTGCAGGGAGTTTCTCTGCACACTAGGAGCAGCCGTGCACTCCAGAGTGAGTAGGGTGGAAAATGAACATGATGTTCCCGTGTTTGCAGACTAGCGGTTATTTGTGAGTCTACTGCATTGTCAGAAATCACTCAGTTTTGAAATAATATCCTTGCATGCGTTACTCTGCACCTCTTTCCAACAATGCTGAAAAGGTAAAATGGCACTTAGGAGTCTATATGGGAGTTCTACGTAACACCTGCCACCCTCTTCTGCTTCCAGAAATAGCGCTTATTTTGATGGTGGCGTCTTTTTGCTTATTTATTTTTGAGACAGAGTATCGCTCTGCCACCCAGGCTGGAGTGCAGTGGTGTGATCTTGGCTCACTGAAACCTCTGCCTCCTGGATTCAAGCAATTCTCCTGCCTCAACCTCCTGAGTAGCTGGGATTACGGGCTTGCGCCACTGTAGCCTGCTTATTTTTGTATTTTTAGTAGAGACGGGGTTTCACCATATTGGCCAGACTGGTCTTGAACTCCTGACCTCGTGATCAGCCTGCCTTGGCCTCCCAAAGTGCTGGGATTACAGGCATGAGCCACTGCGCCCAGCCTGCTTATTTTTAATACTGACAGAATGTCTTCAATTTCAAGAGAATCTTGCATACTGAGTTAAGAAACAAACCATCGACTTCCATTATTAAAACCAAATGTGAGGAAGATGTAATTGCTCACTTTCCTGCTATACTTGTGATGGAGTTAGGTGAGAAATGCACACTTTAAAATATGATTCCCAAAGTGGACATCTTTACTAGGTAAGAACATTCTTTGGACCTGGAATTGGTCCTAGAAATCTTGAATGCATGGGTTCCTTGAGGACTCCAAGTCTTTAGTGTGCCCCTTCCACTCCCGCTGCGACTCTGCCCAGCTCTATGCCCACGGACACCCACTGGAGACCTGGTGGCCTCATTTGTCCCAGGCCTCCTCCTGGGCACAGTGTAACATGCCCGCAATAAGTGTTCACGGGACTGGCTCTATTGAACAGGATCCCACAGTCTGGTGATCTCTGCTTCTGTTCCATAAATCGGTTTCTGGGAGGAATGTGGCTCAGAGAGGACATTTACTTTCTCTTTCCAGGTGAATGCTTGGCCACAAGGCTCTCTCTAAACCAGAGCTACCAATCCTGCTGTGGGGGGCACAGATCGAATGGGCACTCTCTCCTGCCCACCATCCCCCAGAGCCCTCTTCTTTGGAAGGTACAGAGGTGCGGGCAGGCACAGCCCAGGTGGTGAGCTCAGCCTGCACACTCCGAGGCCGCATAGTGGTCCAGAGAGGAGCCAGGGGCTGTGTGGTCCAAGTGGACAATCTGCAATTCAGATCCAGTGCTGTTCCTGAGATCAATGGGACTCTGTATTGGGAGTCGCTTAAGATGTGTAGATACTGTGATTGAGAGGAGGCTTCACCCAGGCGGGAGGTTCACGAAGTGTGGTTCCTGGGCCAGCAGCAGCAGCTTCCCTGGGAGCTTGTGAGACATGCAAGTTCTCAGGCCCACCTAGACCTCCTGAATCAGCAGCTCTGGGGAAATGGCCCAGCAATCTGGGTTTTCACAAAGCCTGCTGGGTAATTCTGATGCACAGCTAAGGTTGGGCACCACAACTCTACCCCCATCCCCTCCTTCAGGAAGAGCGATTTGTGTTTTGCTTTGTTTGTTTGGAGAGTGACCCCAATCAGAACCGAAGAGGTCATTCCAGGCCTCCTGTGAGCAGCTGGCCCCAGGGTGAAACCTGCTTTCAGGCTGCTGGACGGGAAGGTCTGCCCTCTCTCATCTCCAGGCATGCTGCCTCTCCCTCCACTCTTCCATCGTTAGCATTCAAGACATCGGTGGTTTTGGTTTTTCCTGATCTTTCCACACGAGACACAGGGGAGGACTCAGACACCATCTTCAGTACCAAGGTGTCAAGGGAAGCCAAGAGCCACTGAGAAACCTTTCGCTGCATGAGCTTGGCTGCTGACCTGTCACGTGATGCCAAATGTTCACAAGGAGAAGATAAAATTAGTCATTCAAGGCCAAATTCAGGGCTAAGACTCCTCCGAGTTGATCTGATAATGTCCCCAGGCTTGCCATAAGACGTAGTTGCTATGGTGATGGTGGGAGATAGAATTTGGAAAAAGACTGTAGGTTGTTGCAAATGAAGAAAGGATTCTTACGACTTAAAAAGCCTTGGTTAGAATATAGTCAGGTGACTTCCACTGCCTGCTTCCCATAACATAACAGTCATAACACAGATCAAAATTTTCTAATTTGTAAGCCAAAGCAGCATCTTACGACATTAGCCCAAGACCCCAAAAGACCAAAGCTGCAGAAACAAGAATCTTGTTTCCAACACCACCTTCACAATAAGTTAACTGTGATGCGTGATCTTGCTGTCTGCAGAGTCTTTAAGCGACCGCGATTTAATGGATGCGAATCGCTAATTGCTTTTGCAGACATCCCAGGTCAGGGCTGCTCTTGGTTTCACACATTGCGATGGAGAGGACGATCGCAATGTTTCAAAAGGATTTTCACTCAATAAGCATGAAATTACATTTAATTACAAATTTAATGTAAATGAATGTAATCAGGTAATTAGAATGTGTAATGGCGTGATATTTACAACATGTAGCAATGCACTTATGATGTTGTATAAAATTATGTTAGAAATTCTTATTGAACTTTGTAAAAAAAGACACTGTTCAGCGAAAGCAGATGATTTTAAAGTTCAACATCTTGATCACTTCAACATTTCATTTATGAAATGCTGTGTTTAGCCAATACTTTTAACAATTTGCTAAATATGTTTTGTAAAAATCAAACAATTTCATAGTTAGTGGAGTGCTAAAAAAGCCCTAGGATCTATTCTCTTGGCTGCATATAGCTCAAACAGCTGAAACCATTTTAAAAAGATGCTTCATTATAAATCATTGAAAATAGGAATTCAGAACAGAAATGCTGACACAATCCTTTATTGCAAATGAGGGACTTAAGTACCGCCAGATTCCTGAATGTGACCAAATGACAGTATTCGGCGTGTCTACTTGGGCAGAAATGCTGCAGACGGTTCTCTTGGAGGAGGGCCTGTCTACATGGCTGCAATCCAGTTGCTTCTGTGTGAAGTGACCGGGTTGAAGGGACCCCTGCTCTTCCCAGTGAACCCCTGTAATCACCCTGATGTCATGTGGGGGTTCTCAGAAGGTGCCTCCCAGGACTCCCAGGTCAGCAGAATTGCCTCAGGGGCTGCTCTGGGTGCCTCGTGCAGCCTGAGGGTGGGGCCTGAGTCCCCGGCACCCTGGCCCTTCCTCAGCCAGACCAGCTTCACCCTTCTCAGTCTTGTAATGGGCTTCCTGTATGATTTCATTAGAAAAAAGGGTGTGGATGGTGAAAATGTTCAAACATTGCTGTTATTTGAAGGAATCATCATCGGATTACACCAGGGTTTGGGGCTCAAATTGGGCCAAGGAGGGTAGGAAAAAGGGCTGCCCTGGAAAGAATGCAACTAAGCATGTCCCGAAGGTTAGGGAGGACGCGGGTCAAACCCAGAAAGGTTAATCAGTACAGTCAGGAACAAGTAGGTGTTGCAGTGTGGACCACAGCCGAGATCTCTAAGCTACCTGGTGCAAGCAAAGGCCAGTGACTTTCATAAAATAAAGTTCTGGATCTTCAATTTCCTCGTGCTTCTTTTCTAAGACCAATGTGCTTGGAAAGGTGCCTGCCGTCTGCCCGTCCTCCCGTCTCTCACACTAAAAAGAAAGGCAAACCTCTCACCTGCCCTTAATTCACCAAGGTGCATCATTGTGGGGAGCAGAACCTCTGGGAGGGTGATTGGAGAATACATCGGTCCTGAGGGAAAGACCGTGGAACAGAGCAAAAATACTGGAGGTGGGAAGGCTGTGACCGTTCTGTCTGTCCATCCATCATCTATTTTTCTATCTGTCTGTCTGTCTATCTATCATCTACTTACCTACCTACCCAACTACCTGTCCATCCACCCATCTGTCTGTCTATATCTCAGAGTCAGAATTCAAAGAAGACTGTGCAGGGTTATGTATTAATACACATTAACTAAAAATGAAGTCAGACTGTAATTGTTACGGCTGTTTTCAAACAATTGGGCCCTTCTTCTGGGCACTGAGGACATTTTACTTTCTTTCCTCTCTGAATCCAGGGCTGGTCCTATGACCAGTCTTGGGCACTACAAAGCCATGAGCAGAAGTGACGCATGTTACTTCCAGCATGAGCGTTCCACTCCTTCTCGTGAACGTGGTGATCATAGCCACGTGTTGAGAAGCCTCCCTCAGCCGAGCTCTCTGTGTCCCTGGGGGAGCTGGGCCAACCTCTGCCAACCCAGGCACCCAGGCTGAGCTGCCTTGAACCTGGAGGCCTCGTGTGATATTGTGGAGGTTTGGGGTTATTACGTAGTATAACGCAGCATGCCCTGACTAATGAGGAAATTACATCTGATTGGCATGTTGATTTGAAAACGAGGATTGCATTTTCTAATTAATGTATAAGGTGAACATTTTCTACAAAACAAATAAGCCAAATGATGTTGCTTCAACATATATTAGAAAACACATCCAGTGCAACTGTAGAAAAGTATGCTACAAAACTTTAAATGTCATCCTAAGGATGTGTGAGCTGGTACACAGTTTTACAGAAGTATTAGGGGCTCATAAACGAAGACGGTTAAAGCCTGGAGATGCCAGGTCTAGGGAAGCCAGGACCAGGAACACAGGCTAAAGGCTGCTGTGGTCAAACTGTGCTTCCGAATTCATGTTTTGGGGTCCTCACTCCCGTGCCTCTGAATGTGGCCCTATTTGGAATAGAGTCTTGTCTAAGCCACTGAAGCTTCAGGGAACGGATACAGAAGCCAAGGGAACAGAGTGCGCACCCAGCACACAGAGGGAAAAGACGTGGGGGCAGCCCGGCCAGGAGGGCGCCGGCGGCTGCAGAAGCTGTTGTCCCAACAAAGCCTTCCCAGCGTGTTCTCTGCAGGGAACGCGCGGTGACCCTAAAGGAAGCAGGAACGCACGGTGACCCTAAAGGAAGCAGGAACGGGAGGGCTGGGGGCGGGAACTCTATTCACCCTCCTCAGAGAACGCCCCACCTGGCTCTCCACTGGCAGGTTCGGGGTCCCCAAGGGCTGCTGCGGCAGCTCCTGCCTCGGTGTCTGGCGCCGAAACTACGGCTCTTGCTCCCCAGACACACCCTTTCTGTGTCCTCAGGAACCGGCGCCCATCCCCTGGATCATGATTCCTTTGTGATGAACATTGCTGTTTCTATATTTTATTTCTATAAAAAGAAACTGAGAAAGGGAAAGAAAAGCTGGCCCTTTTGATGAAATATTCTCTCAGTGAAGGAAGCAGTCATTTGCTAAAACCTGTGGGTGACGTATGGTGTCCTTCTCTGAGAACCTTTCTGTGTTTGGGATGCCTGTCCACCAGCTCCGGTGGGCGTCTGCTTCTGAGAGAGCTGAGGCTTGTTTGTCTGATTGGATTTCACACTGGATTATCACCACTGCGCACACACAGGTCGAGACGCCAACACCAGGAAGCTCTTTCTTTTTCCTCTCTCTCCTCTTCCTCTCTCTCTTCACATCCCCTTTCCTGTGTCCAACAGTAGGCAGGGCCTTGGAGGCTCCCACACGCCGGGGCTTGCACTTCAGCTGTTTGTGTCATATCCAGGCCCATAAAGGGCCGGAGGCACGGAGGTCTCCACAGTGTTTCTGAGCGGTGGCCACTTTACCATCCTGCACCTATTGCGGCCACTGTTACCGAGTGGGGCCCTACCAAGGGTTTTATCCTCAGCACCTGGGTACTCTGCAAAGCGGTGTCTGTTCCATCACGCCTGGGTAGAGAACAGGTAGACCGGCACCTGTGCCCCAAGCCCCCATCTCGGCACGATGCCACACTGTCTGTCCGTGAACACAGTGGGACATCTCGGACAAAAATGAGAATCCTATTGAGGAAAGGCAAACTGGACAGAGTGAGGAATTGCCTGGCCCCACTGCCTCAACAGACGGGGCTCCATGCAGGGGAGCTGAGTTCCAGGAGGAGGGGCCGCAGGCTTGGGGGCTTCTGGAGGCGTCTGTGCAGCCATGGCGCGTCCCCAGCCTGGGCGAGTGGGGCCAGGGCAGACAGCTTTGTTCCCACTGCCTTTCTTTAGCTGCGGGGCTGTGCCCTGTGCCCAGGTCTAGTTTCAGCAGGTGCCAGGGCCTCGGGGGGCCGGGACAGAAAGGTGCATTCATTCCTGAATTGCTGCTGTCTCCTGGCACTGCTCATCACAGCACCCCCACGCCTCTTCCCAGGGCAGGCTGCGCATAAATAAGTCTCCTGTTGGGCACAATGATTTATTCATTTCTCCTCCAAGATGAGTATCATATGGGACTCATTATATAATGGATTTCAGCTCATCTGAATGATTATGCTGCCCATGTGGGACCTGACAGAGCCTAGGCCCTGGGAACTGGACACCTAACACCAGAGGCTCCGTGGGAACCCTGTCCCCAGCTGGGCCCAGCTCCATGGCTCAGAGGCGCCTCAGCACAGGCTCACGGTGAGCTCTGCTAGGGATCTGGGGCACGGATGTCGACTTCAGGTGGAATCAACTGTCCAGGACTCACGTTACGCAACTCTAGCGGCAGATGAGACGGGGCTGGGGCGAAGACCAGGTGGTGGGGACGCCAAGTGGCCCCTGAGAACGCGGACTGGAGCTGTGCAGAGCACACTCTCAGCTGCACTAAGTCTCAGCATTTTGCTGACATCCTAAGAGCAAAGGAGAGACGCCCTTTGGGTTGAAAGGGGAGAGCTGGAGAGAACGGGATGTGTTAAATGCCTTGGGCCGTCTCACTCCGGGTGGGAGAAAGACCAGGAAGTTGTAACTCTTGAGTTTTTACATTTTTAATTAATAGGACATGAAACATTTAGTATTTTAAAATCCTTCAAATTCAAATGCACTTTTCTGACCCAGTGGGCATCCCAGGTGTGAGTGACTCCAGGCTCTGTGTAATGGGAGGATGCCTGGCTGCTGGGAGCTTTGCTTTGCCTGGGTGCTGCGTGTGAGGACATTTTTACTCTAGAAACAGATGTGTCTGACAGAACCCCACGGGAGACCCCCACGGCAGCGTAGAGAAGCATTCCTGACGCACGCAAGGAAGGGCCGGGTCTTTGCGATCAGACGGGCTTAGGTCTGCCGAATCGCCTCCTCCTTACAACAGGGACAGTAGCCCCCACCCTGCTGGGCCACTGTGGGGGCTCTCACGCAGTCCCTGGCATGGGCAGGTGTTCAGCCGTGTGGTCCTTATGAGGTGTGGCGGCTCTCACGCAGTCCCCGGCATGGGCAGGTGTTCAGCCGTGTGGTCCTTATGAGGTATGGGGGCTCTCACGCAGTCCCCGGCATGGGCAGGTGTTCAGCCGTGTGGTCCTTATGAGGTATGGGGGCTCTCACGCAGTCCCCGGCATGGGCAGGTGTTCAGCCGTGTGGTCCTTATGAGGTGTGGCGGCTCTCATGCAGTCCCTGGCATGGGCAGGTGTTCAGCCGTGTGGTCGTTATGAGGCTCAACGTGCTTTCTGTGCACAGGCTTTGGGAAGAAGCTTGATGTCTGGGTACTAGGTACCACTTATCATTCCTTCTAGGAAAAGCATCTCTCCCTGCTCCTGAACGAAGTCCTTCGTGCCATGGCCAGGCAGGTGAGTAAAAACTTGGGGGTCTACCTGGCAAGTAGCTTTCAAAAACCACTGGACGCCACAGAAATTCTAACTGGCCCACAAGATGCTCAGAAATTCTACCTGGCCCACAAAATGCTCAGAAATTCTACCTGGCCCACAAAATGCTCAGAAATTCTACCTGGCCCACAAAATGCTCAGAAATTCTACCTGGCCCACAAAATGCACAGTTATCCTATCTCCATGTATTTGTGTATTTTTTCCAATAGGATGAAATGAAGGGCTAAGAAACCTCTCTGCAGCAAGTGTACTAGGATTGGCTCCAGGCGCAGGTCCATGTGGACATCAAATAAACAAAGTGTAGAGTCAGTGTGCACTGGGTTGAAATATTTATGACATCTGATTTCTTCCGGGTCTAGACGTCTTTCCTGTTTTTCTGTTAAGTTCCCTGTGGTTTTTTGTTTTATTTTGGTCTATCATGAGTATTGATTTTATTTCTCTGTTCTGATTTATTTTTAAGGAGCCCCCTCTTATCAGAAAGGTGATGGCCTTGGTGTTAGATAAAAGTTGATGTCCCCAGTGGTATATAAGTTCACAAATTCATAAACGTCTTGTCTGAACATTGTCTATGATTCAGGACAAGTTGCTACCATAAGGGTGCTGGACGATCCTGGAGTCCTGAGCTACGTGGGCTGGCCGGTTTCCCGACGTCGGGTGGAGGAGGAGTATGACATAGAATCAGATCCACCAGTGAAGGGAACCCTCCGGCCCAGCAGGTCCCAGAACCACATGGGGCGGGCTGGGGACACAGAGAGACTCCCACAGCCTGACACACAGGAACGCCGAGGCCCAGGCGGCCCATATGCACGTGAGGTCCTCCCATCTGCACCCACCCATCTCTCATTCCTTATGGCTGCCTTCTGGCGCTACCTCCGCGTGGGAGTAGTGCAGCCCCCTGGTCCCCCCAGCACATGAAGAGGCCGTCCAAGGCTAACTCCACCTGTGACAGCACTGGAACTCCAGAAACCAGGCTGAATTGTTTCCTACTCAATGGAGTGTATGTTCATCCTTTCACACCCTCCATCTTATTCTAAGAAAAAGCATTTACGATCGGAATTGATGATGGCTTACATAAATACAGCAAAACAAAGAAGAAGGAGGAAAGCAGTCCAAAGGGAGTTTGGGAAGAAATGACGACCCTGAGAAGTCCAGGACAAGTAAACAGAGCCGTATGGTGAGGACTGGTACCCTTGCTAGAAGCTGGCCACGCATTTAGTTCCAAACTTTCTAGCAACTACTGCAAAAAGCGCAGTGTGATCAGATAGGTGAATAAACATCAGTAACATAAAAATAAACTATTTGTCTAGGAGAAAACCCTAAAATTCTAGTGCTAAATCCAGAAATACGTCCCCTGAAGGTGCCTATGTGGGAGACACACACACGGTAAGGAGCAGTGTCTCCACCGACAGCTCTAAGGTAAGCAGAGGAACACGCCTGTGGGGCCGTGTCACGTTTCTGCCCCCAGAGTAAGACAGTGGAAAACAGCAAAGAGAAATTCAAGAGAGCAACGCTTTGCAGGAGCTGAAATAACACAGCCCAGGTAAGAAGTGGATCCAAGACCCCGTGGAAGGGCTGTCCTCGGTAAACAGGGCTGCTCTTGATCCTGCCTCCGATGACGGCCCGTCAGGAGGGATCTGCAGTGTCAGAACACAGTCGTCTCCTGGGAATGGTGAAGGGTCCAGCCACACTGTGACTGTCAGCCTGGCAGGCTGACCCCAGGGAAGAGCTGATGAAAGCAGTGTGAGCTGGACTTCCTTTCCGCTGGGAGTGGCCGAGGAGGACACCCCTGGACCAAGTCCATTCCATGCAGTTTGGGGTCTGCTCCAGAACTTGGTAGAAGAGCCCCCCAGTTCCTCAAGATGGAATTGACCCAGGACAGTCTCAAAGTGGGTGTAACTTGACATTCGTCTTGGCCACAAACGCTTGTAGGGAGACCCAGTAGGAAGGGGTGGGGTGCCTGTTCCTCCAAGTCACATGGATTTCAAAAGAGAGGCCAGGCTTGGGTGGGAGTGGTGGCCAAAAATATGGATGTGGTCCTAGAGCGTGGCCAGTGGCGGTTTGGGGCAGTTATAAGATCTGGGGGCCGGTTGTTTAGGCCGATTTCCTCTTGACAATGGAACAGCACATAGACACTGACAGCAGGCATCTTTTTCTCCTGGGGCCGCATGAAACCCACTTACAACCCATACGAAGTCATTAGAATATAAATCAAATAGGGAGGAACATAGCAAAAAAAAAAACTTTCCTGTTTTAAAAATGTCCACAGGAAACTTTATGATTTATCATTCGTGGACCTCAGCTCTAGAGTGACATTAGCGGTCAGATTCTGCCCTGGCATCAGGGACCGTGGGGAGTGCTCGGTCTCCACCTCTAGGTCTAGGCTGGCCTTTCCCTGCCTCCTGTGGATCCAGCCCCACACTGAGGCTGGTGGAAGCCCCACACTGAGGCTGGCCAGAGCCAGGCCTCCACTGTTCTTCCCACATTCCTGATTTTTCAAATTATACATTATGAGGGGCCGTGTCTGGGGCCCACTGGGTGGTGCCCAGGGGTACCCAGGGTCTGGATCTTGTGGCAGAACCTGCCAATCCCACACGTCAGCACTGATGTCCTAAAATGGAGGTGTCCACCAGCTCTGCAGGCTACACTCAGACCTTTCTATGTGGACATTAGATTTGTACTTTCCCCAAGACACTTAGTGGACTGATGAGATTTAAATGTAATAAAGCCAGGTGTCTCTCCTAATGTTCATTTCTCATGTCCTCATGCCCACCTGGTTGGATTGTTTTTTGGTTTCTGGTTCTCCTCAGATCAGGTAAGCATCACCCAGTGAGGCCGAAATTAGTTATAAACTATGGGCAACCTGGTAACAGTGAACAGAGGGAGAAATAACCTGGCTGTTTCAGAAGTCTTTGCAGTAGGGTTAAAAAGCAAAAGCAAACCAAAAACTCAGAGGGCAAGAGGCGATCCACAGAAGAACTATTCACAGAAGGATTTTCCCTCAAACTCACTCTTCCACTCCGTCCAAACCCCAAATAACCTATAGAGTGGATTTCCCGACATAACAGGGCTCTGACTAGGACCTACACTGTTTCCGAATGAGAATGCCAACACTCCTGACTTAATCATAGCGAAGTTTAACAATCCAGATCCACTGGATTAGTCCTAATAATGCTTAACTATCACTTGCCAGGCACCAGGTCTATGTTTCACTATCTGCAGACATTATCTTGCTGAACCCTCAGAACACCCCAGCGAGGGGTAAACACTTCTTCATACTCGATGTGTAGATGAAATCGCTGTAGGAGGGGCTGGGCCACTGGCTGAGCCAACAAAGAAGCATTGCAAGATTGGTAACTCGAGGTGCACCTGGATTCCCAGACAGGGCCATCGGAGGCCAGGCAGGAACATTGCTGGAATGTGATGGATCCAGAGGGGCAGCTGCGGTCTTTGCCAGCGCTTAGGAGCCCTGAAAACACTCGTGGCCATGTGGACGACTGAGAGGTGTGCACACCTCACTCACTGGCCTGAGAGGGAAGATGAGAGAGCAGCAGTTTCTGGATGCAACAGCCCCAGAGGCCTCCCCAGGTCCCATCTCTCCCACTCTCGGGTCCGACTACTGGCGAGTCACTCCAACAGGCTGACTTCCTGAGCCCAGGGCGGCCAGCAGATGCTGAGATCTGCAGGCAGGTGGAGGTGGCAGGGGAAGAAGGCCCGGGAAGAGGCAGCAGGGCTGGACGGCTGGGAGGGGACTGGCAGGTGGGGGCTAAACCACGGTCTCTTGAGTCACCACCTGAATCTTACAGCTTATTAAAATCTCCCTTCCAGGAGAAAATTGTCTTTCTGGTTGGGGAAGCTCAGCGGATGGGAGAAAGCAGCCCCAGCTCCCACGTGCGCCTCCCAGACAGGAGACCTTGGCCTGCGGCTGGAGGGGCCTGTTTCTTAGTACTACGCTTGGTGGGCTTGGGTGGCCCCAAATGAGTTCCCCAAAATCAAGAGGGTGTCCAGTGGGCTCAGAGCTGTTTCTGTTTGTCTTAAGGCCCTGTGTGGGGCGAACCATGATCCAGCCACCTTCCCCTTCAAGTCAGCAGAGGGGGCTGACCTCAGAAGGCCAGAGGAGGTGCACACCAGGACTGCAGACCTGCTGCAAAGGGCAGGCCTCCCCAGAAACACCCACAGTTAGCCAGTGAGACCAGTGGACACAATATTATAAAGAAGCCTTTTTAAAAGAAAAGAAAACCATTTGTTTGAAGATGAGAAAGGAGAGAGAACAAGCTAGACAAGGAATGAGAGGACAGAATGTGGGGTGGGCATCCACACACCTGGGGGTGGTCCAGTATCTCCTCAGTGGGACACAGAGAGGCCCTCAGGGGATGAGCACCAGGGGCAGAAAGAAATGCACCTGGCCCAGTCCTTTCCCCCTGGTCCTACAGGGAGGCACCACCTCCCACCCTTTGTCAGGATGTGTTACGAGGACAGTGTCACTGTGACCCACAGCCGTTCGCTCACACTTAGGCATGGCGGGGAGAGGCTGCGACACACAACGGGTTCCAGCCTGTTCTAGAGGCAAGTGCCAGGAACACTTTCCCACCCCATCTTCTATTTGATCAGATAGAGCAGATAATTTGTTTTCTAGCTTTTTCTAAATGGATTCACTCTAATTCCAATCTTACAGACTGCATATTCCACCATGTGTAACTCCAGTAACTGAAGCACTGGCAAATAGTCCTAGGCAGGTGTTCACTTCTAGCCTTAATCAACTAACAAGTTCATTATCAGAGCCTGTCTGCAGTTTCCGTGGTCACTCGGTGAAGCCACAGTGCCACCTCCAGAAGCGCTAGCGTCTTCTACTCCAAAGCTGAGATAGTGACTCGCTAGGTCCCTCCCAGGTGGCTGAGCGGCCCTGGATGCTTTGTGTAAGAGTCTGTGTTTAGTTGTGAGAAGTTCCAACAATCGGGTAATGTCATCACTGCTGAGGCAGCAGCTGTCCTGACGCAGAGCTTCCAGGAAAGGGCATACGAGAGGGAGAAAGATGGCCTGAGGCTTTCATTGAGAAAGGGAGCATTTTATTCTCAAATTGCTCTTGTTGACAGCAAGAAGGGTGCATATACATTACGGTTCAATTTCCCAGGCCACTTTCCCACCACGCCTTGTTGGGTCACTCACTGCGGCACTGAGCCGGGCAGGTTAAACGCGTGTCACAGCCTGACCCCCAGAGCCTCATGCTGAGGAATGCAGTGCTGGCTGAGCCTGGGGCCAGAGGCTCACTCCAAGCTCTGCACTTAGTGGAACTACAAGGAGAGGAGGCTGAGCGGGGCAGGGTGGCGGAAGAGAGGCAGCATGGGAGGCGGAAAGGGAGCAAGGCGTGCGAACCTCACATAATGAGCTGGACAGCTGGTCAGCGCGGTCCCTGGAAGCCTTTAGATGTGGAAACCTGAGGAACTGGTCACCTCTAAGGTGACAGAGAGGGAGGAGGAGAAGCCTGGACCCCTGGCCCTGTGCACTCTTCCCAGGGCCCCCCACCTCCTGAATACCTCTCTCTCCTCAAGCTCCATGCTCAGCAGGTGCTGCTTTGGTAGAAGCTGAGTCTGAGATCTAAGATGAGTTTCAGCATGGGGAGCTCCACGGTGCCACTGCGGCAGGGCTGGGGAGCGGGAGAAAGCGGCTTGTGGTGTGCAGGGAAGAAACAGGAAATCTCATTGCCCTTGGGCTTGGCTTCAGGGTCCGAAAGTCCTGTCACCGCACACAGAGGCTCCGCCTACTGGAGTTGGAGCGAAGCATCCCCGTTCTTCACGAGGATTCCAAGCCTTGCCATTTGCGGGTGATCTCATTTTGGTCATGATTTTTCTCCATGTCTTTCCTCGTACCAGACTCTTCCCTAGAGATATTGACAAAATAGACCTATTTGAAGTGTATTGTATTTTACTTAAGTAGTATTTCTTGACGCCCACCCATACCTGCTTCCTAGGTGGTCTCAGTGTGTGTTCCTCCAGGAGGGGACCCTAGACAAGGACTTGAGGGCAAGAAGCTTAAGTGGAAAGTGATCCCAGGAGAGACGCAGCGGCTCACTCGCACGGAGGGGTGTGGGGCGGGGTAAGAAACGGTGCCCACCAGGCAAGTGACAGCTGCGGTCCACTGCAGCCTAACCCCATGGCGGGACCCCAGGAGGCAGTATGGAACCCACCCCAGAACTGCCCTTGTGAAGGGGCAAGGAGGCTGGAGCTCATCTCCAGCTCCCCATCAATTCTGGCCAGAGCTGCTTGCAAGGCTACTTCCAGCCTGCCCCACACGCTAGCTGTTCACCCCTGCAACCTCGAGACACGCCCCAGGTAGTCACAGGCATTGGCGGTGATCAACCACACAGGTGAACGCCGAGAGGATTCAGGCACGGATCGCACCTCATATATGGGTGTTCATGGTTCAGGGAGGAAAAATGGACAATGGCAAAGTGCTTTGGGGCTGGATGCAGTGGTACACAACTAAAAATCTCAATACTTTGAGAGGTTGAGGTGGGAGGATGGCTTGAACCTAGGAGTTGGAGGCTGAGCGAGCCAGGATCACACCACCACACTCCAGCCTGGGCCACAGAGTGAGACCCTGTCTAAAAAAAATGCTTTGGTGAAGAGGAGCAAGGGCTATGAACACACTGAGGGGCTACCTAAACCAGACTGGGATGCTGGGCGGGGGATCCATCTGTAAGAAGGTACCTGCCAAGTTCATCAGGGAAAGGCAGGGTTAGTTGGGTGAAGGATGTGGAACAGTGTGGGGAGGAAGAGCATTTAGGGAAATGGTGTGCAGGGGCCTGGAGATATAAAGTGAGTGGAATGGGAGGACTCTGCGTGGAAGAAGAGTCTAGGGACGCCTGCAGGGGCCAGGTGCTGCCGGGCTTTGTAGGTCAAGTGGATAATTTCTTGGCAACGGGACGTTGGAGAAGAGGTTCAAGCTAGGAACCCACAGTCAGGCCGGCCTGTAGTAAGTGGACTGTGACGTCTCAGCAGGCGTGCGCTGGGCCCATGGGAGACCCTGGGCAGGCTGACCTGCTAGAAGAAGGTCATGCAAATTCAGGCAGGGGATGATGCACACTGAACTAAGGACCCAAATATGGATGCAGCAGATTTAGCATGAACGCACTGTTGTGAATTCTTTAATTCTTTCCAGCAGCAAATGCTGAGCTCCCAATTCCTCTCTCAGTGGCAGAATTAATCCAAGAACCTCTTCAATCAGACCCTAACGTATGTGGATGCAAGGCCATCAGAAATGAGGGCTCCTGTTCCAGGAAACTTGCTGTTGGGAGGCCGTGACGGTTTCAAAGCAGTTGGTACTGCAGGTCATGACAATCTTGTACCCAGAACGACCTTGAAGAAAGTATCCTAATAGCAGCTCATTGACGCTCAGAGAGTACTCACAATGCCTGGCGGCATACTTCACCGGTACATAAAAGACAGCACCTTCAGGACAAGAGAGAAAGCAAGAGTTCTGCCCCATTTGATGCGAGCCTTCCAAGGCAGTCACCCTCCCTCCAGAGAAAGCGTCAGGACCAGTGTCTGCAGGTGATTTGCTGCAATTTCTTCCTAACAGCCCTGATTCCTGATGAGCGATGCTGGTGCCCTCTGCTCCTTCGGGTGTGATGGTCCCATGTTGCTGGGCCCCTGGCCAGTTTCTGCAGGATGAGAGTGAAACCCCCATATCTGAAAAGAGTGCTTCTGCAGCCTCTCCTTGATTTGTTCAGGCATTTCAGAGTTTGAGGAGTCTGGTCCTACAGAGTAAGAATCAGGCCGGGCTCTCTTCAGGAGAGACTCGAGGACACCAACTCTTTCTCTCCAGAGGCACTGCAGTGTCAGATCTGCCTACAGAACCCTGAGACTTTTGGACAAAATAAAATATTCATGCATTTGGAGGACTTTTAGGACTCAGAGTCAGGAGCAAGATGAAACCTTAGAAATTTAAACCTGGAGCATTGCAGATATTGAGGAGGTGAGTGGCTGCAGCCACCATATCAGTTCAACAAGGAGAATGAAATAAACACCACGTGCCAGTCTTGTAGGTGACAGGGATGGAGTTATTGTGACTCTGGGAGGATCAGCCCCTAGACACACGTGCGGAGCCCACGAAGCCTGCAGGAACTACAGCAGGCTTGTGTTGTTGGAGCCTCCATTCTTCCTCTATAAAATGAGGAGTGTGAGGCTGCCTGGGCCCCTGCAGGAGCAGGAGCAGCCACAGCATTGAAGAAGGTGGGGATGGGGGCTGTGGGTCCCCCCACCAGCTCTCCCTCCCTGGGTGGCCCCTCAGCAGTGTCAAGAGCTCCTAGAGGTTGACTGTGCACATCAGAACCGGCGTGAGGTCCCCCTGGCCGGGCCGGCTCCTCGCTGATGGGGTCGGGAGCTCTTTCTCATGTTGCCCTCTCTGGTGTGTGGTCCTAGGTCTGGCTCTTCCTCCTCCTGATGGTTTTGGCCACCGACGTTCATCAGGTTCACTTAGCAGGTGCACCATTTATCTTGGTGTCCTGCTCTCCGTGAGATGCTGGCCTGCAGGCGTCTGGCTGGCTGGCTCACAGATGGCTCTTCTCCAAGGCAGGAGCAATGGCTGTGGGTACACCCATGTCCTTGGGAGACAATGGAGGCTGTGGGGCTCATGGCCTCTGTGGAGGTAAAGGAGCACCTGGGCCAGCTCCCAGCCTCCCGAAGGTACTATGGGTCCCATCGTCAGGTAGACGACGCAGGGACCCCTGCGTTCTGGGTACCTGGACCTGAGGAAGGAGCCCTCGGTCTGGGGTGGATGGAGCCAGTCTCTGGGGATCCATTGGCTGAGATTCCCACCCCATTTTGATGGTAATTTCAATGGGGGGTCCCATCACCCTTTTGGTGAGGGGCAGTATTGAAGCCCAGATACTGAGGAGCAGTAAGGGGCATAAACAGGGCTACCTCAGCACACATCCACCCAGAGGCCAGGAGCTGGAGGTTTGTGAGAAAAGCAGGAATTCCCCACTTTCCCATTTGCCAAAAGGACTAGAGAAAGAATGAAAGGCAAGACGTGGGGTAAGTATCTGGAGGCCAAGGCATAAGGAAGAGAAGGCTCCATGCCCACCGAGTCACAGCCATGAGCTCCACAGGGACAGGGAGTCCGTTCATCCAGGATCTGGAACCCTAAGAACCTTGTGGCCTGAGTGACATTCCCCCAGGCCAGCACGGCACCTGCCCAGCACCTCCTAGCACCGCCAGCACCACTCACGGCGGGATACGACTTCCCTTCACCAACCCCACCCTGTCCACTCGTTATCCTAGGACGTGCGGCCCCTACTCACCCCTGGGCCCCTCTGTGCCCAGGGCCCACAATGCTAGAGAGACCTTCGGGGGGGGGGGGGCATCACCTTATTGGCTGAAGGAAAAGGTGTACCAGGGTCTCACCCTCAAATCCAGTGGACTGAGATCCGATCTCAGGTGACAGAGAGTCTTATTCTGAATCAGATGGAAACAGAACCCTATGCAGGTAGAAGATAAAATGTGGATGCAAAACCTAGAGGCTGCAGTTAGAAATCAAGTGAGGTCAACCACAGGCAAGCATAGAACACAAATTAGAGTGTCCAGACTCTCTCCTGGCCATTACAGCCACCGCCTGGCTGCTGCTGTGCCAGGGGTTCACCCAGAGCCTTTTCCCATTAGGAGCGAGATAACGGCCCCCTGCCCCGGCTGCTGCGGGTCTAGATGTGGCCACCCGCCTTGTCTCGCCTCCGGTGGTTGGAGAGGAGCAGGGGTGGACAGTGTCAGGGATGCCAGCACAGCCTTGGCCTGGAAGCCAGTGGACTTCTTGATCCTTCATCTGGAAAAAGACAGGCTGATTAACCACTGTGTTTTAATAGTTTTTGTTATTATTATTATTTTGAGATAGAGTTGAGCTCTGCTGCCCAGGCTGGAGTGCGGTGGTACAATTTCCGCTCACTCCAACCTCTGCCTCCCCAGGTTCAAGTGATTCTCCTGCCTCAGCTTCCTGAGTAGCTGGGATTACAGGTACCTGTCACCACGCCTGGCTAATTTTTGTATTTTTAGTAGAGATGGGGTTTCACCATATTGGTCAGGCTGGTCTCAAACTCCTGACCTCAGGTGATCCACCCACCTCTGCCTCCCACGCCACGATTACAGGCATGAGTCACTGTGCCTGGCCAGATTTTATTATGATTTAAGTGGAAGAGGCCAGCAGATCGGGAGACGACTGCCATTGAGAAGAGTTTGTTACAGTCACTGCTTCCAGGAGAAGGAGGCAAGCAGCACCCTGTAGGGCACGCAGGGAAGGCCGGGTCGGCCGGGAGGGAGACGGGCTATGGCAGGAGCCTCTATCTACCAGCCTTTATGGCCGTTTCCGGGGCAGGGAAGGCAGGCTTAGGATTGACTGGTTTGAATAATTCTGGCAGGCCCTGTGGCACTGGGGCTGTCTCTAGCTGTCTGGCACCTGCCCCAGTGTGATCAGCTCAGACAGATAGTGGCCCGGAGGGTGACCCAATAAGCAGGCGGTCAGGATGTGGGCTGAAGAAGGGGACCTGGCCACCTCTAGCCAGGACCTCCAAACTGGGTCAAGACAGCATTTTCCAAACCACATTCTATGCTGCTCCAGAGGAATCAGAAGACGCTATTCATTCACTCCTTGGAGGGAATGTGTGTGTATATGTGTAATGCCCATGTACAAAAGTAAGTAATGCACACATTTTATATTTTACAGAATGTATTTTACATCTTATGGTGTATGTCTGCAACATTTTATATCTTGCCAAGAGAAGGTATGAATGTTTGCTACTTTCTAATTCCTCTTTTTGAGATCAAAGAAATCTCCACTCTTAGTGCACAGAGAAGAAAGAATCTGTTGCCAGATGCCATCTTGGACATCTACTTATGCTTAAAAAGGAATCAGTCCCTTTGCTCCATGAAGACAGCGGCCAGGTTGAATACGCGAGCTTCGTCCACTGTCCTACCATGCAGGGAGCGTCTTCACTTCTCAAACTCTCCCCACTTGCGCTTCTCACCCATCAAGCCATCAACACCCCTGGGCCCCAGGAGCCTCTCCCTCTTATATCTCCAGATCAAGCAAGGTTCAGACACCTGGACTTCCCAGAGCTCCCAGGAGGTCAGGCTGTTGTGTTCACATGACTTCCCTGCAGGCTCAGGGTGAGAGAACTTCAGAGAAGAGACACCAGCTCCGACTCCTCAGATGTGACCTTCCTGGAGGCACCTGGTGCCAGCCCCCCTTCCACTGGGTAGGCCCCTGTCCTGGAGTAGAAGCCTCTCCAGCTCCCTTCCACTGGGTAGGCCCCTGTCCTGGAGTAGAAGCCTCTCCTTCTGCACCACCAGGGTCCCTGTAGCCTTGGGGTTAAGCTTCCAAGAGCACAGCCAGGCAGAGGAAGGGGCTCTCTTTCCCTGGGCTGAGGCTTCCGCCCCACTCCACGCTTTCTGTCCCTGGAGCCTCTGCCCGTTCCTCAGTGCCTGACATTAGCCCTGTCCTTTCAGGGAAGAATTATGCTCCCTAATAACAGCCCCAACAGAACAGAAGCTCATTTGTCCATTAGAAAAGAGACATGATTATTACATGTTACATGCCTGTATCAAAATATCTCATGTACCCACAAACATTAAACATGAAAAAGAAAAAAGGAAAAGAGACACAGGCAGAATTTGAAGAACTGTTTTCTCAAAAATTGAGAAATATGCGAACTAGGGTCAAGAACCGAGCCCCTCTCCATTTCCTTGGTAATGACCCCTCTGACAGAAGCCACGAGGCACAGGCAGCATTTCAGGTCTCCAGTCCCATTCTGTGTAGCTGTATTGGAGGCCGTGACCTGGGTCCATTTCATAGGCATTGACTGAGCACCAACAGTGTACACGGTGCTTGCTCCAAGTGCAGACAGGGCAGCCACGGTCCCAAGGGCGCGCATTGTGGGAGAAGAAACATCAGGGACAGCACAGCCCAGATCTGGGATCCATGGGGATTCGCAGGTCATTAGGAAAATGTGGGAACCCAGACACTGAGCTTGAGGAAAGCAAGAAAAGAGCTGGGGAGGCTTCAGAGGGAAGTAACATGAGAGCTAAGTCTCAAAGTTAAGTACAATGTTGCCCTGGGAGCAGGATCAAAACTGGAAATCTCATTGCAGATTTTTATGATTCTGATTTTAGGGAATATCTTCCATTTCAATCAGCTCAACATGGCCACAAAGAGATCATAAAGTGTGCAGCAGCGTCGGTGCCTGGAAGTGCTCCAGGTGCGTAGCGGCCAGGCACTGCCTGCTCCCAACTGATTATGAGGTGGTAGATTTGGAATCTTTAAAATTTAAACCACTGCTTCCCATCCCAAATAAGAATGTGGACTATGGGCCTGGCACGGTGGCTCATGTCTGTAATCCCAACGCTGTGGGAGGCCAAGGCAGGTGGTTCACCTGAGGTCAGGAGTTTGAGACCAGCCTGGCCAACACAGCAAAACCACATCTCTACTAAAAATACAGAAATTAGCCAGGTGTGGCGGCACGTGCCTGTAATCCCAGCTACTCTGGAGGCTGAGGCAGGAGAACCACCTGAACCTGGGAGGTGGTGGTTGCAGTGAGCCAAGATCACACCACTGCACTCCAGCTTGGGTGACAAGACTGAGACTCTGTCTCAAAAACAAACAAACAAACAAAAAATAATACAAATAAAAAATAAAATAAAAGGTTTTTAGAATGTGGACGGTGAAGCAATTGCATTTTTCTTCGTAAGTCTCAGGAGAGTCAGGGGCTGGCTTGATACTCCAGCTTGGGTGACAAGACTGAGACTGTCTCAAAAACAAACAAAAAATAAAAAGGTTTTTAGAATGTGGACTGTGAAGCAACTGCATTTTTCTTTGTAAGTCTCAGGAGAGTCAGAGGCTGGCTTGATACTCCAGCTTGGGTGACAAGACTGAGACTCTGTCTCAAAAACAAACAAACAAAAAATAATACAAATAAAAAATTAAGGTTTTTAGAATGTGGACTGTGAAGCAATTGCATTTTTCTTCGTAAGTCTCAGGAGAGTCAGAGGCTGGCTTGATGCTCATGACACGCATCCACCATCTTCCTGGCCCACCGGTGACTTCACGTGCCTAAGCCACCATCAGTGCAGCTATGAGGCTGAGTTCCAGCCAACAGTCTCTGAACCACGGAACGGAGTAGGGTCTGTCTTCCACCCCAAAAACCAACATACAGCACTGCGAAGTAAGGACAAATAAAACTTGTGTCACGTGAAGCCACTGAAGTGTCAGAGCTGTGAGCAGAGCTCTGACCCTGCCTTCACTGGCACACAGGCGTGAGAGGGCAGCTTGAGAGAGAAAGTGACAGTCACTGAGGGTGGAGGGGGCGGGGACGCGGAAGGGGGCGGGGACGCAGAAGGGGGCGGGGACGCGGAAGGGGGCGGGGACGCGGAAGGGGGCGGGGACGCGGAAGGGGGCGGGGACGCAGAAGGGGGCGGGGACGTGGGGCCACACTCCAAACACGTGCTCCTCCCGCCTTGCTAGTCCACTGTTTAAGTCTGGCGAGCTAGAACACAGACGGACAGGGACAGAGGCTGGGTTCTAACCTGAGCCACAGAAGCCACATCCCCTGCCGGGAACTCTCTGTGAACATACGAAGGTACATGGACTGCTTATTTGTCATGTCACGATGGGCTTCACAAGAAAAATGCTTTAAAAGGCAGGAAGCTTCTTGGAGCCCAGCGGCACCGCATTACCAAGATACGATCAGGTTTCCAATGGAACCAAGGCCGGTAAGAGTGGACACCGCCCACCCAGCAGCTGCGAGCGGCTGACCTGCAACGTGTCCTGTCCCTGGGCTTTGTCACTGTATTCAACCACGCAGTCCTGCTCTCGGGTCTGCATAAGTGCGAAGGCTATTAAACAGCAGAGTATCTAAACTGCTCCTGCAGGTGAACGCATGTGGCACGCCTGTGAGTTGGGCTGGCAGAGAAAAGATGCTAAAATACTGATGGAGGAAGTGGGGGGCAGTGGTGGCCACATTGCTCCTGACTTCCGGCAGCACCAGCGGCAGCCAATTAGCCATGGGGTGCCATGGGTGGCCTCCAGGGCCTGCCGGGAGGTGCTGAGCCGGCGCTGGGCTGGAGCGGGCTCTGCGGGCTTCTGGCAGGAAAATGATGGAAGGCCGTGGCCTGGATTTTGCTGCCACACAGATACATGCGGGTGGCATCATTGCCAAATGCACAGAAAGCACAGCCAGGTGAAAACAAGGTGAAATTCCCGCAGAAACCTTCAAACGCAGGGCTGGGAAAGCCTGTGGTCTCCTGGTTGTTGCATAAAAGATTCTCTTTTTTGAAACAACAGTCTTTTGTAGATTTCCCCCACGGCATCCTGTTCTTATGATATTTTACGATGCACTTTGGGTTAGTTGGAGCCTCTGCTAGGTTTTTACCACATGCTTCCCACAGGCTGCTTCTTCCTCTGCCTTCACCCCAAGGGTGATGAAGAGGCTGATGGCAGCCCTTGGCTCTCCACGGCTGCCTTGTCAGGCGCTGCTTTCTTGTTGCTTACTGTGGATCATGACCTCCAGCCTGGCCTCACCAGGTTCCTCGCTCCCAGGCTCTAGGTCTGGGGTCCTTTCCGACACTCCACTCCCCCTCCATGCCCTCCCTCTAAAGCCCAGTCACATCTTGCTATTTTCCCTCAGCAACATCTTTCGGACCCTCTCATGCCTTTATTCACACACCTCAATATCCTCCACCAAAGTTCTGCTTCTCCAAAGTTCTATTAACCTGGTTTTTGTAACTCAATCAGCACAAACTTTTATTCTCCATGCATTGCTATAAAGCTAGCCCCGCCCTTCCTGAACTTGGGAATACAACATTTGGCCACATCGAATTTGGCTACAGGGCATTCTTACACATCTGCAGAAGACCCATGCTGTGAGAGAGATAGATGAGACCAGTGTCAGAATGAAATGAAGGTTTGCTGACTGGAAAATGCCCTAAGCGTAATTATTTATTTTTTATTTAACATTGAAAGTAGAGAAATATGATTTAGGTAAGAATATAGGTAGGGAGACTTACATTGAGCAAAGAATTTTGCTCAAAGTAGATAAGGTGACATGTGCCCAGGAGGGCCCTACAGGGTGCCCTAAGACTGCCTTCAGTCTGCCCACTCACCATCCTATCCATAGGGCACCCTCACAACACTGAAGGTGACTTGGGCAGGTAACTAACATAAACATGATTGATAACAAAATCAAGATTCAAAATCGTCGTGAGGGGTAGGAGCCCCAGACTGAAACCAGTGGTGTGCTGAGCGTCTTGCAAGGACTTACGTGCACATCTTTTCCCAAGTCTGCATTCAGCAATGTTGCACTGGGGGGCTGGAATCTGCCACGGTGAGGGAATTGCACCAGGGACATTTGCACGCTGCAAGGCAGCTCTCTTTCTGCTTTCTGGAATCTGCCACGGTGAGGGTATTTGCACCATGGACATTGGCATGCTGTGAGTCAGCTCTGCTTTCTGGAATCTGCTACGGTGAGGGTATTTGCACCATGGACATTGGCACACTGTGAGTCAGCTCTGCTTTCTGGAATCTGCTACGGTGAGGGTATTTGCACCATGGACACTGGCACACTGTGAGTCAGCTCTGCTTTCTGGAATCTGCCACAGTGAGGGTATTTGCACCATGGACATTGGCATGCTGTGAGTCAGCTCCTTCTGCTTTCTGGAATCTGCCATGGTAAGGGCATTTACACCATGGGCACTGGCACACTGTAAGGAAGCTCTCTTTCTGCTTTCTGGAGAGCCGGTTGCAAGATATTTATCAAGCACACTACCTAGTGAAACTGTGTATAGCCTTAATGCAAGTGAATCATTTCACTAGTTCTTGACCACCTAATGTGAAATTTCTACAGAATTTCAGTCTGTCCCCTGATCTGCTTTGGTACCTGAAATGAGTCTTGGTACCTCGCCTTACCCGTGTAAGTGCTGGAGCAACAGAACACGCACCCCCACACCCTGCTCTGGAGCAGGGCAAGCCTCGTGCTGGATGGGAGGTGACACTGATTCTCCCCCACCCGAGGACAGCGCTGGATACCTCGAACCAGAGGCCACCACGTGTACTTCTTCCTATTCAATAACTCTGTGGTTTTGCTGAAATGTTTCATCGCTGACCAGCTTTATGAACTTGGGTAGTCACATCCCCTCTCTGAGGCTCATCAGAATCATTACTTAGAAACTGTGGACAAGAATGCTAATTTCAAAGTAGCACTGGCAGGATAAAATTACAGATGAGTGTAAAAATGATTTGCATTTATTCGTTTGCCTGTGAGTCTTTAGTGCTAATCAATCTTCCATAAAATACACCAGAATACCACATTATTTGTGTGTGATTAAGTAAAATACAGTTTAAGATTCTGACCTACTATTTTTCTGAGAAGCAGTGAAAATTTTAAACATTGACAAAAATTGTTTGCCTATGTCTTAGCTCATACAGAAATGATAATTTATGGATAGGTTTATAGAGAATTTATCAAATGGACCCTGTCGTGTAAGTTTGCTGGAACCTTAACTGAAGGTGTTGTTGGGCTTGGACTGGCTTGGGTTTGGACTCAGGAGCGTGATGATGTAGCGATGGTGCTGACGACACTAGCTAACGTTTATTAAGCACTCACTCAGTACATAAAGCATGGATCACAGGCCCCGCCACTCATGCTTGACCTGCATCTTCCCATTTCATCCTCATGACACTCCTGCCATAGCTTACCATTATTGTTGCATAGTAAGAAATGTGCCTGGTCTTTGTCCTGGGTTCCTAGGAGGTAACATCTAAGCCTGCGGAATTTCCTGAGTGATGGGAATTTGTTACTCAAGGAGGTCCCTAGGCATCTTAGGGTCTGCATGGGGCTGGCCACACCAGAAAGGCCAACTATGCAATTACAGGGTGGGGCCGCATGGTATAGCTGAACTTTGACCTCCCAAAAGGGAGGAGGCTTGAGAAGGAGCTCATCACCTGGGCAGTGATCCCTACAGAAGGAGGCCCCGGTGAGAACTCGCAGACGTGCGGGAGGGGAAGTGCCCCCTGCCCCCTTCCACAGGGAGAGGGCCCGGGAACCCCAGGTTGGGACCCTCCTGATCTCGACCGGCCCTGGATGCGTCTCCGCTGCTGGGTCCTCAGCGTGGCCTCGGTGGTAGGGCTGCAGTTGTGAGGACAGAGCTTTTCTGAGTTCTGCGAGTCGTTCTAGTGAACTACGGACCCCAGAGAGGCTGTGGGAGCCTTGAACTTGTGGTCAGAAGTGAGAGTGGCCTGGGGAGCCGCAGACTTGGTGCTGGCATGGAAGTAAGTGCGATGTTGGCGACTATGCCCAAACCTCCGACTCCAATGCCAGTGCTGGGGGGTTCGTGCCGGGATTGCATCACAGCCCACCCAAGTACTCCCTCCAGTCCTCTGGTGGGGAAACTGAGACTGCAGATGGGAAATAGCCAGCACCCTCCTCCCCTCTAGTTTGCGACATGGATGAGCCAAACCCTGGTGTGGGCCCTTCAAGCCACGTTGCAGGAATGTGTCCTGTGAACATGGAGTTTCCTCCAGATCGTCTTGTTAGAGCACACCATCAAAAATAATGAGAAAAGAGGGTTTCCCCATGAGGGCGCATCCCTAGAGAACGGGGAGGAGAGTCTCCTGTGCCGTGATCCAGGGTTTCTTTTTGGTTTAATGAACAAGAGCACACAGGCTACATTAAATGGTGTTTTTAAAATCTCATCCCAAAACAATAAAAACAGGAGATCCCAGTAGACACAGGAGTGTTCAAGAAAAAAAAAATACATAATGGGCTAAGAAAAGCGCTGCATTTGACATACAAGTGAGCTTTGCTGGCAGCCACACAATGCTGGCCTCTTCTCCCTGTATACTCTCGTGAGCCGGCTTTCCTCAGCTACTGGGGAACAGGATGTGATTTTTCTTACGCTGCGTTGAATGCAAGGAATTTGTTTGTTTATTTTCATTCATTTCCTATGGATACAGGCAGATGTGTAAGTTGAGCTTTAACTCACAAAAGTGCCCACGGATGCGTTGATGTGTTTTAAACCGGGGGCTGCACAGAGGCCTTGCTGCGGCTGTGTCTGCTCCATCCTGAACCGATGATTACAGCCCCAGAGAACCTGATATTAAGCTGCTCTTTGAGTCTTATCCAGGCATAATGTGCTGCTCTGTTGAAAGGCTGGCGCTGGGAGAAGACGCAGAGGGCGTCACCACAGCCATTACGAGGCCATCATGCAGCCAAACCCACACTTTCCGCAGCCAGCGGCAGGCAGCCCGGTGAAGGGGGCGATTAGAAACCGGGCCCAGCCCTCCACGGTAACAAGCTCAGAGAAAGCCTATTCGGGGACAGCTTTTGCAGACAGGGGCAGCCCGTCACACTCTGAAGAGCAGAGACTTTGTGCTCGTTTAAAAACGTCAACTGCTTTGGGTGAACTGGCAGCAGGGGCATGGGCACAGCATCCCTCGGGCGAGGCAGGCACCCTCCACCCTCACAAGACCCATCGTACATCCCTCTCGGCCCCCCAGGGAATGGAGTCAGGCTGGCTGAGCCAGCATTTGTCTCCCTGCCTGTCATTCTTTTGGGGTGCAACCTTGCTCTTTTCTCTATGTGCTCTGAACCTTTTCCTACGCGGGGCAGGGTGCTTTGAGCCTCGCCTGGGAGGCCTTAATGAAGTTTTATGGCAAGACCCTAAAACTCAAGCAGCGGAGAGAGAGGTGCCCTAAAGATGGGCGTCTGGTGACAAAGGCAGATGCGGCAGAGGCCAGCTCTTGCTGTGTCTTCCTTACCCAGGAACCCTGGAAGTTTCTCGTGAGCCTACGCGAAGCAGTGCTGCCCCAGGGAAGCCCCTGGCAGCTCAGGCTTCCATGGAGTCCATGTCCACCTGAAAGGTACAAAAGGCAGTTGAGCAAGAGTGACGTAGCACCTTGCAGCGCCATGCCACATGCTGCCAGTCAGGGTTGGCTTTGGAGGAACATGCCACATTCTAGTCATTTGTCTCCCATACACAGTGCACCTGTCGCTGTTCAGGGACAAAAAGCATTTCTGCTTGCCAGGCTGACACGGAGGTCACAGAAGGTTCTCCAAAGTACATCAGTGAGGGCAATTAAAAACTAAGCCTCACTGGCCACTCTAGATTTAACCAACCAAGAAAGGAACCCGATGATAACAATGGCCGACCACTTGGATAGATAAATCAGCATGAACATAAGAGTGCATTCCAGTGACATCAACCCTTTGCTGTGATTAGCCCAGGCAGGGACGGCGGCAGTGGGGGGGCCCGGATTGCCACTGGGATATGCCAACCCTTGTCGTGATTAGCCCGGGCAGGGACGGCGGTAGTTGGGGGGGGTCAGGTTGCCACTGGGATACGCCAGCCCTTGTTGTGATTAGCCTGGGCAGGGACGGTGGCAGTGGAGGGGCCCGGGTTGCCACTGGGATACGGCAACGCTTGTCGTGATTAGCCCGGGCAAGGACGGCAGCAGTGGGGCGGGGTGGGGGGGCGCCGGGCTGCCGCTGGGATGTGCCAACCCTTGTCGTGATTAGCCCGGGCAGGGATGGCAGCAGTGGAGGGGCCCGGGTTGCCACTGGGATATGCCAACCCTTGTCGTGATCAGCCCGGGCAAGGACGGCGGCAGTTGGGGGGGCTGGGTTGCCACTGGGATACGCCAACCCTTTGCTGTGATTAGCCTGGGCAGGGACAGCAGCATGGGGAGGCCCGGGTTGCCACTGGGATGTGGGTGGGCTGTGTTTTGTGTGTGATGTTGATTCACTTAGCAACTGTCCTTGACCCCAAACTAAATACCACATATGCCACTTTGTATTCTTTCCCCATCTTTTCCGGCGTAGGACGAGACCCGAGCTTTGGTGTGCCTGCGTCTGCATTCTGTCCAAGGATGCCAAAGCAGATGTTTGCACTCTGAGATTTATCCGTGGAATATGCAGTGTGACTCACGGTGAAATTGCAGAATGAGATAAACTGGCTGAAACCTGGCTCAAAGGTGGGTTCTAAGGTTCAGCTGGAGTTTTTCAGTGTTACTATTTATAGTGGTGAATCTGAACTCTTGGCCACGTCCCAGAGCAAGGAGCAGTCCCCTGCGAGCCCACAACTGTGTGATCACGGCAACAGGACATGCTCAGAGGGAATCTGTCCAACCCGACGCCCTCATGGGAGCCAGTTCCCTCCTGTCTTAAACTGTTCAATTTTTGGTTTTTAGATCCAGCAATCTTATTATGCAGAGCATCTTTTTTATATGCCTATTTGACTTTTGTGATACACTTTTAATGTCATTTAAAAATTGGGCTTCAGGGTTGCTTTTGGCCAGGTAGGGTGGCTTATGCCTGTAATCCTAGCACTTTTGGGAGGATGAGGCGGGCAGATCACCTGGGGTCAGGAGTTCGAGACCAGCATGGCCAACATGGTGAAACCCCATCTCTATTAAAAATACAAAAATTAGCCAGGTGTGGTGGTACACGCCTGTAATTCCCAGCTACTCAGGAGGCTGAAGCAGAAGAATCACTTGAACTGGGAGGCGGAAGTTGCAGTGAGCTGAGATAGCACCATTGCACTCCAGCCTGGGTGACAGAGCGAGACTCTGTCTCAAAAAAATAAAAATAAAATAAGAATAATAAAAATTGGGCTTCAGAAGGGCAAATCTCAACGTTTTAGAATCAGTTTCTGGTGCAGCTGAAGGAAGCACAGAGTTGCTGTCTCAAAGCATGGATGTCCCCGCTGGGTTCCTGCTGGAGCTCCCAGGCATCTCAGAGCTGCCGTCCCAAATCACTCCAGAGCTTCCTGCTGCCCGAGGTCTGTCCCTGCTCCTCCCTGAGTCACTCCCCTTCTCTGTGGCTCAGCACCTAGCTGTCCGTCCCCTCGACCTCCTTCTCAAGCCGCCACTAGATCCTGGAGCAGCAAGGGTGCCATCCTGTCTCACTGACCCTTACAAAATTCCCCAGTCTGTCTATGGAGATGGCCTACCCACAGCCCTCCTCCACGTCTTCCACAGAAGTTGTTTAAAAACGTGATGAGTTTCCTTGTGAAACACGCCCAGAGGCCGAATCAGAGCGGAGTCCCCTGCATGGCCCCCCCCCGGCTGTTGTGTTCCCTCTTGTACTGTACCCCGTTTTCTGGGCCCAACCGTGGGGACCCCTCTCACTCTCTCCAGCACGGGACTTGCTATCTGGCCTGAGGGCTTTTGGACACACGTCCTCCACCCACCTCCTAATTCACCACTAACCACATCTTAGGTTTCTCTTTCCTGAGGGGATGGCCCTCCCCTGAAGGAGGCTTCCACTGTAACTCGGGCCTCCCTCTACCCCGGGGAGGTGGGGGCCTGACCTGGTGCATCTGGGAGGAACGCTGGGCATGTCTATCCTGGCCCTCCTTCTTTCTCCTGGGAGTGAGGAGCCCAGGAAGCATGACCTCCCCAACTCCATCACGCCACAGGGGCTGAGGCCACGTGGGCACAGCTGCCACGGCTACACTCTGGGGCTCAGGGAGCAGGCACCTGGCTTGTACAGAGGGCGTCCTGCAGCCTGGGCTTGCTAGTGACTACCTTACTTTGCTGACGCTGCAATAACAAAACATCTCAGACTGAGTGATTGTTAAACACCAGAAACGTGTTGCTCACCATTCTAGAAGCTGAGAAGTCCAAGATCACGGTGCTGGCAGATTCCGTGTCTGGTAAGGGCTTTTTCTGCTTTGTGAGTGGTGCCTCTTTTATAAGTCATTAATCCCATTTATGCAGGCTCTGTCCTCCTGACCTAATCCCCTCCCAAAGCTCCACCTCTCAATACTACGGCATTGGAGGCTAGGTTTCAGCACAGAAACTGGGTAGAGCTGGAACCTTGGCCTCCATCCTTATAAAGGTGCTCAGATTCTGGGTGTGACTTCCTCAGAGAGCCTGGACATGTTCAAATGGCTCCTCTGTTTGGGGGTGGTTTCCCCCATGCTGTCCTTGTGATAGTGAGTTCTCACCAGATCCGATGGTTTTATACAGTTCCTCCTTCACATGCTCTCTCTCACCTGCCACAGGGTGAGATGTGCCTGCTTCCCCTTGTGCCATCATTGTAAGTTTCCTGAGGCCTCCCCAGCCATGCGGAACTGTGTCGATTAAACCTCCTTTGTTTATAAATTACCCAGTCTCGGACCGTTCTTTCCAGCAGTGTGAGAATGGACTAAAGCAGACAGGGAGCATGTCTCCTCTGTTCAGGACTGACACAGGGTGCCCAAGCCGGCACCAGCTGCAACACCCAGAGGCCTCCACGCGAACTCCGCTAGCTGTCTGCCCTTTCCTAGCTCAGAGCCTTTGTGTGTGTGGCTCCTCCCACCCTAGATGCCTTTCCCACCTCTGTGCCCATTCACACGTGCAGGACCCACCTGGCCCTGTACCCAGCACAAGCCTTCCCAGCCTCCTGCTCTCGGAGCTGAGGGCCCACTGGGAACGGGGCCTGCCCACTGTGTGGGGCCTGGAGCCTGCCTTTGTAACGCTGTCTTCCTCTGTTCCATTAGGGTTCCAAAGACAGATCATGGCTAAAGAAGAGATCCTGGAGAAGGCAGAGCTGTTCCCCTTATGGTGATGGCGATGATGATGAGGTGACGATGACGGTGATAATGATGACGGAGATGGTGTGAGCCATCCTGTACTGAGCACGTGTCTGTTTTGGGTGCAGGATAAGTGCCTTACACATGTGTTCTCTCTTTGCTCTGCTCGTCTGCAGCTGTAGGATGACGACTGATGTGTGGGGAAGTTAGACGGCTATGTGCGAGACCAGCAGCTGGAATGTGGCAGGATGCCATGGAAACCGACCTCTGAACCCAACCCACGTTTCCGACGGGCCCCGGCTCTGTTGGGAAATGCCAAGTGTCCGTGCAGTGCAGAGGGTGGACCGTGAGGGATGCACAGGCCTTTTTGATGTGCACTGGGCAGGGACCACCTGTTGACTTGTTCAAGTAGAAGTGTGAGTTGGCAAAAGCCCAGATTCACTTTTCTGTGTCCTCTTTCACTTTCATCTGCGTGTGTTGGGTTTATACATATGCATGCACGTGTGTGTACATGTATGCATGGATAAATGCCCATGTGTGTATTCATGTGCATATGTATACATATGTATATGCTCCCATGTGGGTGTACACACAGTACACATATGCATTTGTGCATGCATGTGCATGTACATCTGCAAATACTCCCACATGGGTGTACACACATGTATTTGTGCATACGTGTGCATGTACATGTTAGGGTTTATGTATACGCTCCCATGCGGGTGTACACACATGTATTTTTGCATGTACATATGTATATGCTCTCATGCGGGTGTACACACATGCATTTGTGCATGTACATCTGTATATACTCCCACACGGGTGTACACACATGCATTTGTGCATGTACATATGTATACACTCTCATGCGGGTGCACACACATGCATTTGTGTGTACATGTGTATGTACTTATGTATATGCTCCTACGTGGGTGTACACACATGCATTTGTGCATACGTGCTCATGTACATGTGTATACGCTCCCACGCGGGTGTACACACATGCATTTGTGCGTATGTGTGCATGTACATGTGTATGCATGTGTGTGCACATTCACAGATTCATGTTCATATGTGCACATGTGTATAGACATATCGTTCATATTTCCC
Organism: Homo sapiens; assembly: GCF_000001405.40. Classification (NCBI taxonomy): domain Eukaryota; kingdom Metazoa; phylum Chordata; class Mammalia; order Primates; family Hominidae; genus Homo; species Homo sapiens. The sequence continues at coordinate 111,895,218 of NC_000013.11, read as the reverse complement.
CATGGAAAAGACACATTCTGCTTACAGAAGCCTTTCCTTGTCTGTCACATATTTCCTCTAGCCCTTAGTTTCTAACTCTTTTTTTTTTTCTCCTTTTCCTTTTTTAGAGTGAGGTCTAGTGAGCATGTATTGAACTGGTCAGATCTCAAGTGCTACCATTCAATGAGTTCTGACCAGTGCTCGTTTGTGAGTACCCCACATCCTGAGCAAGCTACAGAGCATTCCATCACCCCAGAAGGCAGCTTGTGCCGTCCTGTCACCCCCACCTGGTGCCCCATCACATGTCTGTGCTCTTCTGTCGAGTTGATTTAACTTCGCCTGGGGTTCTCCAGCATTCAACTCCTTTGGAGTTTCTGCCATTCTCCAGGGTCTGATTTTGTTTTTGCTCCCAAGACTTACTTCTACATTCACATTAAAAAGTCTTCATTTCACACAAGAGGGGCCAGAAACATCTCTCTGTTGTTCTCTTGCCCTTAAGACCCACGGCCACAGGCCACTCCTGTCCTTCTAGAAGCTGGTCGCAGGTTGAGCAGGGATCAGAAAGCTGCATCAAGTTGACCCAGTCACTCACATTTAATATTAGGTTGGTGGAAAATAATTGCGGGTTTTGCTACTTTTTTTTAGTGACAAAAACGCAATTTATTTTGCACCAGCCTATTAGTATTTACTGTCCTAAGCTTTTTGTACGTGGCAAACCTCAGGATACCCCTGCGGATCCACACGGCCAGCACCCTCATTTAGAGATGAAGAGACTGATGTTCAGAGTGGTTCAGAGAGTCAGATGATCTGCCACTCTGCCGGAGGCCGGTTAGACAGCAGGACGGAGTCACCCTGGAGTGCTGCTCTCTAGCCAGATCATTCCCTTCGCTCCCGGAGCGTGGGAGAGGCCGCCTCTGGCTGCTTTTGTGCAGCGTAGAATGATGTCTTTTGTCACGGTCTCTGGGAAGCTGGAGAAGGTGCACGCCCTTCAGGACCCCCACCGAGCCCCAGGCCTCCGGATTTCCTCTTCCTAAGTCTCCCCTGGGGTGTTCTGTAAAGTCTTTTCCTGCTCCTAAGACCCTCCTGCTACCACCCCCTCTCCCAGACTTCTCACTTTTCCTGCTCTTCCAGTCACCCAGGTCTGCTTCCTCTCCCTGCCCATGAGCCAGCCTTGCCCGGAACCCGGGGTGATGACTCCCAGTGGGTGCTACTCAGTCCCTTAGGCCCCCGGCAGATGGTTCTCCTGCGCCCATGGCTCCAGGGCTGGGGTCCCCGGCCCCCCAACTGCCTCCCTGGCCTTCTCTGTGGTCCCCTCCCTTCCCACTCCCTCACTGTCGCTGCTCCCAGCCCCTGGGGCAGAACCAGACCCTTCTCCCTCCACAGCACCGCCACCCCCCAACAGCTCGGGCTGCCCCTCCAGACTCGTGGTGTCCGTGAACTACCTGACGGCCGACTGCTCCCAGACCTACACCCCAGGCCGGCGTCCCCGTGCTCCAGCCTCGAGGGGTTCCAGCCGCTCTCTGGGCATTTGCACCGAGACGCCAGGGAGACAGCGCATCTCCCCCAGGGTTCCTGTCTCAGTGAACGGCTCCGGCCCAGAACCCTACTCGGCTTTCTTACCTCCCCTTCTTCCTAACCTACTTCTAACCACTCGCTGTGGCTTACTCGTCTCAATCCCAAACGGCTCTCAAAAGAGGCTTCTGGTTTGCCTGCCCTTCGCCACGGGAGTGGGGAGCCACCGTCCCTCCCACAGCCCTCCAGCGGCCTCCGGGCGCCCACCGGGCCCCTCACCCGAGGCTTCTCGATGGGACAGGCTGTGCTGCGCTCCGAGAAACGGACATTCTCTGGCTGTCACGAGGGTCGTTAGAAAACAAGTCACTTCCGCCAGCAGCGCAACTGCGCAGGAATGTGATCCCCTCCCGGACGCGGCTAAGAATAACGTGCCTCGTTAGCGCATTGAAAACAGCGGCACGAAATCACACGGGGCGCGCTGACAACCACGTTGGCAGCTCAGCGTGGGGTCGCTTTTCCTCCCATGCAACTCCATGGGAATTCTTAAACACGCTTTCTCCCAGAGCAGCAGAGGCGCGGGGCGGGCCCCTCTGGAGTGAGCAACATGTTCTTATTCTAATTATGCTGGTAATTAGAGCGCAGGTCTTTGAACCTCAACCAGCCACGTTCCCGCCTCCAGGACTCACGCAGGATGAGAAGCGGGTCTGAAGGTTTCCTGCTGCCCAAGGCTGTTTGCCGCTGTTGTGAAGGGACTTTAAAAAATAAACCCACCTGTGGATTTGTGTTTGTTGTTTGTTTGTTTCCTTGCCTCGTCATAAATTGCTGGTGTCCAGATCACTGTTTGGTGTTCTGTATATATTGAAGCAAACGGCAAACAGCCTTTCCCTCTTTTTCATTGTGATTTGAATTTTGTGGCATGCGAGGGCTGACATTTCATTATTTCCACTAAAGCTTGGAATCGGAGACCAGTGATCTAAAGGAACGGTATAGGGAGTGCATTTGTTTTGTTTTCTGAGGTCTGCATTTGTCTGTGCATTTGAATAGGGCGTATGTCTTTGGTTGGGCAATGAATTCCTCCATATCAAAATTTTCAAATATAAACTGAGCCAAATAATCAAGCTGATTTACAAAGCGATTTCTGCAGAATGAATGATAGCCTTAAGTAATTGCCAGAGGAAGTCCCGCAAACCTTACGTTTATGACAAGAATGAATTGGTCCATTTTGAGGAGTGAGGGTAAATAAATACTCCAGGCTCTGAACAAACCAGGGAGAGACCTGGGTGTGGAAATCCAATCTTTTGCCATCACTGTCAAAAAATGTATTGAGAGTGTCCTATAAGCACGGTGCTGAGCCACATACTTTGGGTGATAAGAGATGTCAAAGACCTCTGTGCTCTGTGATCCCCTAGCCAGTGAAACACAAGTGTACATACCTGTATATTGAATGTCAGGATGCCTGTGCCAACTGTGGTAGGTAACCAATGTATAGCCCAGGGCTCACAGGGTGACAGAGGAAGGGGTCTCTTTCCAGCCCCAGGAAGATCTTGCTTGTCTATCTTGCTCTACCTGACTTTTTTTTTTAAATGTCCTTATTAAAAAATAATAATTCTTAAGATTATCCCATTATGTCTATTTTCTGTTATATCTAAGCTATATAAAATTCTCTAGCCAAATATTTGAAAAAAAAAAAAAGCTTCTAAAATGCTTCTTTATTGAAGGAACAAATAGAAAACCCAGGGTTGGAAAAATTAACCCTAAAATCAGAAACAGTTCAGAACTGCAATCAACCAAATGTAGGTTAAAGGCAGGATCTTTAAGAACAGTGAGAACACTCAGCCTGGACCCTCAGCAAAAATGGGAGACTTCTTGGTTCCAGACATTTAAGACCTTAGACATTTTTGTCTAATCATTAGTTGACCACTAAGATAACTGAGCAGAGACTTCATTGGCCACATATGATTTTAAAAATTATAGACTTTATAAAATTTGTTTAGGAAATTTACTAAACAAAGAATAACAACCAGCCTGGAGGAAGGGGAAGAATCTGATTTCCAGAGTTGGTGCATTATATTACATAAAATGTCCAGCTCTCAACAAAAAGCTGTGGGACAAGGAAAGAGACAAGAAAGTGTGACCCACACACAAAGAAAAAGATATGTGATACAAATTATTCCCGGGGAAGCCCAGACATTGAACTTTTTAGACAAAGCCTTTATTTAAATCTTCTATTGTTAATATGCTCAAAGAACCAATGGAAAGTATGAAAACAATGTCTCACCAAATCAAAAATATCAATACAGAGGCAGAAATTATAAGAAAATAACCAAATAGAAAGTCTGGAGCTAAAAACTACAGTAACTGAAATTAAAAATTCACCAGAAGGAACCAATAGCAGATTTTAGTAAGGTTAAAGAATCGGCAAACTTAGAGATACATCAACTGAGATTATTCATTCTGAGAAACAGAAGAAAGAAAATGAAGGGAAATAAAGAGAGCCTCAGAAACCTGTGGGAAATGATCCAATAAATAAACATATGTGTAATGGGAGTCTCAGAATGAAAGGAAAGACAAAAAGGGAAAGAAAGACTATTTGAAGAAATAATGGCAAAAAACTTCCCAAATTGAATAAAAAACATTAATCTATATAACCAAGGAGCTCTCTGAATTCCAAGTAGGGTATCTTTTGACAAAGACAAATTTTCAAAGAAACTCTTGAAAGCAGCAACAGGGAAGTGCTTCATGACATACGAGGGATTCTCGATAAGATCCACAGCTGGTTTTACATTAGAAACTATAAAGGCAAGAAGGCAGTGGAGTAACATTTACAAAATGCTGAAAGAAAAGAAAGTCAAGTAAGAGTTCCGTATCCAGCAAAACTGTTCTTCAAAAATGAAGGAGAAATTAAGACATTTCCAAATAAACAAAAACCTGAGAGACTTTCACTGTCAGATCTGCCCCACAAGAAATACTAGAATCTTTCAGGGTGGAATGAAAGAACATTAGACTGTAACTCACATCCAAATAAAGAATTTTTTTCTAAAGTACCACCAGTAAATGTAATATAGCTAAATATAAAACACAGCATAAAAGTATTTTTTGTTTGTACCTTTCTTCTCCTATCTGATTTAAAAGGAAATAGCATAAAGCAACAATTATAGATCTGTGATGATAGACATGCATTCTGTAAAGATGCCAATTATAGGATAATAACACCATAAATGGGGGAGGATAAAGCTACAGAGGAGTAAAGTTTTGTGTACAATTAGAATTAAATTGGTATTAATCCAAACTAGATGATTTTAAGATACTAATGGTAATCCTCGGTCAACTACTAAGAAAATAACTCCATAACTCAAACAATATACTAAAAGAAACAAGGGACTTAAAATTGTACACTAGAAAATATACATTTAGCACAAAGGGAAACAGTAATGATAAGATATGGGAACCCAAAAGACATAAGGCGTATAGAAAACAATTAGCAAAATGGCAGATGTAAACCAGACCTTATAAATAACTACATAAAATATGAATGAATTAAATGCTCTAGTCAAAAGATAGATATTGGCAGGATGAATAAAAATGGCATGATTCAACTATATGCTGTCTGCAGTGATATACTTTATTTCAAATGACATAAGTAGGTTGAAAGTGAAGGGATGGATAAAGATATACTGTGCAAACAATAACCAAAAATGAGCTGGCATAGCTATACTAAAATAAACTTTGAGACAAAGCTGCTGCTAAAGACAAAGTAGGACAATTTTAATGATAAAAGATCAATCTATCAAGAAGATATAACAACTATAAACAATATGCATTTAAAAACAGAGGCTAAAATACACGAAGCAACAACTGACAGAATTGAAGGTAGAAATAGTTAATAATAATACCCAAATACTTCAGTATCTGACTTTTAATAATGAATGGAACGATTACACTTAAGATCAATTGATAAATAGAAAGTCTACAAAACACTATACATCAACTAAACCTAAACAATACATACATAACATTTTATCCAACAGTAGAATACATACTCTTCTCAAGTAAACATGGAACATTCTCCAGAATAGACTAAATGTTAGGCCATAGTGTATTCAGTAATTCTAAATTTATTAAAACTTTTTTAAAGGATTTAAATTTAAATTTAAAATTCAATAAATTTAAAATGATTAAGATAATAAAGAGTATGATTTCTGATCACAATGCAATGAAACTAGAAATCAATAATGGAAGGAAATCTGGGAAAATTAAAAGGTGGAAATAAATTTACATCCTCCTAAATAACCCATGAGTCAAAGAAGAAATCACAAAGGAAATTAGGAAGCACATTGAGATGATTGAAAACAAGGACACAGCATAACAAAACTTACGGGATGCAACTAAGCCAGTGCTTTTCAGAGTATTTATAGCTGTAAATATGTACCTTTTTAAAAAAATAAAAATTTCAAATCAGTAAGCTAACGCTCTTAAGACATTGAAAAATGAGGAGCAAAATAAATCTAAAGCAAGCAAAAGGAAGAAAATAGTAAAAATGAGAGTAGATAGAAACAAGTAAAATCAGGAATTAAAACCAATAGAGAAAATCAACAAAAGCAAAAGCTTTTCTCTTTTCAAAGATCAATAATATTGATACACTTTAGACTGCGAAGAAAAAGAAGATTCAAATCACTAAAATCAGGAATGAAGAAAGGAATAATACTCCTAACAGAAATAAAAAGGATTACAAGTGAATGCTATGAACAGTTACATGCCAATGAATTAGATAACTTAGATAAAAGGTGCAAATGCCTAGAAAGAAACAAGCTACTGAAACTGACTCAAGAAAAAAAAATCTGAATAGACCTGTAACAAGAGATTTAATTGATAATCAAATAATTTCCCACAAAGACCAAATAATTTCAATGGTAAATATTACCAAATATTTAAAGAATAATGAATACTTTTTCTTTATAAACTCTTCAAAAAACAGAAGAGAAGGGAATAATTCTTAACTCTTTACATTAAGCTAGTATTACTGTGATCCCAAAGCCAGGCAAAGACATCACAAGAAAAGAAAAGTGAATACATATGAAAACTGATCATGCTAATAAAATAAAGAATAAATGCCACATGGTTAACTCACAAGATAAATCATTTGACAAATCCCAACATCCTTTGCTGATAAAAAACAATCAACAAATTATGAATAGAAAGGAACTTTCTCAACTTCAGAGAAGACATATATAAAAATCCACAGTTAATATCATGTATAATAATGACATACTGAAATATTTTCTACTAAAATCAGGAACAAGACAAAAAAAGAAGTGCTTTTAAGAATTTTATTCAACATTGTACTGGATATTCTAGCCAGAGCAATTAGGTAAGGGGAGAAAAGCATTCAGATTGTAAAGAAAGAAGTAAAACCATCTCTATTCACAAATGACCTAAGTGTGCATATATGATATCCCCAAAATCCACACACACAAAAATTAGTATAAACAAGTTCTGCCCTGTTTCAAGATACAAGCAAATATCAATTTTATGTCTATATACTACTAATGAGCTATCTAAAAATAAAATTCAAAACCAATTACATTTACAATAGCATAAAAATTTAACAAAATAAATGCAAAACTTGTACACTAAGAACTATAAAATGTTACTGAAAACAATTAAAGAAGACCTAAAAAAATAAAAAGACATTCACTGTTTACAGAACAAGAGACTGAATAGTATTAAGATGGGAAAATGCCCCAGATTTGATGCTATCAAAATCCCAGCTGGCTTTTTTGTAGACATTTTAAGGTAAGCCTAAAATGTATATGGAAATGCAAGAGACCCAAAACTGCCAAGACAATCTTGTAAAAGAAGTTGGACGATACATTTCTTGATTTCAAAACTTACTACAAAGCTAAAATAAACAAGGCAGTGTCGTCTGAGCATAAGAATAGACTCATAGATCAATGGAGGAGAAGAACTGAGAGTCCAAAAATCAACCATCACACTTAGAGTCAATCAATTTTCAATCAAGGTGCCAAGACAATTCAATGGGCAAAGAGTTGTCTTTTCAACAAATCGTGCTGGGACGATTGGATACACAATGCAAACAAATAAAGTTGGACCTTTACATGATACCCTATACAAAGTTTAACTGAAAATGGATCAAAGACTTAAACGTAAGTGCTAAAACTGCAAAACTCTTGGAAGAAAACTTAGGCACAGAACTTCATGACCTTGAAGTAGGCAATGGTTCTTAAATATGGCACCAAAAACACAAGCAACAAAATAAAAAAAATAGATAAACTGGATATTATTGAAATTATAACCTTTTGTCCTTCACAGAGACAACACCAAGAAAGTGAAAAGACAAATCTACAGGATGGGAGATTTTCAAATTATATACCTGACATAGGTCTAGTAACCAGAATATGAAAGGTACTCTTACAACTCAACAATAAAAAGACCAGTCACCTAATTTATAAAATGGTCAAAGGATTTGAATAGAACGTCCTCAAAGACAATATACAAATGGCCAATAAATGTAGGCAGACGTATTCAACATCATAAGTCATCGGGGAAATGCATATCAAATCCACAATGAGATATTGCTTCATACGTGCCAGCTTACTATGATCAAAAAGATAATAAGTGTTGATGAGGGTATGGAAAGTTGGAACTCCAATTCTTGTCTTGTGGAAATACAGAATGTGGCAGATGCTATGGAAAGCAGTGTGAAAGTTCCCCAAAACTTAAACATGGAGTCACCATATGACCCAGAAATGTTACTTATATACTCAAGAGGATTAGAAACATACACAAAAATTTGTACACATATATTTACAGGAGCATTATTCATAACCAAAAAGTAAAAACAATCCAAAGCTCTATCAACTGATGAGTGAATAAACCATCTTCCAACGTGAATTCACCATTTTGCATTCCCACCAGCAGTGTGTTCCCATTGCTCTCATCCCCACCAACATGTGCTGTGGTCAGTTTGCTTCTTTTCTAGACATTCTGAAGGGTGCCTAGTGGTTTGTTGTTGTGGTTTTATTTTGCATTTCTGTGATGACTAATGACGCTGAGCTTTTGAGATGGAGTCTCACCTTTGTTGCCCAGGCTGGAATGCAATGGTGCAATCTCAGCTCACTGCAACCTCCACCTCCTGGGTTCAAGCAGTTCTCCTGCCTCAGCCTCGCAAGTAGCTGGGATTATAGATGCCCACCTGGCTAATTTTTTTTTTTTTGTATATTTAGTAGAGACGGGGTTTCACCATGGTGGGCAGGCTGGTCCCAAACTCCTGACCTCAGGTGTTGCGCCTTGGCCTCCCAAAGTGCTAGGATTACAGGTGTGAGCCACCGTGCCCCCGGCCTGATGTTGAGCATTTTATGTGCTTATTTGCCATAGTAAAATAGGTTTAGTTTTTGCCCATTTTTTAATTGGTTGAGTACTACTTATTGTTGAGTTTTGACTGTTCTTTAGGTATTCTGAATATAAGTCCTTTGTCAGATAAATAATTTGCAAATATTTTCTCCTAGCCTTTGGCTTTTCTCTTAACAGAATCTTCCATACAGCAAAATCTTTTAGTCTGGATAAAGTCTAATTTATATTCTTTGTTTAAAACATCTTGTTTCGGGTGCTATTGCCAAGACTTATTTCTTTGCCTAAGATCATGAATATTTTCTCCTATCTTTTCTTCTAATAGGTGTGCCCTTACCATACAAGACAGCAATCCCACTCCTGATATTTATCCAAGTGAAATGAAAACTTGTTTGCACAAAGACCTATACATGAATGTGTACAGTAGCTCTTGCCATAATTACCAAAAGTTAGTCACCAGCCACATGTTCCTCAGTTGGGGAATGTGTATTTCACCGCACCACGGAATGCTGAGCAGCACGTAAGCACCAACATGGTGACCCTCAAGTGTTTTATGATGAGAGAAGGTAGGCTGGGCACGGTGGCTCACACCTGTCATCCCAGTACTTTGGGAGGCTGAGGTCGGTGGATGGCTTGAGCTCAGGCATTTGAGACCAGCCTGGACAACATGGTGAGACCCTGTCTGTACGGAAAATACAAAAAGTAGCCAGTCGTGTTGGTGCGTGCCTGTGGTCCCAGCTACTCGAGAGGCTGAGGTGGGAGGATGGCTTGAGTCTGGGAGGTCAAGACTGCAGTGAGCTGAGATCATGCCACCACACTCCAGCCCGGGTGACAGAGCAAGACCCTGCCTCAAAAAAAAAAAAAAGTCTCCAAATGTTACATATTGTACTATTCCATTCATATGTCATTCTGGAAAAGAAGTGATCTATGGTTATCAGGGATTCAGGGTAAAGGGAGGTGTGGCACGAAGCTGTACTGGGGGGTGGTTTCGAGGTGTGGTGAAAGGGTTCTGCATCTTGGTGTGGTGGTGGGTACATGACCATACATATGGGCCAAAACTCACATAACTGTACACCAAAAAGGGTGAATTTTATTATACGTAAATTGAAAATAAAATTTTAAAAAACTAAGGAAGGAAAAGTATTCAGAGATGAACAGTGATGTGTTGATCAATGGATTGCTATAAACATTGAAATACTTCCCTTAGGTTATTTCACTTATTAAGATGCTAACTCTTCAATGGCAGCAATGAACTATTACTAATCTCTGTGTGCTTGAACCTCACGTATTGCCTGGCCCATAGTAGCTCCTCAAGTGTGCTGAATGAATCTTACTACTCTTCTTATGTTCAACCTGCACTGTTTCTTGGTGGCTGTAGTGATTATGTTTGATCTCTATGAACTTCTATGTGTGAGAAAGTTTGTATGCATTTTGAAACTAGCGAGGATAATGTTGATGTGGTTTTATATTTTTTCTACTGCTTAGTCAACCTTGCTTTCCACTGATTCATATTGTTGTTATTATTACATATAATATGAGGAGGTTATTTTTCAAGACCTGATACTATCTTTATTAAATTTGTTCTGATTTGAACAATAGTACTTTTGATTATTGCCTGAATTCCGGGGTTTCTGTAAGCTATGTTACTTTTGTTTTGTTAGCACTACTTAGACACCGCATATTATCAGTGCTTTCATATTGGCAGTGCAATATGCTGCATTTCAAAAATCTATGAATACATGAGCTGAGCTCAGGGATATTTTAGATATTAGCATGAACAAGGAAGCGTCATTGGTTTTCTATCTCCACTGATGCGGCGTCACTCTGCACATAACTCATTTACCATTCCTCAGCAGCAGCAATGTTTTACCCCACGAAGATCTCCAGCCTCTCTGGATGACAGACTCGGATAGCAGGAAGAACTCTGTGTGGGGGCTGCACCTCCCACCATCGGGCCCAGAGTGTATTTCTATACCACTCTCTGCATGGGTGGTATAGAATGAATATTTTTGATGAATTGGAATCCAGGTCCCATTCTCATGAATTTCAAGGAAGGAGTACTTCATGGAACAGTTAGTGCATCCAGAATTTTAACTGTGGGCACGACACCATCCTCAAGACCAGTGCTTCTCAATGGTAGGTGATGTGGATGCCTTTCAGACCCTCCGGGGCCCTTCACTAACTCCAGATTCCACCTGTTCCCAGGGACCCTGGGACCCACTGCCAGAGCCTGCAGCAGCTCCTCAGCTCACTTCCACTGTCTCCCATGAGGGCAGATGGGGTAGGCAAGTAGTCCAGGCGTCTCCAAAGGGGTTGGGTGATTTAATTTAAAAACGAATGATCTTTGTGCTAAATCCATGTCCTCTGCTCAGTGCTCTTCTCGCCCTGGCACCTGACTCTCCCATCGCTCTCTGCTCCGAGCGTGCCCTTCCATCCTGAGTCTGAGACGCTGCTCTATGCAGGTGCTTCCACTTCTCCTGCCTGCCTCCCATGGTCTGGCATGGTCCTTACCCGCTTCCCAGGAGTGTTGAGGCCACACAGGCATGTCCCAAACACTTCCTGTGTTAGTGATGCCTGGTTTCTGTTTTCAGAGCCCAGTTCTCTCCTGGGCCTCAGATGGGGAGGGACAGCTGCCTCCTGGGCATGGATGAGCCGCACAGGGTCCACCCGAAACCTTCACCTTCCGGAGACCCCGCCCTTCCATGTGCCCCGGGACAGCGAGCCCCCTTGTCTCCACTTAATCCATCAATTTGGAAAACTCGGCAATTCTTGATTTTTCCCTTTTCCTAATCTCATATGCTCAATTGATCAACCATCCTATGGATTCTGCTTCATAAATACCTTTTTTTTATAGTACTGCAGCCCACAAACTCCTTAAAATTATGGGTTCTGTAATCGTGTGTTATGCATTACGAGTTTTTTGTAGTCATGTGTTATGCTACGCTATTGAAGGCTTTGGAAGTCTGTCTCGTGTGTGTCCATGCACGTTTTTTGAGAGTAATTTTTTCTAGATTACATAGATCACCAAAGGCATGCATGCCCAAGCGTTAATATTTGGAATGTGCATCAGCTGAGTTAGGCTTGGTTAAGCTGAAGTCATTATCATTTATCACCAATTATCATTGTCTCTGAATTTGCTCATGTTTTTCCCTTGGCCAGGAATTCCTGTTTCAAAGCTCATCCATCTTCACTGGCAAAGCCATGCCCTTCCCTCCAAAGGGGCCTGCCACATCTTCTTTGTGCCCCCTTTCTCCACCTGATGTCCCCATGCAGATGTAATTGTTGAGTTATCATGGCAGCAGCATCCAACACTATCTACCTGAAATAGTCATAAATGCAGAGAGGAGAGGGAATGTGTGCTCATTGTCTCGTTTTTACAATGGCAAAAACTCTAAAAGTATACCCCCTGTTTGTCGACACACGTAGGGTTGCCTGAATGGAAAAACATCTACAAAATATCTTCATGGTCACATGAGATTCTTTTTGACTAAATAACTGGATACTACAGCCTTGCCAACATGACACACGAAAGCAGGCAGTGAGCATGATGGACATCAAGGCTGTCAAATGAGAATTCTGTGCTCCTCTCCAGTGGCGCCTTGGTGGGGTTTTTAGAGAAAACCATACCTCTGCGGGAGCTTTGAGTGTGTCTTTGACTTGCTGGAACTAATTCTCTCTGGTCCAGGATATGTAAGAAGCAACTGGGAGATGTGTCTGTTGGGGTCCCTGGGTCTCTGGCCTCACTTGGCTGAGAAGCTGAGATAGAGGGAATTGTTGCCACGCTCCTCCACCCTTCCTTTGTCTCCTGTCTTTGCTGAGTGACTTTATAGTTTTTCCCACACGAGTGGAGGGAACTTCTCTGCCCCATACTGTGGGCTCCATCCTGTGATCTGCATTGGCCAATGAGATGTTGGCCAACTTGAAACCAGCGAGGAATATGCTCAAAGGATGAAGCCACAGGCCGGGCACGGTGGCTCATGCCTGTAACCCCAGCACTCTGGGAGGCTGAGGCGGACAGATCACCTGAGGTTAGGAGTTCAAGACCAGCCTGGCCAACATGGTGAAACCCCATCTCTACTAAAAATACAAAAATTAGCCGGGTGTGTTGGCGTGCACCTATAATCCCAGCTACTTGGGAGGCTGAGGCAGGAGAATAGCTTGAACCCAGGAGGTGGAGTGGAGGCTGCAGTGAGCAGAGATCATGCCATTGCACTCTAGCCTGGGTGACAAGAGCAAGACTCCGTCTCAAAAAAAAAAAAAAAAAAAAAAAGACGAGGCTAGCCCTCCTGCTTCTTTGCTGCTGCTCACAGGAAGAGCATGTCTTGGAAGCCTTCTTGCTCAAGGAGGAGGAGAGGTGCAAGCACAGAGGTGGACCCAACCTGCAGTGGAGAGCCTGCCCCAGCCGAGCCCACAGGAGACCAGCCCGTCTCCACAGAACCTGCGCATGTGCGAGGGGGGCTGGCAAGTCCAGGATCGAGGGGTAGGCTGCAGGCTAGAAACACAGGCAGGAGCTAACACTGCAGTCCTCCTTCTCTGGGAAGCCTCGGTCTTTGCTCTTAAGAATGTCAGCTGATTGGATGAGGCCCACCCACATTAGGGAGAGTCGTCTGCTTGACTCAAGAGTCTCCTGATTGTAGGGAGATCTACAATCTTCTACAAGAAAGGAGATTTCAAACATGATTCATATTTGGATCATGATGTTAACATCTACAAAGTATCTTCACGGTCACACGAGATTCTTATTTGACTGAATAACTGGATACCACAGTCTCACCAATGTGACACGTGAAACCAACCATCACAGTGAGCATGAACAATGGTTATTTTAGCCACTGCGTTTTGGTGTGGGTTGTTACCCAGCATAACAGGACCAACAGCTAACTGATACAGAAGATAAAGTAAATTGGCATGGAAGGCTGTAGAGTTATGTGTCTCAGTGCAGGATATGCTAATGTGGGAAGGGGATGCTTGGCCTGTGCGTTTCGCGCACCTCATCAGCTCTCAGCACACAAAGCCAGATAAAATAAGCTCCATGATATGAAGTGGAACCAAAACTAGGGATCAGTCATTCACCGGTGGTGATGATAAACAGCCCTTCCTAACAATTATCTAGTTAAAACACCATTAACAATTAATGACATACATCACAGAACTTATTGAACCCATTAAAGACTAATTTACTGGCTATAAAATTATGGCATTAGGAATTTACGGATCATTACCTTTTATTCTGGAATGAAATATTGCTGACTGAAACTCTTAGAAACTGTTGAAAACAATTACTCATTAAAGCCACATGAAATTAAATGATATGGCTTAGCAAAGGGGAAGAAAAGAACCCAAGCAAAGTTTGAAAATGTTTTTTTGAGGAGAAGCACTAACTTTGCACGACACTGAATGGATAAAGATTATATTTTCAAACAGGATTAAGATCTACAATTAAAGAATATGAACTAAGTAATTTTAATGTGCAATGAAATCTTCTTTTTGGGAAAACGTATTAGATCATGACTGATAAAAATTCCGATCATGATTAATCACTGCTAGGTATTTTGGAACACTATTAAAGAGAGTTTAACAATGTTAAAATTAATTAACTAATTCCTCTAAAAGGGTTTAAAATATAATACGATGCAACAGCTGTTGCAGCTTTAAATATGATTATTTCCTTTCCGCCCTGAAACCAAAATTTGCCAGTCAGAAATCAACCTCATTTTATTGCAATTTCCAATTTATTGCTTGGTAATGAGATCAACTTAATCGTGATGAATGCCTTGTTTTCTAAGCGACCATATGCACAAGAGCACATCCCAAAGTATGTGGGATGTGGGATGTCCCCTCCTCCATCTGCCTGCGGGAGCAGCCCTGGGTAACAAGCCCACAGAGCTCAGGGGCCCCGCTCCATCTGCCTACAGGAGCAGTCCTGGGTGGCAGGTACACGGAGCTCAGGGGCTCTGCTCCATCTGCCCGTGGGAGCAGTCCTGGGTAACAGGCAGGCACAGGGAGCTCAGGGGTCCTGCTCAATCTGCCTGTGGGAGCAGACCTGGGTGGCAGGTGCACAGAGCTCAGGGGCCCTGCTCCAGCTGACTGCGGGAACAGCCCTGGGTAGCAGAAGCACAGAGCTCAGGGGCTCTGGTGGGAAGAGGACATGCACACACAGGCTGCTCTAATTTTTGGATTTTGGTTCTAGAGAGTGATTGAGCAAAATGAGCCCGAATTTCTGTCAGAAAAACATTGAGCTTAGAATACATTTTTATAACAATAAAACATAGAATTGCAAAACTTGAGAGCTAGAAAAGATCAAGTCCAAACTTGTTTTGAAAATAAAGGAACCAAGGCCTGGAGAAGTCAAGCAACTGGCCCAGGGTTATGCAGTCGCCAAGGTTATGCAGAATTAAACCCCGTGTCTCCTGAGTCCCCCGGCAGGGTTTCTGCAGCAAGCACTGTTTCCAGGTGGCCCTCTGGAGGGGCTATTTGCTTATACAGAGTGGACGTGAGCTTTCCCTATGGCAGACAGACCACGGGTCATCAGGTAAGCACAGAGTTACCTCTGAGACACTCCTAAAAGAGAAAACATTACCAAACAAAACTCCAGGTCTCTCCAGAGAGTCTTTGGATGCCATGTACCTGCTGTGCTGGGTTCTCCTCCTGCTACTTATATTAAACAACAGCAACATTTTTATTCAGGCAAGAAAGTGAAATGGTTTCCTCAGCACAGAGGGGCAAAAAGAATCCCTCGCCCCCTGCAAGCACCATTATATTACGGTCGCCATACAAGCTCTATGGGGGCTTCCAGGGAGCTGCTGTGTTCCATGCTTGCTGAACCAGAGAGGCCTGCTTCAGGTTGACTTTAATTCTTTCCAAGAGGCAGAAAACTGCCAGTGTCGCAATAAACATACATGTTCATGTGTCTTTATAGCAGCATGATTTATAATCCTTGGGGTATATACCCCGTAATGGGATGGCTGGGTCAAATGGTATTTCTAGTTCTAGATCCTTGAGGAATCACCACACTGCAAAGACTTGGAACCAACCCAAATGCCCATCAATGATAGACTGAATTAAGAAAATGTGGCACATATATACCATGGAATACTATGCAGCCATAAAAAAGGATGAGTTCATGTCCTTTGTAGGGACATGGATGAAGCTGGAAACCATCATTCTCAGCAAACTATCACAAGGACAGAAAACCAAACACCACATGTTTTCACTCATAGGTGTGAATTGAACATTGAGAACACTTGGACACAGGAAGGGGAACATCACACACTGGGGTCTGTCATGGGGTGGGGGTAGCGGGGAGGGATAGCATTAGGAGAAATACCTAATGTAAATGATGAGTTAATGGGTGCAGCACACCAACATGGCACATGTATACAGATGTAACAAACCTGCAAGTTGTGCACGTGTACCCTAGAACTTAAAATATAATAAAAAAAGGAAAAAATAAAATAAAATGAAAATAAAAAAATAAAAAAGAAAAAAAAGAAAATTGCCAGCGTCTCAGGGGATTGCTTTCTCTGGGGCTTCCAGACCATCTTATAATGTGTTAAAATTGCCAGTTTGCCTGCTCCTGACTGCACCCCAGAGAATCTGTAAGACCAGCACCATCAGTCAACAGGATAATACCAAAGAAAGTCACAAATTTCAATGCACCAACTTTAGGTCCTTACCAATTGGCTTTAAATATGCTTGGACTTGAGGCACCAAACACAAAACGAACATTCAAGTCACCTCATATGAACAGATGTGCAGAGGAGCTGCTCGTATTCTTTGCTCCTGCATTCCCTACTACATAAATAAGAGTGGGTTGTAAGCCATCTACAATTCTTAATGCCTCAGTGCTAACTTGACAACAAAGCAGCAAGTTTCTTCTAGAGAGGGAGCCATTTATTTTCACTTGGTTTTAATTTTTCCGAAACCTAATTATAATTATGAATACACATTCTTGCCTTGAAGCTTATATTCTAATTGCTGAACTAAATAGTTGACAAATAATAAAAACAACCCAGTAAATAAAAGACTAATACATTCACTGTTGTTCTGAGAAGAATGATTGGTGCACACGTAATATATATTATAATATTCTTACAGACCAATTTCTACGCGGAGGATCATTAACTGTATTTTCTATAAAACCAAGATTCTGATTCTGTATCCGTCCTGTTCCTGGGGCAGCCTTCAGCAAGTTCATACCTGGGAGCTGATGGACATGAAGAAAATGTACATCAAACGCGCTTCTCCACGTTGGAAGGGCCACTCAGCCTCTAATCGTCCAACCGACAGGCAGGCAGGAGCGACATTCTCCAGATGGGAGACTACAGTGAGTCGGCTTGCTAGCTAAGTTGCAGCAACTCAAGTTGGGGGGTTCTTTTTCTTCCCTTTTTTACTCTCCATAAAAAAAATGACGGTATGTCCCAACACTTGTAATGGGCATATCCTAAGAGTGTCCCTCCCCAAATTCTCAAACAACACTGTATTCCCAATAACATGCAATAAATGATACATTTCAAAAATTGAAATAGCTCATTCAGACTTTAAATGTATAAACATGGGATCAAAATTGTTCACGAAGCTGTTGTCTGGTAGAGAGTTCCTTTCCTAGATCACTTCTGTCACCAACACAAGCAGGTGGCATGCTTTGAAGACCCCCCTCATGAAGGGGCACAGCATTCATCAGTTCACCTGGGTCAACAGAGCTGCTACAGATGGGGTGGGGGTGGCTGGGGGGATGGTTTATGCACTGAGGCCTCATCTCTGCTCTCACCAGCCATGCGGTACAGGAAGTTCACCGCCACGCCCTGATGAAAGGAAAAGTTGGATCCTGCAGTAGCTTCCCAGTATTCAGAACTGTGTGCTTGCCTCTAAGGAGGACCTTCCTTCCAAATAGAAGCTTCTCCCTGGCAAGTTTGTCTGGTTCATTCCCTGGAGACCCTGGTGTGAAGTAAGTCCCAAAGATGTACGTCTATAAGCAAATTGTAGCTACCCTGGGTGCTGTTGCTTCTTGCCTACCTGCCCCACCTTCGGAAGATATTTTCATCCACCCCTAGAATTTTGCACTTCTCCTAATACACTGTGCTTACTTCATGTCTTAGAAACAGAAACATCCCCGGATTCCTCTTTCCTTCACCAAACCCCCATTCCATAGTGACTTCCAAAGGGCTGGAGCAAAAGTTTTCAGGAATGAGGAAAACATCCAAAGAACAAGTTAGTGGGTAAAACACCAGAGATCAATGTAGCATGCAGGACCCATGATGGATAAGGATGCGGTAAGGTTTTAGAGAAAACTTCTTCATCTTACAAATGTTTTTCCCTCTTTTCTTAACCCTGTTGCATTGTCCTTAATTCTAGCAGAGTTTAATCACCTTTGATGCTTTTGCCCAGAAAGATATTTACCGGCATTCATCTCTGTCACCGATCTTTGAGCAATTAGTCACTGTACGATTAAGGTAAATCCTATCTAGTTCTTTCTATTCCTACCCATAAGCCATAAATCAAGTAGTCCTATACCCTCTTAATCATTCCCTTCCCTTTTCCCTGCAACTCCTCCCCTTCTCCTGCCTCTTTCTAACTCGGTGGCTTTTCTTAAGAAATTACAAAGACCTGGAGCTAAAACCACCCAGGTTCCTGAGCTCCCAACAGCCCCGCTGGGACAGAAGGAGCCGTGGCTCACCCAGGTACCCTCGCCTGGGCTCTCAATAGCTGCCAGCAGTCTTGCATGGGAGACACAAATAGAGACTTCCATGCCCTCTGAGCCTTCACACTCATGGTTGCCAGAGGTAGCAAGTAAAAATACAGGATGCCTGTGCACAATGTGGGTCACACTTATACTAGAAAAGCCTTCATTGCTTATCCAAAATTCAAATTCCATTGGGCGTCCTTTATGTCATGCAGCAGCCCATGAACTCACCCCACTGCCCTCTGTGTGCACCGCAGTGTCCTCTGGAGGCTGCCAGGGGAGCCTCCTTCCCATGCAGCGGCACTCACTGGAGCCACTTTCAGGGGGACAGTGCTGCTCTTCCTAGAGGTCCATGCCCTGCACAGACCAGTGCCCACCTTATCAGGCTCTTCTTATAGTTTTTCTCCTTCCAGGGCATTGAAATGTCACCATCCTCCTCAGCATCATCGATTTGTCACATGCCTTGCATCAAGGAGGACTCTGTTGATGCTGCCACTGTCCAAGCAGGAATGCCACACGAGAAGGAGGAGGATTCATTGCGGTCTGATGAACAGCTTCCCTGTACTGGGCAGTGAGGTTGCCGGGTGGACAGGGCGGCCTCCTGTGCACGTGGATGTCACTTCCTGGTGCATGTGGCCAGCATTCACCCATCTCACTCTGTTCTCATTTGGTAACATGGTCTGCCGTGTCTGAAACTCTGTCTAGCAGTACTTGGGTTTCCCAAGCTCAAAAGCAGGAAGGCATCTGTCCCTAATAACAGAATGGTAAGTGGGTCTCTCTGTTGCTGTTACTTCTAAAATTTGGAGCAATGTTGCATTGCTCAATTTGTATTACATTATGTCGTCACATACAATGGATTTTTAACTACACATTTTCCCTTGCATCAGGGCTCAGCTGAGTAGCTTTGGAATGCATAAAGTAAAGAGAGGAGTGTTTGGGGGAGGAAGAGACCCAGCATTCTGTTAGGGTCTTCAGGACACTGCGGGCAGGACCAGGCTCAGGCCAGACAGTCACTTGGGTGCAAAATGGCATTGAGAGAAAGAATATTTTAATGCAGTGTTTACACACATCAATGTAAAAATCTGTGAAAAACAAAATATCAAACTTGGGAATAAAGACAGCATCAGAATTACTGACTTTTCCTTTTCCCTCGAGCTCCCGTGTGGCTCAGCACAGCACTGACTAAGAGCCTCTATGTCCACCCCAAGAGGGCTGTGGTGTTGCTCAAAAGGCACCAGAGAGAGGCTGAGGATGATGGCCTGAGGGCCGAGCTCCCACAGGGAACCCTGGATCAAAACCTCCTTGGGGTAGGACCTGTCTAGTCTGAATGCCCGTAAATGGTTTTATCCATCTGCCCCCTCAGGCAACGCAAACTCACAGAGGACCGGCAGCCCATGTGTGCGCTTTCGGTAATAGAGATATTCCTGTCCACGCTCTCCAGGGCACACCCTTGCCAAAATTCAGTCACCTGAAAATCAAGCCATGTCATGAGTCAAAGTGTGCTCAGACATGACAGGGTCTGCGTGGTGGGCGCTGGGCAGTCTCGGGTGTTCTTTCATCTTCCCCCGCACTCTGGCTCCGTCACCCGAAAGCCTCAAGCCTGGACTTTCATCCCCCAGGGTCTGGGCCCCCCCCAGACCTCTGCCTCTTTGTTATGGGATCACATATAACCCACTAGAGTGTGTGTCCTTTACTCGAGAGCAGAATATCATCCTGCTCTCTCCATTTGGATTCAGAATATCATCCCGCTCTCCCTGTTTGGATTCAAGTATTTTTTTTCATCCTAAAAAGATGTTTAGAATATTTTAATGAGGCGACTGAATTGGGCGCGATCTTGATTTCCCTAAAGTTTTGGGAAAGACCTTGGTCTCATTGTCTATATTTAAAAACTGAGAGACTAAATATACCAATGGACAATGGCCAGGTGGTCCAGAAAGATGGAAATCCAACCCACGACCTGCAGCAACCTTCCCAGGAAACCAATCCATGATCTACAGCAATTGAACCAGGTCCTAGGAAACCAACCCATGATCTACAGCAACTGACCCAAGTCCCAGGAAACCAACCCATGATCTACAGCAACTGACCCGGATCCCAGAAAACCAACCCACGATCTACAGCAACTGACCCGGGTCCCAGGAAACCAACCCATGATCTATAGCAACTGACCCGGGTCCCAGGAAACCATCCCATGATCTATAGCAACTGACCCGGGTCCCAGGAAACCAACCCATGATCTATAGCAACTGACCTGGGTCCCAGGAAACCAACATGATCTACAGCAACTGACCCAGGTCCCAGGAAACCAACCCATGATCTATAGCAACTGACCCAGGTCCCAGGAAACCAACCCATGATCTACAGCAACTGACCCGAGTCCCAGGAAACCAACCCATGATCTATAGCAACTGACCCGGGTCCCAGGAAACCAACCCATGATCTATAGCAACTGACCCGGGTCCCAGGAAACCAACCCATGATCTACAGCAACTGACCCAGGAAGTCAGCCTGCTGTCAATCTCTAGTAACCATGAAGGAAATCAAATGACCACCCTCATAACACTCAGCCCCTAGTGGCCAGCACTTGATTAATAGTCGGCCTTTGTAAATTTTGTCCCTACTTCTAACTCAGAACTAATAGAGAAAGCCAAGTACGCACCCCTCGCCAACCACACGGGATCCCTGTCTCTAGTCTGCCGCTGCCACCATCCTCAGGCCAACAGCCTCCCGTGCGGGCACACCTGAGCCTTCCCCTCTTCCATTCTGAAGCTTTCCTGGTCTTCTGCCTGTGTGTGAGTCTCTTCCAAACACAGTGATGATGGCTGGGCTCCATGCTACAGCAAGTCAGGGGGCTCTGCTTTTCTCATCTGGGTGGGCTTCCTCTATTTCTACAAAACCATGGATTGGACTAGGTTAGTCTTTAGGAGGTGGTGGAGCTGACCACTAGAGACAGCTGGGCCTGGAGCCCAACAGCAGCTCTGCCCCCGCCACCCTGGACCTAACTTGACATTGGCAACGTTCAGAGTGAATTCATGCATGTTCCTGTCTCAGTCGCCTTCTTGGAGGTAAGCAATTTTTTCACCTCTTAAATTGTACCATGGCTGAGGCTACCTTCATTCTGCACTTGAAATTAATGTGATTACTTCACCAATTTCACTAAATATGCGGACTTTTCCTAAGTACTTAGTGGCTGATGAGGCATTTTGGGGATTTGGAGGTTCAAGGAAACAACAATCATCCCAACTTCATGATTTTGGCTGTGCGACGCCCTCCTCTGCACGGCGAGGCTGTATGATGCCCTCCTCTGCTTGGCAAGCAGACCTTGGACCATGACACTGCAGGCCCACAACTGGCGTGAATACAGTTCTGACATTTCAGATTCCCTGGGAATAGCAGTGAGGCATGAATATGCAAATCCGCCACATCTGGATATCTTTTATACTAGCCCAATGCCTTAACTGTCCAGCCTCATGTCAAGTTTAATGATGGCATCACTCTATATGCATAGCAATGAACCACAATTCAACTGCCATCCCCAGCACCCCAATTCAGAGCCAAATGGAGCTCCAGAGAGAACTGTTCAGCCCATTCCCTTCAGACAAGAAAGCCGAGGCACTAAGGGAACAAAGCTGCCTGGTGGCAGAGCTGGGATCAAACCCCAACCACGGCCTCTCCACACAAGAGCGTCCCCACCAGCAGAGTCAAAGCATTTGTGACATTTCCCACCACGCCTGTTTGCTTCTAATTCCCATTGCAAGATTATTGGCATCCAAAAATCATCAGCCCTTAGAGGAGCTTTGCAGAACAGAGGTGTCAGCTTAGAAGGTGACTCTACTTTGGACATGGGGGTGGCCCTCGGGGACACTTGTCCTCTTGGCTGTCCCAGCTTTGTGCAGCTGGCTTACTAGATGGGAACACCTGTGTACAAGGTTGGGGGATCTTCTTCAGCCCCTGCACCCCCGCTCCCGATCTCCTGAGTAAAACATTAATCTGGAGTAGTCCGGAGTGCTTTCCTAATTCCTCCTCAGTGGGCCCTGGACTCTAACCTTTATATCCCAAGCACTCCGAGACCACTGGGCTCTTTGCCATGGCTGGATCTCTTGCCTTGAATGGCGAGGATTCAGCAACACCTCCAGCTGAAAGACCACCCACACTTATGCGTCTGCCCCTTTTGTCTGGGCTCCGAGTTCCTCCAGCCACAACTACCTTTGTAACCTGAACTCCACTTTTAGTCTCACCAGCTCCGTGAAACTTCTAGAAGTTCTCCTCTTAGCTCTCCCTTAGTGCCCTTAGCTCCTCAGAGGTCTGAGAGGTCTGAGCTCTGCAGAGAGTTTCCATTTCTTGGCCTGCGGTGTTTATACATCAGCCAAGGCCCAGAAGCAAGAGCTGTACAGAACAAGGGGCTCTCCTCAGCAAGTTCCCATCCCCTGGGCTTGGCCCTGCACCTCTAGCTGGCCTAGTGGCTCTCCAGTGCCCTCACAGATATTTCGAAGGAATTCTGTGATGCTCTTCTACAGGCTCTTGATGGGAAGGCTGGTCTGCTCCATGCTAAGGTGTTGCAGTAAGAAATGGAAGTCCCGAAACTCTTTTAGCGATCACAGTGCATCTGGTACCCAGTGGAACACCAAGCTGATTTTCTCGAGAAAATATGCAATGTCATGGAATGCAAGCAGAAACAATTTCGGCTTCAACTATACAAAAAGTCTCCTTGTTAGAGGGAGAGACACTGAACTCCTGTTTGGAACAGTTCATGGCTATGTGGCAGAGTATCTGAAACCCCTCAGTCAGAAGACCCAAGAACAAGCATGGGTGGTGAGAGTTTTTCCTGCTTCCATTCTTTCTGATGCACAGGCATCCTCCTAGGAAATATGGCAATCCTGCTGGATGTCAGGGATGGTGACATCAGTAACAAACTCAGATCCAACCACATTCTGTAGACAGAATGGAAGCCACACAACCTCACATCTGTACTGAAAAAACAAGGCTACTAATATGCAGGTTTGCCCACCTGCCCAGCACCTCTGCCTGGCCATGCTGTTAGACTACCAAACAAAGATATACATTATCATCAAGTGATTTATTAGCTTAAAAGCAAATAACAGAATTTTAAGAGCACACAGGTGAACAGTGAACAAACTAAGAGACAACACTCAAGGGAAATACCAGGCTGACGTAAACCTCTCCTGATCCAAAGGCAAGTTTACAGAAAGCACAACAAAATCTTCATACAACATCTATGGAAATAGTTTTCTATACAAAAGGGATAAACCTAATATTTGAGGGAGAAGACTAGCACAGTTTTGAAAAAGGTTAACTACAGGAAAAAGAAGGAAGTTTTATATACCTGCTTTGCATTCTCCGTAAAGTATAATGACAACGTGAAGTCTACGAACTTGAGCTAAAGGATGTGATAACTGGCTAGTTTTATCTAGTAGCTGGAACAATTATGGAAAGAATGTAATAAAAGAAAGACTATCGTAGCAAAATTTCTAACAGTGTTGGAAAAGAAAAATCCCAGATGAAGTTGCAGAACATTGGCTCAATGATACAGAGGATGAAAGTAAAGAAAATGAACAAAGAAGCAAACGCTGTGAGAAGGAGGCAGTAGGTTCAGGGGACATACGGCAAACATTAAACACACAAGGAACTGGCATTTCTGAAGAAGAGGCTGGAATAAGTGAAAGAGACACAAGAGTCAAAGTTATAATTTAAGAAAACATTTCTAAGCTGAAGACCTGAATCTTTAGTTTGAAATGACATGCCACACTCCAAGTAAAATAAACAATAAAAGGAAGACTTATAAGCAGACACAGCCCAGGTAAATCTTTCCTTTCCAAGCATAAAAATGTCGACATGCAACCAAGTAGATGCTTATAAAATATTAAACGGAAAAAACATCAGGCTGGTTTTGATGTGAGGCTACAATAGAGCAAGGACTACGGGATTCTGAGGGTAAAAAATTGGGGCCAGGAATTGTCTAGCCACATTATTGTTCATAGGTGAAGGCAAGAGAAAGATATTCTTACTTAAGAATTCAGAAAACAAACCTCCACATATTGTTCCTTAAAAAATACTCAAATATATAGATGAACTAATTAAAGAATCTAAGCAGTGACTCCAGAATGGGAGTGCCATGGTAGATAGGATTGGTGGTAAATATTTAATCCATTTATGCATAGGATTAAACGCCAGAAACTTATGTAACTATAGTTTTCCTGAAACAAATTCACAAATTAAATGCAATACTAATTTTAATTTTGATTACATTTTTCAAGGGGAAAACAAAATGCTTCATGACTAAAAGATGTTTTTAAGAAACTAGGAATAGAAATTTTCTTCTGGTAAATACTGACCCCATCAAACCAAAAGCCAACCCCCAGTTAATTGAGAGTAGTAAAGGATTTCTGGTAAAGTCAAGGGGAAAACAGGAATGCCAACACTTCCCAATATTATTTAAAGGAGAATACAATTTTAGCCTTATTCGAGGAAAATATCTACACAGAAACCCAGAAGAAACAACTGAAACAGAACAAAGACCAACACATGAATTGTAAGTGGTTTAAAATATGAATATTTAGTTCATAGACAAGAATGTAACTAGCTTTTTACTGTCGTAAAAAACTCGTAAAACTTCACTATTTTTAACTGTAGTTCAATGCGAATAGCTTTAAAATGAAAGGAAGCTGAACCACATTTTAATAAGAGAAAAGTGAATTAAAACTATATAGAAACAATTTTTTCATTTCTTAAGCAGGTAAAGATTAAAAAAAAAAAACCATGGTAAGGGTGGGAGCTGTGTATCGGGAGCCCCTACAACCTTTGCAGAGAGCAACGTGGCAATTCCTGTCAATACTACAGAGGCGGCATCCCTTCAACTCAGCGACTCCACTTCTAGGCATTTATTCAGGCATACTCACAGGTGTGAGAAATAATGGTATTTTTCACAGAGGTGTTTGAAATAGCAAAGGATTGGGGGAAAAATGGAGTGCGCTCAGAGGGAACTGGTTCAAGGTATCATAGTGAGCAGTTGCTGGAAGTTGAATAGCAGATCCAGGCAGCTGGGAAGGACAGTCGCTTATGCCTGGCCACACGACAAAGCTGATGATCTATCCTCATGCCTTCCCTTGGACCTCAGAGAGCTGAGGGTGCAGGTCATCCAACTAGACTGAAATCTAGAGAGAAACAGGTGCCTGCAAGAAGAGATGGGGCAAGAGTGTTGTCTCACCTGGCTTGGGGCACAGGAAGAGGATGGGGCTGCCCATTGGTTAGAGACAGGCGAGAGGAATTTAGCTGAGAGTGTGGGTTAATGTGAGATCATGAAACCTGCAAGAGTCACAGGCATGAGTGGGATGGCAGAAAGCCTCACCTGGACCCTTCTCCAACAAAACCTGTCACTCCCCCTGAAAGTACAGATGAAAACCCGATGTGGCTGGAGGAAGGGAAAAGAAAAACCCTCTACCCCTGGGTGAGGCGCAGGAAACCATCTTGCGTCTGAATCATTACAGATTTCCTATTGCCCAGAGACAGAAAGAATGACTGAGAAAAGTCTCCCCTTCCAAGACCAGGGAGGCCATGCCTGCCTGAGACTGAGTCTGTACCAGGACAACAGAGAAGGCCCTTTGGCATCCACCAAGGCCAGCAGGAGCCATGTGGGAAACACACAGTCTACCATGGGACAGGCAAGCGCATGGGGCACGGTGAGAATGAAAAGCCCAAAACTGAGAATGAAGCAAACCTCAAGAAAAGTTCTGTGGCAAAGCAGTCCCTTCCCTCTGGTGAAGCTTGAGGAGTTGAAGCTGGTGGTGCCTGGAAGGCAACAAGATATCCCAAACTCAGCTCAACTCCCAGCTAGACCGACTCAGCCTTCAATAGCCAAGCAGAAAGGACCTGCAGCCTCCCAGGCATGAATATTTACTCAGTATTGCCCCCACACATTGTGTCATTTTCAACCAAAACATGTAAGAGAAATAAAGAAAAGGAGAGAGAGAAGCGGAGGGGCGGTGGGGAAAGGAGGAAGGCAGAGGGTCAGAGGAGGGCGGCTCACTGTTAAAAAATAAAGCAATCAATAGAACTAGATTCAGATATGACCCGAGAGTCAGAACTACTGCACACAGAGACTTCAAATAACTATGATTAATACTTTAATGGCACTAGTGGAAATGATGAACACTATTCATGAACAGATGGGAAATTTCAGCAAAGAGATGAAAACTAAAAGAGAATAAAAAAGATGGCAACAGCTGAAGATGTTAAATTTGACACACAGGAAATAAAGTCTGTTTAATATGTTTAAATAAAGATCTAAAATAGGGGTAAAGGGACAGGTGTCATGAAAACTGGAAACCAAAAACAATTTTTTAAGAGAATATACTAATTTAAAACCTTAATTGACAGGGTTAAAAGCAGATTAGCTCAGCTGAAGAAAAAGTTAATGAACTGGAAGAGATAGATGTGAAGACGTTATAGAGAAGGCAGCACAGAGAAATAAAGAGACAGAAAATATGGAGGAAGACTTAAAAACACAGAGGGTATTATTTGGTTGTGACATATATCCACCCCGAATCTCAAAAGAAAAGTGAAAGAGTAAGACTGGGCCAGAGACAATATTTGAAGAAACAGTAGCTGAGATTTTCCATAATTCATGGAAGATAAGACTGTGCAGATTGAAGAATGCCCATGATTCATAAACATCATAATAAAGAAAAATGCATACCTAGATACAGCACAGTAAAAGAACATGAGCAATGAGAGGAAGAATATGTCTTCAAAGCACCCAATGAGAAAGGATAAACTACTTTTAACAAGGAGAAACCAACAGCTGACTCATCAGTAATGGAAGCCAGAAAAGGTAGAGTTATATCCTCAACAAATGGACAGAAAATGAGTGCTTCAAATCCTATACCCAGCTAAATTGTCCTTCAGATGCAGAGGAGGAGGAAAGGCACCTGCAGAAAGCCAGAAATGCGGAATGTGATGTTAAGCAGAAGGGTGTGATCCCAGCTGTGTGGTCTGAAGTGAAAGATGGTGTGGAGATGCGAAGCATGGTAAGTCCATGGGGAACCCATGTAAACACTGGCTGTATAAAGCAGTAATAATCATGTCCAGTGAATTAAAAGGAAAACAACCAATGCTGGATTCCAGTAAGTGGCAGCAATAGTATAAAAGTCAGGATGGAGGAGATGAACGGAATTGTTCTGTTTCTAAAGTCACCTACAGATGCTAAATCTATTGACTACCTTCAGACTCTGATATGTTAATTTTTTGTGTTAATAACCACAGCTACTAAAGGAACAGAAATACAATTGATAACTACCATACCAGTAGGGGGAGAAAGAAAAAATCAGAGAAAAAACCCAACAAATCTAAAACAATTCAAGAGAAAACAAAGAACTGTGAACCAGGTGTGTATGGTGTTGTGTGCTGTGATACTGCGTGACAAATCATTACAAACTCAGTGCCTTTAAACAGCACACACACACATCATCTCACTGTCTCAGTGGGCCACGGGTCTGGAGGTGGGTGGGCTGCGTCCTCCGGTCAGGGTCTCGCCAGGCCGAAAGCACAGCAGCCAGGGCTGTGATGGCATCTGAAGCTCAGGACCTTTCCCAAGCTCACTGGTTGCGGGGAGAACTGAGTTCCCTGAGGTTCCAGTACTGAAGTCTAATTTTCTTCTGGCTGTTGGGTGGGGGTTGCTTTTAGCTCTGGAAGCTCCCCAGGTCCTGGCCTCTCAGACAAGGCAGCAGGTAGGCCATAAGACGGGTCCTGGGTGACGTGGCCTAATCAAAGTGGCCACTGATGCACCTGTTCACAGTCCCGCCCACACTCCAGGGGAGGGGCCTCCATGATGGAGAGGGAACCGGAGGACATTTGGAATTCCGCCTAACACAGGTGGAATAAGTAGAAAGTATAAGAGGCTAAATATAAATTCAAATATATCCAAAATTACTACAAAATAGCTAAAACGCCTTATCACCAGATTAAAAAAAAGACCGCTCATTTCTTTCCGGCTTTCCTTTTTGTGTGAATTTTTCTTGTCTATGTAATCCATGTGAACCATACACATCCATATCTGCCTTGGTCATTTTTCATTGTCATTCACAATTTCCATATGGTTAAATGATTTCAAAACAAAATTCCAACAGAGCTAACACCATTGTTTACAAATGCCTCCCTCATCACCTTTTTCTTACCAATTATTGTCTATTATATTATTATGTATCTTTTCGTGTACATTATTTAGCTTTGTTTCCTTAGGAGAAATTTCTGAGGCTGGAATTAGAGGGTCAAAGTTATCATCATTTTGGTGATTCTGGAAACAGCAAGATTCCCCTCTAGAGTGTCCACACCCTCAGTACCGTGTGGAAGTACTGAGTGTGCTGAGTACTTTTGCTTTATACTTTTGAACATGATTTCATCAACTGAACAAGAATGCACATAACTAGAAAAATAATAAATAGCCAGTTCTGGAGACATGGGAGGTTCTGCTTCTCACCTTTGGCTGTGGAAAAGTTTGCCATTGTGAAAGCTTAGCAGAACCCACCCTCAGCCCCACTGGCCCTCTCCTGAAGTCTGAGGGCTGTACTGCGGGCATCTCACCCTCACCCTCACCCCCTGCCCAAGGAAGCTGAGCAGGAGACGGGGGGAATGCCTGCGGCAGGACAACCAGCCGGCACACCGGGAGCCAAGGGGAACACTAGGGGAAACTCCCCTCACGCAGCCGTCTTCTGTTTCAGGTGAAACTTGTAAGGTTTGCTAAATCCACATCCCTTTCCCTCATCATTTCAGATACTCTGTTTTCCCAAGGAGGCCGTGGCTGTTCACTGGGATCCTGCACCTCCTGGACCTCATTCTTTCCCTGATCCAGGAAAAGCCAGTTTATTTAAGCTGCGTACTCTAAATTGAAATGCTTTCTAAAACGAATTGGATCCCATTTATAACATTTTCCATTAAATGTCATTTATAACATTTAATGTGTCCTAATACTGTTGGTTTATTTCCCAGAGCCCCCCACTTTTTAAATCATGAAACAAACAGATGAGATTCTCCTCTATCAATGAGACCCATGAACCCAAGTGAATTCATGATGCATCCAGGACTCCTCACCTGAGCAATTGAGAGTGGAAGGAACAGAAAATGGCAGCAACATTATGTGAGTCCTAGAGATGAAACCCCAATCCCTCAGGAACACAAGATAATTGTCCTCACAGAAGTGAGTGCTCCACAGACCTGTCCATCTGGCTGCATCCTGGAGAAGCCCTTTCCGCAGCCAACCCAGGAAGCACGCACACGCCTTACCTTTCGAAGATCTCTGCAGGGCGGGCTTGTGGATGCCTGCTAATCCTTAGCTGCAGAGAAACATTCTTCTCAAACAGATCCCCTCTCCTCTTCTCTGAGGTGATGGCAATTTGTAATCCAAACCCAAATGACCTTTGCTGGGGTGTTGATCCTGGCTAATTGTTCTTGGGCTGAGAGTTTGATAAGAAGTTTGCAAGGTTCAGCTGTGTGGCCACTGGGACTTCAGGAAACAGGCTCATTGCCCCATGCTGTCTGGGAGAGCCTTGTTTATTTACCTCTCGTTCTTCTGGATTTTAGTAGGAGAGGAAAGGGAGCTCCAGGTTCAAACGGCCTCAGAGGCAATCATAGCACTGGCCCGCTCTCCAGGAGGGCAGTTCAGTGGCCTGGGGAATAAAGCTTTCCAGGCCTCAGACCTGAGAAATTAGTCTAGATTGAGGAAGAAAAAATGGATTTAAAAATTTGGTAAATAATTCTTCCCCCCAAAATCATGGGCTATGTGAAGAGTTGGCGGAAGAAAGGAAAGGGAATGGCCGGGGTGGGAGTGCAGGAGCGTCTGGCTGACGGGAGGTGCCCAGCACAGGCCACATGCCCCTTTCCTACATCCTCCAGGAGCGCAGGTGCATCTGGCTGATGGGAGGTGCCCAGCACAGGCCACACGCGCCTTTCCCGCATCCTCCAGGCTTCCATGTCCTCGCATTGTGCATTCACCTTAGAAACGTCACACTGGGCGACAGTGCGTGCATTTGGTGACATTTGTTGCTTGGAACAACTGTGTTATGCAAGTAGGCCTCAATGTTTGTGATATAGTGAGTTCCAACTCAGTGTGTTTCTTTTTTTTTTTCTTTTTGAGACAGAGTCTTACTCTGTAGCCCAGGCTGGAGAGCAGTGGCACGATTTCTGCTCACTGCAACCTCCTCCGCCTCCTGGGTTCAAGTGATTCTCCTGCCTCAGCCTCCCAAGTTCAAGTGATTCTCCTGCCTCAGCCTCCCAAGTTCAAGTGATTCTCCTGCTTCAGCCTCCCAAGTAGCTGGGACTACAGGTGTGCACCATCAAGCCCAGCTAATATTTGTATTTTTAGTAGATACGGGGTTTCATCATGCTGGCCAAGCTGGTCTCAAACTCCTAGCCTCATGTGATCCACCCGTCTTGGCCTCCCAAAGTGCTAGGATGACAGGCATGAGCCACTGCACCCGGCCCCAACTCAGCGTATTTCTCATGCCCTCCTGGTCTCTCCCCGTGGACAGTCCAGATCCTAGAAATGTCAAAGCGTTCCAGCAGGACCCTCTCTGCAGGGTGTGTCTGTGCCCAGAAGCCTCCTGTGGGCCCTGACTCAGGGCAGCACCCGCTGCCTCCAGGTGAGGGGCTTCTGGCCCAGGGCGGTGAGCTCCCCCGCCTGCACAAGCCCTGGTATTTTCCACAGAGCCTCTTGCTCTTCAGGATGTTTTGGAATTTCTCTTCTGCCTGCTGCTCCTGGGTCGGTGACAGGTTTTGCTCTTCAGGAGGTTAGAAATCAGACGGGTGAGAGAACGACTTGTTGAGAAAAGGTGCATCTGATATCTAATCAGCTCACTATAAATATATTGTTCTCCAAACTTAGGCATTTGCTGTGATGAATTTCAATCTGGCGTTCGTCGTGAAAGAGGTCCCACTTCAATCAACCAAACAGGCAGGTCTGCGGGCCCATCCCTTCCCTATGGACGGCCCATCAGATGAGCTAGAATCACTGACCCGCAGGCCTGGGGATGGGTGCTGGTGTCTGGGGAAACTCGTGGCTGCACGATGCTTCGCAGTTCTCAGGAAATGTGGACGGCAGGGCCTTGTGAGTCCTGGGCTGTGTCCTCCCCGCCCTCATCTGTTCCTCCTCCCCAACAGGGGAAGAGCGTCAGCCCCTTGCCTGGATGAACCCTTTGATTTGCTTTTGTTCTTTGCCCATGAAACCCTTTCAAGGCAGTGTCTTGATCAGTCTTCATTGACTCTTCATTCCTCAATAAACAAGTAAAGACAAAAGAAAAACTCCTGGACACCGAAAGGTAGAAATGGCGAGCTGGCCATCTGGTCTTGTGAGCGCGGCCTCGGGGCTGTCTGTGGTGCGGGATCCAGCATGTGAGCTTGGAGTGGGAAAGAAAGGGGTCAGGATGCCTGCTGTGAGGGTGCAGAGCCCACTCAGAGACAACCAGCCTCACTCCAGCAGCGGCGGGGACCAGCGTGCATTGGATAAAAAAGACCAGAAATCCCCGCAAAATCAGTACAAGATGCAGTCAGTCGACTCCAGCCTTCAAGGAGGAGGCGTCCTCAGGTGTCTCAGGCACTGACTCCCGGCACCTGCAGCAGGTGTGTGCTTAGGAGGTGCAGAGGCTGACGTGGAGGAAACACCTTCAGTTCCCGGGGCCTGGGCCTGGCGGATGCTGCCCAGCCCCACACACCCTTGAAGACCCTGTAGCACCGGACATGTGGCCAGAGGGACAGCCAGCTCAGGCACACGCCAGCCGCAATCGGGCTGCTCTGTGGTGATAGCAGCACCTGCAGAGAGAAGACCGAAGGCAGTGAGAGTCAAAAAGTCATTTTGGCAACAAGTTCATGTATCTCTTCGTTAACAAGAGGTTAAGTTACAAATGACACTTTAATGCCGTGGAGAAGAGGGCTCACCCGTGGAGTAAGAATGTCATTTCTTCAGACATAATGATACATAAGTGAACACACATTCATAAGGCACCAATGAACAGGTATTTCGGAAGCTGTCAGAGCAGCCAAGCCTCTCATCAGAACTTCGCCATTATTAAAAATAAAGATCAAGCCATACAACCTTACATTAAATAAATGGTGTTTTTTTAACAAGGTAAACATTCAGAAAGCATCACCTCCTGATTATATTAGAGCACTTTACTGCTATCTGTGGTCTTGAGGTTATTTATTTTTTTTGAGACAGGGTCTCACTCTGCTGCCCAGGCTGGAGGGCGGTGGCAACATCTCAGCTCAGTGCCACCTCTGCCTCCCAGGCTCCAGCGATCCTCCCAAGGAGCTGGGACTACAGGCATGTGCTACCACGCCTGGCTAATTTCTGTGTTCTTTGTAGAGACAGGGTTTCACCAGGTTGCCTGGGCTGGTATTGAGGATATTTTGAATCATGCCGTCTGGAAGGCTGAACTGCTGCCCCATGGCGGTTACTGTGTGACTCTTTTCAGCTCTGAGTTCAGTGACGTCACACTGGCTGCAGGAAATCTGCCTCCAGGGAGCATTTACACCACAGAAATTGGCCAATGCTGCAAATCAGCAACCCTACTCCCTGGGCTGGATTTTAAATATTTCCCAGCATAGCACTAGTCTAAGCCCAACTAGGAGGGCAGTGAGAGCAGAGGAAAGCGGCAGAGGAAGAAAAGCCTGAAGGCTTGGTGCACCAGAAGGCTGTGCGTTCCTGCCTGTGGAGGGTTTCGCTCCCGCATCTTGCTGATGCCCTCTTCCTGCGTCTGCATGTCCTACCCCCGTATCCTTCTTTCCCTCCACTTCCATCGTTCTCCCCACAGAGCTTGAACACTGTAGGAAATCCTGATTGTGCTTTTTCTGGTAATCTCTATGTCTTCTCTCTCAGGTCATTTTTAACGCTGATGGAAGCACACGGTGGATCGCGCCTGGAGGCTGAGGCAGTGCAACCCTCCTCTACGTGTGCGGTGCGCACCTGTGTAAGACGGGCTGTCCTTCGGGGCTCAGGTCCACTGAGCAAGTGTAAGGATGGCCTCTCTTTTGAAAGCAGCCTCTCTAGGCAGCACACTAATTACTCCTGGGGAGCAATTTTCCCATGACCAATTCCATAACAGGTCAACCCCTCCCTCATCCTTCTTTTAACCAATACGGTAATTCAATATCCTGTTAGGAAGGCCAATCCCCTCCCCACTGCATGGTGCCATTGTGGTCACTGATTTACCTAGAGGGTGTCACTGCAGATATTTTCTGACAGCCACATTCCTAGTTTTTCTCCTCTAACTCCCACAAAGACTCGACTGCGGATGATTCTAAGGCAGTTGTCATATTCCTTCTCAGAGGGTTGTGAATGCTCACCTAGTTACGTATTCATTCTGGGGAATGCCTGATGTACCATTCCAAATATCCATGTCCCTTCTTTCTAAACATCCATTTACCTTCCAAATATCCATGTCCCTTCTTTCTAAACATCCATTTACCTTCCAAATATCCATGTCCCTTCTTTCTAAACATCCATTTACCTTCCAAATATCCTTTTCCGTTTTTTCCAAAATTAACTAAACCATGATTTTTCACTGAGCACATTGCTACACTATTTCCTGGTCTTCTCTGCAATTATATGTGACCATGTGACCAAGTTTTTTCCAATGAGGTGTAAGCAGAAGTTGTGTGTTCCATGAGACCTCAGAGTAGTCTCTTGAAAAGGGAAGGAGTACACCATTTTTCTTATCCCCTCCATCCTGCTGTTGGGAACATGACTTGATGGCTGGAGCATCAGCAGCCATTCTGGACCATGAGAGTAAGGACCACCCTGCCCCCCAAAGAATGATAAAGCAGAAATCAGGGAAGGTTTTGGATTCCTGTAGACCATATGTCTATCACACCAGCTCTAGTTCCGTTCTTTCATTTTTTTTTTTTTAGGTGCTAATCCTAATTATAACTGGTAAGTACTTTTCCCAATGAGTGTGTGATTAGTTCCCTTCCCAAAGGCTAATTGTTTGCCTCAGCCTGTTACTAAATTCATGCCAATTTCCATGTCTCTCCAGGACAAATCAGAGTTGTTCTAGCCCATGTCACCTTCTCACCAAATATGCATCATTATTTTTGATTCTTTGGTTATTGCCCTTTTTCCCACCGTGGTTCACATGACCTTTCCTCTGGGAGAAACCAGGGAGAGTCAAATACCAGGTAGGAGAGCTTCTCCCTTGTGACTTCGTCTCTCCCTGTCCTCTCTGCAGAGGGTCTCAGGGCCTTTTCCCTCCCCCTCCTGTTCCCAGACTGCAGCCCTGATAGAGGGCACTTTCTCTCAGCTCACATCAAAGGCCTGCATCATTAAACCTCTGTGGGGAGTGCTGGTTGGTGACAGTGAAAAGCTCCAGAATTGAACAGAGAGATTCATCGTACTAAATTTAGAAACAGGCTCTCTATATTTAGTTCAGATCTCAAATAGGAAAATGTGCAGCCTGAAGATGTACAGATTAAATAAGAAGAGGAGCAATTTGCTTTGTCCTTGAATTCAGGCTTCAGAAACATCAGATACTTCGTCTTCAGTAAGAGCCTGCCTAGGCCTGGAAGCGCCCTGGACACTGCAGTCAGCAAGTCCTCTCTCTTAGGTGAGCCTGAGGTTCTGCAGGGGGTGACGATAACAAAACAGCACAATAACAGCAATTAACATTGGCAGAAGTGAGGCTGCTTCAGGCACCAGGCAAGCTTTGTAGGCATGATGCCACTCAGACCTCACTTTGA
This sequence comes from Homo sapiens, assembly GCF_000001405.40. Lineage (NCBI taxonomy): Eukaryota > Metazoa > Chordata > Mammalia > Primates > Hominidae > Homo > Homo sapiens. Next base: position 111,859,940 of record NC_000013.11, on the reverse strand, counting down.
CACTGTGTCCTGGAGTTACATAAATCACTCCATCTTACAGACAGGGACAGTGGAGTGCTGAGAGGTTAATAACCTTAGCAAGGCCACATAGCCACAGGGCAGGGCCAGGGCGTGAACCGGAGCCTCCTCTCCAAGACCTGCTGCTAGGCTGCCTGCCTTTGGAGAAGTCTCTGATCTCCTAGGACGTGTATTTAGCGGATCCCCAGTATGCACGGGTTCTGTATTTGTGAATTCACCTGCCCACTAAAATGACTCGTGGCCATCTGCAGAGGTGGGCAGAGTGGAGGAGAACCTGAGCCATGCATGTGCCCCTCCCGCTGAGAGACAGCCAGGGCGCGCTGCCCCCCCATTTCAGCGCTTACTGTAAACAGGGCCGAGGCCTCCGTAGTGCCCAGCTTTCCACACTTGGTGCTCTTCGCCGGTGACTTTGCTGTTTGGAATGGCCCTGTGCCTGGTGCTGTCTTGTGTCCTGAGCAGGAGAGGCTGGGGGGCCTTAGGGGAGCTTCATTCAGCTGCTGGGTGCAGGTTCAGTGTTAATGAATCAACAGTACGTTGAATAAGGTGTCTTTAAGCAGACACATGCAAGTCAGGTTATATATTGATTGGCTCACCAGAGGCCCACAGGAACCTAACCCCGCATTTCCCCTGGAGAAATGTCTTGGGATCTGCTAATGCAGTGTCTGCGGGGTCCTTATAGACCATAACTATACTGCAAACAACGAATTGGCTGTGCCTGCAGGCTGCCTCCCAGGCAGCTGTAACCTCCAGTCCCGTACTTTCTTTCTTTCTTTCTTTCTTTCTTTTTTTTTTTTTTTTGAGACAGAGTCTTGCTCTCTCTCCCAGGCTGGAATGCAGTGGTGCGATCTCGGCTCACTGCAACCTCCGCCTCCTGGGTTTAAGCAATTCTCCTGCCTCAGCCTCCTGAGTAGCTGGGATTACAGGCACCTGCCACTGTGCCTGGCTAATTTTTGTATTTTTAGTAGAGGCAAGGTTTCACCATCTTGGCCAGGCTGGTCTTGAACTCCTGACCTCATGATCCACCTGCTTGGCCTCCCAAAGTGCTGGGATTACAGGCGTGAGCCCCCGCACCAGGCCCAGTCCCCTACTTTCGAGCTTCTCGCCAGCTCTGCCCCCAGCATGGAGCGGTCACGGGGGTGCAGCGGCTCTTTCTACAGGGAGCGTGAGGACGGGGACCTGCCCTTGCCCTCCAGCCACACTGGGAGCTGGCACGCAGGGGCCCCAGATCTTTCCCGCATGCCCCTCCCAGGGCAGGGAATACAGAGGCCTCCGACAGCCAAGCAGGGTGAAGAGTCTGGCAGCCACGGTTCCCAGGGTGGCCTTGTGATTCCGATAGATTTGGGGACTTCCTGAGATTGGAGGGGGTAAATCAGGAAATAAATTTTCAAGCCAATGGAGAGCAAAGCCTCCTCCCCAGAGCAAGACGGAGGAAGGAGGAATCCAGGTGAGCTCCATGCAGCGCTGCTCAAGAGCTTCTCAGGACGTGGCGTGTGACCCGCCCGTTTCCGAGGACGTAGGAGACAGGGGTGCCGGAAGCACCAAGGCGATGACGTGCAAAGTGTCCCAGTGAACAAGGCCCCGCAAAGGCTGCTTCTCCAAGCCCCGTGTCCACCCGTTCCGTGGCACTAGACACTGTCACAGCTGAATCACGTCTCCCACAATGAACACGCTGAAGCCCGAGGCCCCACACTTCAGAATGTGATGGTTTGGAGATAGGGCCTTAAAGAGGTAATTAATGAAAAATGAGGGCATGGAGGTGGGCCCTAATCCAGCCGGACTCGTTTCTTTTACAAGAGAAGAAGATTGGGACACAGACACGCACACAGGGACGGCGGGTGGAGGCCCCCGGAAGAAGACGGCGTCCACACACCGGGGAGAAAGGCCTCAGGAAAACTCGTCCTGCCCACACCCGGCCTCAGACTCCCAGCCTCCAGAATCAGGAGAAAATGCATTTCTGTGGTTAAGACCCCACTGTGTGTGCTACGGCAGCCTAGAGGCTTTCTCGGACTGATGACTCCCAGATCAACATCTCAAGCTACGCCTGCTGTGATGTCTTTCTAATGACCACTAGATAGGTCCTCCCTCCCCTAACGACCGCCAGAGACATCTCCCCATCCCCTAACACCCGCCAGAGACGTGCCCCCGTCCCCTAACAACTGCCAGATACATCCCCCCATCCCCCAACACCCGCCATAGACATCCCCCATCCCCTAACGACTACCAGAGATGTCCCCTGTTCCCTGTCCCCTAACGCCCACCAGAGACGTCCCCCCATCCCCTAAGGACCACCAGAGACATCCCCCCGCCTCCTAACGACCACCAGAGAGGTTCCCCGTTCCCCATCCCTAACCACCACTGGAAACTCCCCTAACGACGACGGCTGGAAATGCCCCCGGGATGCCCAGTGGCACCTTCACCACAGCACAGCCAGAGCAGAGTTCCAGATTCCAGAGGACTCCCGATTCCCTCAGGAAACGTGCTCCTCCACTCCGTGTCCTATGCATCACTAGAAACGCATGTAACATGTATGAACAGTCACACGCCCTGTCCTATGCATCACTAGAAATGCATGTACGTTACACGTATGAACAGTCCTACACCCTGTCCGATGAAGCACTAGAAATGCATGTATGTAACATGTATGAACAGTCCTATGCCCTGTCCTATGCATCACTAGAAATGCATGTATGTAACATCTATGAACAGTCACACTCCATCCTATGCATCACTAGAAATGCATGTAACATGTATGAACAGTCAAGTTGTATAACAAAGTGAAACTGAAGGCTCATCCTTGTGTTGTTCCCAACACTCAGAGCCACTTATCTTCCTGCCCTTCCTCCTGGTCTGGCGTGGATTTCCCGGGACTGGCAGGCGATGCCCTCAGTGGGCAGCTGGGGAAGGAAGAGGAGAGAGACTGCAGGAGGAGGTGACGGGGGGCTCAGCCAGGATGAATTGCCACTGGGGCCGGCCTGGCTGTGGCCCTGTGCATCCCCTGACTCCCCAGGCAGCACTGGGCGTGCACATTAGCCTCAGGTGTGGTCCCACTTTGTCTTGGCACCACAGACCCCCGGAAGGATAGGGGGTCTTCATCTGGCTCCAAACAGCAGGATGCCCTCGGCTCCTGCCGGGTGCACTCAGGGCCTCGGGCAGCTGAGAGCCTCCGCTTGGATCAGCCCCATGGCCTCCATACCTGGGCCTCCAGGGCAGCAGCCTCCACACCGGGGCCTCCACACTGGGGCCTCCACACCGGGACCTCCACACTGGGACCTCCACACCAGGGCCTCCAGGGCAGCAGCAGGGCGGTGTCCCCCACCTTTCCTGCAGCCACAGCTCATCGCTGACAGTTGACACAGCATAGTTCCACCTGCACAGCCTTTAGAGAACCCCAGAGAAGAAGCACCCCAGGAACCCCATTTCTAGACTTTCCACCAAAACTCATGGGAGTGCCCTGGGGGCCTCCTGCTTCAGAAAACACACTGAGCACCCTCCCCACCACCAAGGTGGAGACCAAGGGAGTCTGCAGCCTGTGACCGCATCGCCTGTGCTTTGTAATGCGTTCAATGTCTCGCCTACAAATAGAAATAACATACATAATGTACAGGTCGGGTAGCCATAAATATATACATAGAGTAAGTTATAGAAATCTAGAACTAACCATACCTCATATCCCCTATACATTGCATGGGAAGAGGGACTGGGGTTGTCATCACTGTCCCCCCCTCCATGGCTCTTGCTGCGAGGCTGTGATGCTCTGCAGCACCTGCTCTCTGGCAGGAGCACTGCCCAGCCCCATGTCCCATCCAATGCAGGAAGTGGCCAGCACCTTGCCCACCTCACCTTCCATCCCCCTTGGCCATGTCTCCCGTTCCTGCCTTGCAAGTGGATGGCATGGAGACGGTGGCAACGCTGCAGCCCTCTTGTAGCCATGAGGAGGCTCAGAAGATTTGCAGGGTCAGGGCCCCCAGGCTGTCTAGATGCCAGTGCCGCAGCCTCAGGACCTCTGGTGCTGTGAGAAAAACTCACTGGTGTGTGTGCACCCACGTTCAGCTTTGCTGTTCCTTGTGGCTGAGTCAGTGCTGACTGGCACGGCGGGCACTCAGGTTTCTCCTAGCACTTTTCACTATTAACAGGATGAGTGAAAACACTAATTACACGAAGCCTTCACTGTAGACGAATCAGCACATTTATGGATTTTTTTTTTTAAATATCCAAGGAGGATACACTAGGCCATATTTCCTGATCATGTTGGATCACATCATTTACCACCAGAACTCCCCTGTCCCAGTGCTTCTGGTGGTTTAGGAAATTGCTGCCTTACTTTAAAAACAAGCCTGGGCTGTGAACAAACACCAAGGCAGGAAGAGCTTCTTTGAAGTGTGTCTGCCCTGGTGAAAGGAGCAGGGACTTTAGATCCACACTCTGCCCTTCGCAGCTGTGTGATGCGGTGAAATTAGCTACATCTCCAGCCTCAGTTCTGTGACTAATATGGGGGTGGTAAGACCCCCTCACAAGATACGTGGTGGCCGGGCGCGGTGGCTCACACCTGTAATGCCAGCACTTTGGGAGGTGAGGCAGGAGGATCGCTTGATCCCAGGAGTTTGAGACCAGCCTGGGCAACATAGGGAGACCCTATCACTACAATAAAAACAAAAAAATTATCCAGACATGGTGTCACGTGTCCATGGTCCCAGCTACCTGGGAGGCTGAGGTGGGAGAGTCCCTGGAGCTCAGGAGGTCAAGGCTGCGGTGAGCTGTGATCGCGCCACTGCATTCCAGCCTGGGTAACAGAGCGAGACTCTGTCTCAAAAATGCCCCAAATAACAACAATGAATCAGGTGTGGGGGCTCAGGACCCTGCGTTTGCAGGGTGTGAGCCCCAGCCCCTCTCCATCTGGGTGCCCTCGTGCCCTCCGTCCGCTCTCCAAAGCTGCTCTCTTTCTGGATCTTCACTGTACTTCCCTGAGCCTCAGTTTCTCCCATGTAAAATACAGAGGTTTGCTCCTGGTTTGCTCAGCTGGCATTTTGGCCAGGGTTGGCCCCAGATCACAGGCCCTTCAGCATCCTGATTCCATCCACCGTGTCCAGGAGCCCTAGTCCACCGCCAGTCCCAAATGCCCTCCACCCCCAGTCCCAAATGCCCGCAGGAGGCAGAGTCACCCACACAGGAAACCTCTGGCCAGGATGGTCTCTGTGGCCCCTCTCCATCAAAGCTGCTCCGTCCCCACGCCCCACCGTGCTAGATGTCGAGTGTCTGACACGGGGTGCAGTGGAGCCATGAGCAGCTGCAGCCCACACAGCTCCACAAAGCCATGGAAGCATTTGGCACCCCCACCAGGCCGCTGTTTTTATTCCCGTGGTCGAATAAGGAGCCCGAGGCTTTGGGATGGTTTGCTGTTGAGCTGTGAGTTGTGCCGAGCTGGTGCTTTTCTTCGATGACATTGACCTATTTGTGTGGGGTCCTTGTGTCTACCTGACTCATCCCAGCCCTGGGGAGGCCGATGCCCCCTCTCTGATACTAACCCCCCATGCCTGCTGTCCACGGCTTCACCTGGGAGCAAGAGTGAGGCCATTTCAAGGACAAGATAATTACAGGAACCGAAGGAGCTTCTCACTGAACAGGAGACTGGAGAGACGGCCTTCATCCCAGAGCAAGTTGGAGTCTCTGGGCGCTCCCTGCAGCCTGAACCCACATGTAAATGGAAGGCCTTGTACCTTGCTGATTCCCAGAAATCCTCCCTCTCCACCGCCTTCCTGGGCTAAGTTCAACACGGCCGACATCTGAGCTCCATCTGCTCTCTGCTAATGGAAAATGGAGTGTGGGAAGTGAAAATGTTTTTGAAAACACGTTTTCCAGGTGGGGTTGCTATTGATTAACCTCTCGTGGCGTCTCAGCCTTTCTCCCTTAGACCCGAGTTGTGTGACTAATACCTGGATGTATTGTGTGCCCTCATTCGTGACGGCTCAAGTGCTGTTTGTGGGATGGGACCTGCACTCCCGCGCTCTGAGGCGGGGACACGGGAGGCTGTGCGTCCACCAGGCTATTTATCAAGATAATAGTTGCCTGCAAGGGTTCTAGACATCCACTTGTCCACACCCCAGGGAGGAGCGGGGCTCTTTATCATGTCTGGACTTAATAAAGAAGAAATAATGCAGCTGTACTGCTGGCTACAATGTCTCTTCTCCAGTAATCCTGGGTTTCAATTTTCTGCTTAGCATTGTGTACACAGCAAACAGCCTCACGAATTTAACCGTGCTCCAGTTTCCCCTGGTGACGACAGGAGAAAGGTTTACAAAAGACCCCTTTTGGATTTAATAGGACGCAGAACAGCACAGTGTCACATGGTCTTCACGGCCCTGAGGGCCCAACTCTCTTTTGTGAAAAATTGTAATTTCACTAATACAGGAAATATGTTTCCAGTGGTTTTCTTCCAGTGTTTAGACCGTCACGACCAGGAAGAGTCGCTTTGGAGGGTTGCAAAGGGCTGCCCAGCCCCAGAAACAGAAACAGTGGCACTCCTCCACACCGTGAGGAGACCGAGGCACAGCAGGCCCACACATCAGGCCCACAGCCCCAGCCCGCTCCAGGACGCGCCTGGAATTGCCTGTGAATTGCTGGGAGGGGGCAATTCACACCCACGCGTGCCCCGTCTTCTCTGCAGACGTGGATTACATCAGGTGCTCCACCACGCTGTCAGACTGAAGGCCAGCGGGTTGATGTCACCGCATCCACATTCTAAATCAGCAGCCCCCAACCTTTTTGGCACCAGGGACCAATTTTGTGGAAGACAATTTCTCCACAGATGGGGGGTGGGGTGGTGGGGGGATGGTGTTGGGATGTTCCACCTCAGAGGATGAGGCATTAGATTCTCATAAGGAGCCCACAACCTAGAGCCCTCCATGTGCTGTTCACAATAGGGTTTGCACTCCTGTGAGAATCTAATGCTGCTGCTCATCTGACAGGAGGCGGAGCTTAGGTGGTCATGAGAGTGATGGGAGCAGCTGTAAATACAGACGAAGCTTCACTCGCTCGCCCACCGCCCACCTCCTGACACGTGGCCCAGTTCCTAACAGCTCACGGGTGGGAACCCAGGGACTGGAGACCCCTGCTCTAAATCGTCCTGAACCTCACACTTCTGAATTCAAAGCACAGCTTTACCCTGCAAGTTGCTTTTTTCAGGTAACTTTGCATTTTAAACATCCAAGGTGTGGAGAAACTGGTTTTTAGGGTCCCATGAAGAGAACACTCTCGTATCTTTCAAATTCACTGGATTTGGAGCCCGTTTCCTATTGAGGTACTTTTTTTTTTTTTGTCACAGCAGGAATTTCTGTTCCTCCCTGTGTTGTGTTTCAGGGGGAGAGAAAACACGCAGCTGCCCCCCAGGGGTAAGCCTTCCTCAGTCCCCTAGTCCATGAGTTTAGCATCTCCCGGACTTGGCACTGTTACCCGGAAGCCAGCAGCCCTTCCCTTCAAGGGCAGTGTGGTCTGCACCAAGGCCTGAGCTGGAGCAGCAGCACATGCCCATCCTCGGTGGCTTCATGGGCAATACATTCGAGGTCACGTGAGCCCTGTGGGCCGTAGCATTTCCAAAGGAACCATGAGCCAGCCCTGTTTGGCAACGGAGAACACACTGGGCAGTAACCTCCCTGCAGAGGACACGCCCAACATCATGGCCTTTTTTCTTTTTTTTTTGAAACAGGGTCTTACTCCATCACCCAGGCTGGAGTGCAGTGGTGTGATCACAGCTCACTGCAGCCTCGACCTCCCAAGGTCAATCCTCCTGCCTCAGCCTCCATAGAGCTGGAATCACAGGTGCACACCACTGTGCCTGGCTAATTTTTTGTTTTTGTAGCGATAGGGTCTAATTTTTTTGCCCAGGCGGTTTTCAAACTCCTGGTCTTAATGACCCTCCTGCCTCAGCTTCCCAAAGTGCTGGGACTCAACACTGTGGTCTTGATCAAGAGCGGAGAGGGAGGTACAGGTGCAGGCAGCGAAGTCAGGGAGACCCCCTGGTGCCGGTGCCTGAAGGTGCTCCCTCTCCACCTGGGTCCAATGGAATTTAACGAACTTTAGCTTCCAAAAGTTTTCACATATGGGAATGTTTCTCCATGAAAAGATATCTTTGGTAAGTGCAGGCAAGTAGAATCAATATTGGTTTTTAGACCAGGAAACCAAATCCTCTCTTCAACATTGGCTGTGCTTCCAACATTGTTAAAGATGTTTAGCAATTAATTCAACCAATTTTTAACCATGTTTTTATCCTGTTATACTTTTATTTTTAAGGGGAGATGTACTAGCCGACCAGTGCTAGGGTAATTAGCAGTCTCTCTGTAAATGTTTGGGAAATTGAAAGTGGAATGGGATTGGTCTTATGGTAATCTGACCCCACAAATGCTGTTTCTGTGTCTGTTACACAGAGGGATGCTTTGCCTCCAGTTAGAGATCTTCTGCATACAAATAAATGATATTTTGGGGTGTAAAGTCTGATAATCTGAGACAGGTCTCAGTTAATTTAGGAAGTTTATTTTGCCAAGGTTGAGGATACACCTATGACACAGTCTCAGAAAGTCCTGACGACAGGTGCGCAAGGTGGTCGGGGCACAGCTTGATTTTATACATTTTAGGGAGACGTGAGACAGCAATCAATACATGTAAGAAGTACATTGGTTCCATCCGGAAAGGGGGGGACAACTCAAAGCAGGGAGGGGGCTTCCAGGTCACAGGAAGGTGAGAGACAAACAGTTACATTCTTTTGAGTTTCTGATTAGCCTTTCCAAAGCAGACAATCAGATATGCATCTATCTCAGTGAGCAGAGGGATGACTTTGAATAGAATGGAAGGCAGGTTTGCCCTGAACAGTTCCCAGCTGGACTTTTTCCTTTGGCTTAGTAATTTGGTGCCCCAAGATTTTCCTTTCACAGAGAGGAGGGTGTCTATTTTTTTCTTCAAGGTGCCTTGAAATTAAGGCAAGAAGAATGGGGTGAAGCTGACTTCCAATCACCTTGGGTTTTTCCTCGGAAGGAAAACACGTTTCGTGGTTGTGGCAGAGCAGAGGCAGCGCGAATCCTGCAGTGACTGGCTGCATCCCTTAAAGATTGTTTTTTTTAAAGATTTTGTAGAATGTATTTGTTTTCCTTCCAAGAACTATTGGAATGTTTTCATGCACCCTTGGAACAGCCCTTGGAGACAACCCTAGGGAGGGAACAGTGTTGCCGGAGGCCAGCCTCCCGGGCACCCACACTCCCCTCGCCTGCCTAGGGGCCTACCCAGGTTCACTGGACACGGGCACCACAGGGCAGGAGGGTGGGGAAGGGTACACTTTCTCCTCGTTCCTAGCACATGGTAATGCACCCCAAAGCAATACTCGCCCAGAAAGCAGTTACTAAGCACATAGAAAGCTGAGGTAATTTTGTGAAGAAGAACACTGAAACAATAAAAGCTCAGCATTTGGAAGCAAGTTACGACAGCACTCAGCATAGGGGTAACATATTCACTCAGGCTACAGTACAAAATGTGCTTTTCATAGGATACACAGTTTTATGTCCATACGTATTTTAACATTTCTCTTTTTCTTTTTTTCTTTTGAAACAGGGTCTCTCTTTGTCACCCACGCTGGAGTGCAGGGGCATGATTTTGGCTCACTGCAGCCTTGACCTCCCAGGCTCAAGCGATCCTCCTGTCTTAGCTCCTCATGTAGCTGGGACTATAGGCCCCTATGCCTGGCTAATTTTTTGTGGAGATGGGATTTTTCCATGTTGTCCAGGCTGGTCTTGAACTCCTGAGCTCAAGCAATCTGCCTGCCTTAGCCTCCCAAAGTACTAGCGTAACAGGCATGAGCCACCATGCCCAGCCTATTTTAACATTTTTCTTGGTAATAAAAGTAACCATATTTTTATCAGATGCTTTTTTAAAGCCAGTCGATGTCGGGAAGGCTGACTTGTTTCATGGATACAGTGATGGGCAAACACCAGGTCAGAGCCAGTAGGGCGAGGCCAGGCTTCCCACTCAGGGTCCCCTGGGCAAGTTGCTTCCTGTCTCAAGTTGCACTGCCCTAACTGGTCAGTACAAAGAGCAGTACTTTGGGAGTCTTTGTAGTTAAATAGAAATGGAAAAGCACTGTTGCCTCTTGAGATCAAGGCCATACGTTTAAAAATATAGTGTGAAGTCAGTGTGATGGATCACACCTATAGTCCCAGCTACTTAGGAGACTGAAGCAAGAGGATTGCTTGAGGTCAGGAATTCAAGACCAACCTGGGCAACATAGCAAAATCCCACCTCTCTCTCTCTCATCTCTCTCTCTATAATATCTGCTACTATTATACACAATAATATATACTAGTGTATATACATATACATACAAGTAGATGTACATATGTGTGTGTGTATATATATGTATATATGTGTATATGTGTATATATTATATATGTGTATATATTTATATATGTATATATGTGTATATATATGTGTGTATATATACATGTATATATGTGTATATATATACACGTATATATGTATATATGTGTATATATACACGTATATACATGTATATATGTGTATATATACATATATGTATACATATATACGTATATACGTATATATGTGTATATATGTGTATATATATACACACACACACAGAGAAAATGTGATATATATACACACACATAGAGAAAATGTGAGCCTTACATTATTTTGAATTTTCCAGTGGTGCCTAAACCTGTGTGTACATCTACTGTCCTCATGCTTGTTGATTCGCTAGTGTCCATCTTCCCCTTTTAAGACAACAGGACACAGTTCACGGCTGTATGTTCTGCACCTAGAAGGGTGCCTGGCATGCAGTAGAATCTTAAATAGGTATTGAATAAGTAAAATGTTGGTAGTGTGGTGTTAAGTGAAATAGTCAATATATATAGGAAACTCACTAGTATATATTATTGTGTATAATAGTAGCAGATAGTATATATTATCATTAAGAAGCTAATAGTTTATAAGTTTTGACAGCATCACAGCCCCTTCCACTTCCAGCTTGATAATCAGGAGCCTGCTATTAGCAGAAGATAGCTGGGGAAGAATGCCTTCTAGAACCCACCTCTTCCCTCCATCTCCCCAAGAAGAGGAGATGTATGAATAATCTACAAATGGTAGGGAGGTTTATGTTTTTAAGCAGCACTTAGGTATTTTAAGATTTCTCTTTATATTAAACTGTAGTAAGTAGCAAAGGGGAAGATAATTTAAAGCAGTCCATTGGTCTGAGAGCTAAGTTTCAGTATTTTTGGCAAAGTTATGGCAAAGTTATAGAGCTTACATGGAATAAGAATATATGTCATGGTGTTGGGATAACTGAATATCTACATGCAGAAGAATGAAATTGCATCCTTACCTCACACCATATATAAATATCAACTTGAATGGATGAAGCATTTCAACATAAGATCTGAAGCTGTGAAACTACTAAAAGAAAACCTAGAGGAAAAAGCTCCATGACATTAATCTGGGCAACGATTTTTTGGATATGACCCCAAAAGCACAGGAAGCAAATTCAACAAAGACAAACGAGATTTCATCAAAATATTAATAAAAAGCTTCTTCATGGCAAAGGAAACAATCAGCAGAGTGAAGAGACAGCCTACAGATGGGAAATGTACCTGCAAACCACACATCTGATAAGTGGCTAGTACCAAGATATGAAAGAACTTCAAACAACTCAACAGTAAGAAAATAAATAGCCCAATTAGAAAGTGATCAAAAGAGCTGAATAGACATTTCTCAAAAGACGACAGACAAATGTCCAACAGGTATATGAAAAATGCTCAAAATCACTTATCATCAGAGAAATGTACATTAAAACCACAATGCCACATCACCTCCCACCTGTTAGAATGCCATTGTCAAAGACGAAAGATAACAAGTTTTGGTGAGGATGCAGAGAAAAGGGGACTCTTGTACCCTGTCGGTGGGAATGTAAATTACTACAGCCATGATGGAGAACAGTATGGAGATTCCTCAAAAACTAAAAATACAACCACAATATGATTCAGCAGTCCCAAAGGCAGGCATATACCCACAGGAATTGGAGTCAGTAAGTCTAAGAGCTGTCTGCACCCCCACATTCCCTGCAGCACTTGAATAGTGCCAATATAGCCAATATAGAATCAACCTATGTGTCCTTCAAGGGATGAATGGATAAAGAAAATGTGGCACATACACAATGGAATATTATTCAGACTTAAAGAAGGAGATCCTCTCACTTGAGACAGCATGGATGAACCAGAAGGACATTATATTAAGTGAAATAAGCCAACTGCACAAATACCAATACTGCACAATCTCACTTGTTGAAGCTAAAAGAGCTAAAAGAGTTGAAGTCACAGAAGCAGAGGATAGAATGGTGGTTACCAGGGACTGGGGTGGAGGGATTGTGGGGTGGGGCGGTGGGTAGGGGGGTGAGGTGCTGGAGAGATGTTAGTCAAAGGGTACAAACTTTCAGCTAGACAGGAAGAACAAGTTCAAGAGATCTATTGTACAACGGTGGTGACTACATTGTTAGTAACAATGTATTATATTCTTGAAAATTACTAAGAGTAGATTTTAAGTGTTCTCCTACACAAAATGGTATGTGAGACCATGCATATAATTAGTCTATTTAAACATTTCACAATATATGTATATTTCAAAACAACATGTTGTATACAATATATGCAATTTTGTCAATTAAAAAATTAAAAAATAAAAAAGAAAGCATTCGATTAATCAAAAGTCACATAGCAAAAGTAAAACATGACCTCTTCTATTTTTTTCAAATATTGACTTGACACTAAAACACTGAAAACAAAAAAGAATGAGTTGCCGATGGTGTGGTGTGAACCCTTTCCTTCCAGGTGGGCAGAGCCATCAGTGTGATGCGACCGCCTCAGATCTGGGTTTGGGTTGGGTGAAGGGGAGGGGCTCTGCTTCCCACTCAGTGTCCCCTGGGCAAGCTGCTTCCTGTCTCAAGTTGCACCGCCCTAACTGGTCAGTAAAAGGAACAATATCTACCCCCTAGAGACAAGAGTCAAGTGCTTATTAAAATGCCAAACGCGTAACAATCAACATTAGATCCCTGCCTCCATAGGGCAGTTATAAAACAGAGAACTTGCCAGGAATACTCCAGGACAGCAGATCCAGGTTCTATAATCGGTGTTGTCATCATAAAATACAGGTATTATGTCCCATGCATTTGCGTATGAAGCCAGGCTTGAGGGCCGACTGCATAAATATGAGCCTGTTATTAGGGACTTGCGAATCATGCGAGCAACACTGGCGTGCAAAACATATCCAGGGAGGAAACAAAGAGGAAATGTGTATGAACCCAACCCAAGATTAAATGTGGGTCATTCCTTGCTGAAAGCATGGAAGCTTCTGGGTATATGGAGAAAGAAAACCCTTCTGGGCACCCTCGTAAAGTTACTCACAAAGGAAATCACAGGAATGTGCTTGAAGCTCATTTTATTCTTGGCATTCCCAAGATATCAGAAATATCATTAACGCTGTTTGAGAAATTAGAGAACTGTAAGGAAGCCAAAGAGCGGTGTGGATTTTGCTCTTATCAACCCCTCCCTCACTGAGCAGACGGCTCCCTCACTGTCCTTCCTGGGGCCGGCCCTTCCGGCCGAAGGCCCCCAGGGAAGCCAGCCCAGTTCGCCCCTGACAGTATCAGGCACTTAGGATTGAATTTTCAAATTGCCCTCCCGTTTGCATCTGCATTGATGTTTTGCATTTGTTTGAGGCTTGCATCTGCTTCCAAACAATGAGCTGTAATTTTAAACCTGTTTAGCACGCATTTAACCCAGATACTTCTTTTGTGACCATTTCACTTGCATCTGGGTTTCAGTGCAAAGAGGTTGTAAGGAACAAAACAAGAGCAGAATGGTAGCAGCCAGCAGCTGCGTGCAGGCAGCACACCCCGTGCACACCCACGCGGGGCACGCAGCCCGTGGCACACCCTGTGCACACCCACGCAGGGTACACGGCCCGTGGCACACTCCAGGAACACCCACACAGGGCACACACGCAGTCTGGTGTGAAAGTCACCACTGCACAAAGCATGTGCCCATTCTGCAGCATGGAGGCTGCGTCCTGCGCCTGTGATTTTCGTAATTCAAGGCTGTGGGTCCCACCGGGGCTTGCTGCAGCTGGAAGCCTGACCGCAGACAGCACTAGGAAGTGCAGGCAACCTCCGCCCCATCCATCGGAAATGGTCTGGACCCCGCGGCGAGAGCGGGCACCTCCTCTTAGTACTCACGAATCACTCCCTTGGCAGTGCAGGTAAATGCCCCGGGAGATGCCAACGCGCCCTGACTCTGAGGCCTGACAGCTTCAACAGAGGACTTTTAGGTCCAGAAGGGAGGTGGGCAGCTGTTGGCTGAAACAGATCTTCCTTTCTTACTGGGCAGCGATTCCAGGTCAGCTTATTTGTTCTGACCCTGGCATTTCCTAAAGGAAGGGACTCCTGCTTTTGGTTCCATGTCCTGTTTTAGCAAGGCCATACCATGTCCACCCAGAACCTGTGGAATCTTTGCGGAGCCCATGGGTTTTGACTCATCTGCATGGCAGTGGTGTTTGGTTCCTAAGTCAGTTGTCACACTAGAGCTGGAGAAGGAGACACGTGGAGATGGGATCCGTCCAGCTCCGCCCCACAGACACTGTGTGGGGCCACCCTTGTACCCTGGGACACAGCTGCAGGGTCTTAGGGACCTCCTAACAGTTCGCGGGGTCTGAGTCAGCGAACTTCTCAAAACCATATTTGAACACATATTTATATAAAGTCTGAGTAATTTTCTCTGAAGGCATCAAACCTGACACAATGTTTATAATCTCAAAAATGGCATTTGACACAAGAGGATGCTTCTGACACACAATGGCTGGCTAGATGAAGGGCCAGAGATGCGTTCCAGACCTGATGCTGCTGCCCGATGACAACTGAAAGCACGGAGACCCACCCAGGATGGCTCTGTACCCCGAATGGCGCTGTATCCAGGATAGTCCTGTACCCATGAAGGCTCTGTACCCAGGACGGCTCTGTATCCGGGATGGCTCTGTATCCAGGACGGCTCTGTACGCAGGATGGTGTTGTACCCGGGACGGCTCTGTACCCGGGACGGCTCTGTACCTGGGACGGCTCTGTGTCCAGGACAGTTCTGTACCCGTGAAGGCTCTGTACCCAGGACGGCTCTGTATCCGGGACGGCTCTGTACGCAGGACGGTGTTGTACCCGGGACGGCTCTGTATCCAGGACAGTTCTGTACCCATGAAGGCTCTGTACCCAGGACAGCTCTGTACCCAGGACGGCTCTGTATCCGGGACGGCTCTGTACGCGGGACGGCTCTGTACCCGGGATGCCTCTGTGTCTGGGACAGCTCTGTATGAGGGATGGCTCTGTACCCGGGACGGCTCTGTACCCGGAATGGTGCTGTACCCAGGACAGTTCTGTACCCAGGAAGGCTCTGTGCCCGGGATGACTCTGTATCCGCGATGGCGCTGTACCCGGGACACCTCTGTGTCCGGGATGGCTCTGTATCTGGGACGGCTCTGTAGCCAGGATGGTGTTGTACCCAGGACGGCTCTGTCGAGAGGCCTTTATGTGACGACAGAAACGCCGTACATCTACCCCGTGCACGACGGTGGCCGCCAACCACACAGGGCTGTTGAGCACCTGAAACGTGGCCAGTGAGGAAGAAGAATTGAGTTTTTAATTGTATTTGATTTTGAATAAGTTAAATTCAAATTTAAATTTAAAAAGCCACATGTGGCTAGTGGCTACCATGTTGGAAAGTGCTGATAAGGTTCTTTTCTGTATGTTTATTGCTACCTAATCCCACCTCCCCACCATACGCCTAAACAGTTATGTAAAAATAAACACTCACATTGTGGCCCTGACTCTCAGGAAAATAATTTTTATAACCTGAAATGTTAATTTTCTTTTTTTTCATTATCATTGATATAGCATGAAAAATATCCCTAGAAACTTGAGATGAGAGAAACAAAATTCATCACTATCAATTTATTGCTTCTGCTGATGTCCTCAGGGGATAGATTTTAATTTACATGTTGTCATTTCTTTTAAAATGCTTTTATGGGACAATTACACATGCCATTTTTTTTTTCAGAAACCACAGATCAATATAAAGGCAATTAGCAATATTTTTATCCCTTAAAAATAAAATGTCAGGTTTTTGAAAAATGATTTTTAAAACATAAACATTACAAAATAAATTTTATTTGGATTTTGGCATATGATGTTAAAATAACCTCTTGCTGTCGTGAAATATGTCATTAAAAAGTCAGTGTTTGTGCTCCCAGTGTTACCCACAGCTCTAGGCATGGAAAGAATTCAATGAATACTTGCTGTAATCCTACAGCATTATTGACGTGCCAATATTGGTACTCTGATCTATTGTAATTGTCTATGTGCCAAATTCTGCATCTGTAAAATAAAATTATATTTG